>NC_000016.10:35184622-35784622 GCF_000001405.40 Homo sapiens | reverse complement strand
GTTTTGATCCTGCCAGTTGGAAACACTCTTTTTGTAGAATCCACAAAGGGACTTTTCAGAGTCCATTGAGGAGTACAGTGAAAAACTGAATATCCTATGATAAAATCCTGAAAAAAGCTCTCTGTGAAAATGCTATGCTACGTGTAAATTTATCTCAGAGAGTTAAACCTTTCTTTTGATCCAGCTAGTTGGAAATACTCTTTTTGTAGAATCTATGAAGGACTTTTTGGAGCTTATTGAGGCCTATAGAGAAAAACCAAATACCCTGCGATAAAAGCAGAAACAAGCTATCTGTGAAAACGTGTTGTGATGTGTGAATTCATCTCAAAGAATTAAACCTTCCTTTTAATTCAGCAGGTTGGAAACACTTCTTTTGTAGAATGTATGAAGGGACATTTCAGAGTTCTTTTAGTCCTATAGTGAAAAACTGAATATCCTGTGAAAAAACTAGAAAAGAGCTTCCTGTGAAAATGCTTTGTGATGTACGAATTCATCTCACAGAGGTAAATTTTTCTTTTAATTTACCAGGTTGGAAACACTCTTTTTGTAGAATCTACAAAGGGACATTGAGTCCTATGATGAAAAAATGAATATCCCATGATAAAAACTAGAAACAAGCTATCTGTGAAAATGCGTTGCAATGTGTGGATTTGTCTCACACAGTTAAACCTTTCTTTTGATTCAGCAGTTTGAAAACACTATTTTTGTAGAATCTATGAAGAAACATTTCAGAGGCATTTGATGACTATAGTGAAAAACCGAATATGCCATAATAAAAACTAGAAAAAAGCTATCTGTGAAAATGCGCTGTGAAGTGTGGTTTTATCTCAGAGAGTTATAATTTTGTTTTGATTCAGCCAGTTGGGAACACAATTTCTTAGGAATCTATGAAAAGACATTACAATGCCAATTGAGGCCTATAGTAAAATACCAAATATCACATGATGAAAACCAGAAACAAGCTATGTGTGAAAACACTGAGTGATGTGTGCCAACATATCACAGAGTTAAACTTTTCTTTTGATCCAGCAGGTTAGAAACACTCTATGGTAGAATCTACAACAGGACATTTCAGAGAGATTGAGGCCTATAGTAAAAATACAAATATCCTGTGATAAAAGCTAGAAAAGAGCCATTTGTGAAAACACTTTGCAATGTGTGGATTCAACTCATAGAGTTACACCTTTCTTTAGATTCAGCTGGTTGGAAACACTCTTTTTGTAAAATCTATGAAGTGACCTTTTGATGGTCGTTGAAGCCTACAGTGAAAAATAGAATATCCCACCATAAAAACTAGAAACAATATATCTGGTGAATCTGCTTTGCAATGTGTGGATTCATCTGAAAGTCTTAAATCTTTCTTTCAATTCAGCCAGTTGGAAACACTTTATTTGTAGAATCTACGAAGGGAAATTTCAGAACTTATTGAGACCTATAGTGAAAAACTGAATATCCCATGATAAAAACTGGAAACAAGCTATCTGTTAAAATGCTTTGTGATATGTAAATGTATCTCACAGAGTTAAACATTTATTTTCATTCAGCAGTTTTGAAACACTGAAGATTTTTGTAAAATCTACAAAGGGACATTTCAAAGTCCATTGAGGCCTATAGTAAAAAACTGAATATCTCGTCATTAAAAACTAGAAAAATGCTACCTGTGAAAACACTTTGTGATGTGTGGATTAATCTCACAGAGGAAAACCTTTCTTTTGATTGAGCTGGATAAAATCACTGTTTTTGTAGAGTCTGTGAAGGGACATTTCAAAGCCCATTGACGCCTATAGTAAAAACTTGAATATCCCTCAATAAAAACTAGAAAGAAGCTATTGGTGAAACCACTTTGTGATGTGTGGATTCATCTCACAGAGATAAAACTTTCAATTCAGCAGTTTGGAAACACTTCTTTTTTAGGGTCTACAAAGAGACATTTCAGAGCCCATTGAGACCTATAGTAAAAAAACAAATATTTTGCAATAAAAACTAGAAGCAAGCTATCTGTGAAAATGCTTTGTGATGTATGGATTTATATCACAGAATTATACCATTTTCTTGATTCAGCTGGTTGGTAACACTCTTCTTGTAGAATCTATGAAGGGACATTTTGGAGCCCATTGAGGCCTATATTGAAAAGCTGAATATTCCATGATTAAAACTAGAGAGAGATTCATCTCACAAAATGAAACCTCCCATTTGATTCAGCCTGTTGGAATCACTCTTTTTGTTGAACCTATGAAGGGACATTTGAAAGCAGATTGAGGCCTATAGCAAAAAACCGAATAAACTGTAATAAAAACTGGAAACAAGCTATCTGTAAAAACACTTTCTTTTGTGTGGATTCATCTCACAGAGGTAAACCTTTGTTTTACTTCACCATGTTAGAAACACTTTTTTTTGTAGAGTCTATGAAGGGACATTTTGGAGCCCACTGAGGCTTATGGTATATATATATATATATATTTCACAATAAAAACTAGAAACAGGCTATCTGTGAAAACGCTTTGGGATGTATGATTCATCTCACAGAGCTATACCCTTTTCTTGATTCAGCCGATTGGAAACACTCTTTTTGTAGAACCTACGAAGGGATATTTTGGAGCCCATTGAGGCCTATAGTGAAAAATCGAATATCCCACAATAAAAACTAGAAAGAAAGATTTTTTTAAACTGTTTTGTGATGTGTGGATTCATCTCACAGAGTTAAAACTTTCTTTTATTCAGCCAGTAGGAACAACTTTTTTTGTAAAACCTAGGAAAGAACAATTCAGAGCTCATTGAAGTCTATAGTAGAAAATGGAATATCTTGTCATGATCACTAGAAACAAGCTATCTGTGAAAATATTTTGCTATGTATGGATTCATCTCACAGAGCTATACATTTCTTTTGATTCAGTCCATCAGAACTACTATTTTGTAGAATTATGACGGGACATTTCAGAGCTTACTGAGGCCTATAAAGAAAAAGAGAACCTCCCACAATAAAAAGTAGAAATAAGCTATTTGTGAAAACGTTTTGCCATGTGAAAATTTATCTCGAAGAGTTAAACCATTCTTTTGTTTCAGCAGGTTATAAAGACTTCATTTGTGGAATCTACAAGGAAACATTTTGGAGTCCATTGAGGCCTATAGTGAAAAAATAAATATCCCATAATAAAAATTAGAAGAAAAATGTCTGTTAAAATGCTTTGCAATTTGTAGATTCATCTCACACAGTTAAACTTTTGTTTTAATTCAGCTGGTTGGATACACTCTTTCTGTAGAATCTACGATGGGACATTTTAAAGCCCATTGAGGCCTATAGTAAAAAAATGAACATCTTGCAATGAAAACTAGAAACAATTTGTCTGTGAAAGTGCTTTGCAATGTGTGGATTCATCTCACAGAATTAAACATTTGTTTTATTTCAGCTGGTTGGAAACACTCTCTTTGTAGAATGTGTGAAGGGACATTTCAAAGGCCATTGAGGCCTATAGAGAAAAACCAAATATCCCGCAAGAAAAGCTGGAAGCAAGCTATCTGTGAAAATGCTTTATGATGCATGCTTTCATCTCAGAGAGTTATACTGTTCTTTCATTTCAGCCAGTGAGAAGCACTCTTTTTGTAGAATCTATAAGGGGACAGTGCGGAGCCCATTGAAGTCCATAGTGAAAGACTGAATATCCCATGATAAAAATTAGAAACAAGCTGTCTGTGAAAACATGTTGCAATGTGTGGATTCATCTCAAAGAATGAAACTTTCTTTTGATTAAACAAGTTGGAAACACTCTTTTTTTAGAATCCACAATGGGACATTTTGGAGTCCATTGGGGCCTATTTTGAAAATCCAAATATACCGCAATAAAAACTAGAAAGAAACTATCTGTAAAAATGCTTTGTGATGTGTGAATTCATTTAACATAAATAAAACTTTTTGTTATTCAGCCAGTTGGGACCTCTCTTTTTGTAGAATCTATGAAGGGATATTTCAAAGGCCATTGAGGCCTGTAGGGAAAACTGAATATCCTGCAATAAAAACTAGAAACAAGTCAGGAAACAACAGGTGCTGGAGAGGAGGTGCAGAAATAGGAATATTGTTACACTGTTGGTGGGACTGTAAACTAGTTCAACCATTGTGGAAGACAGTGTGGCAATTCATCAAGGCTCTAGAACTAGAAATACCATTTGACCCTGTGATCTCATTACTGGGTATATACCCAGAGGATTATAAATCATGCTGCTATAAAGGCACATGCACATGTATGTTTATTGCGGCACTATTCACAATAGCAAGGACTTGGAACTAACCCAAATGTCCAACAATGATAGACTGGATTAAGAAAGTGTGGCACATATACACCATGGAATACTATGCAGCCATAAAAAAGGATGAGTTCATGTCTTTTGTAGGGACATGGATGAAGCTGGAGACCATCATTCTCAGCAAACTATCGCAAGAACAAAAAACCAAACACCACATGTTCTCACTCATAGGTGGGAATTCAACAATGAGAACACATGGACACAGGAAGGGGAACATCACACACTGGGGCCTGTCGTGAGGTGGGGGGAGGGGGGAGAGAAAGCATTAGGAGATATACCTAATGTAAATGATGAGTTAATGGGTGCAGCACACCAACATGGTACATGTATACATATGTAACAAACCTGCACGTTGTGCACATGTACCCTAGAACTTAAAGTATAATAAAAAAAAGAAAAAAAGAAATGCTAAAAAAAAAACTAGAAACAAGCAGTTTGTTAGCATGCTTTGTGATGTGTAGATTCATCTTACAGAGTTAAAAATTTGTTTTTATTCAGCCATTTGGAAACACTTTTTTTGTAGAATATATGAAGGAAAGTTTCTGAGCCCTTTGAGGCCTATAGTGAAAAACAGAATATTCCATGATAAAAACAAGAAACAAGCAGTCTGTGAAAATGCTTTGTGATGTGTGGATTCATCTCACAAAGTTAAACCTTTTTTTTCTTTTTTTGTTCAGCCAGTTGTAAATACACTTTTAAAAGTATCTACCAAGGGAAATTTCAGAGCCCTTTGAGGCCTATATTGAATTACCAAATATGCCACAATAAGTACTAGAAACAAGCTATCTGTGAAACTGCTGTGTGATGTCTGGATCCATCTCACAGAGTTAAACCTTTGTTCTGATTAAACTGGTTGGAAATACTTTTTTTTTTTTTGTAGAATCTATGAAGGGAAACTTTGGAGCCAATTGAGGCCTATAGCAAAATACAGACTATCCTGTAATAAGAGTAGAAGAAAGTGATCTGTAAAAATGCTTTGTAATGTGTGGTTTTATCTCACAGAGTTAAAATTTTCTTTTTATTCAACCAATTGGGAACACTATTTTTGTAGAAACTACAAAGGGACATTTTGGAGCCGATTAAGAGCTATAGTGAAAAAAAAGAATATTTCATGATAAAACTAAAAACAAGCCATCTGTGAAGATGCTTTAGGTTATATGAATTCATCCCACAAAGTTAAACTTTTCTTTTGATGCAGCCATTTGGAAATATGCTTTTTGAAGAATCTACCAAGGAACATTTGAGAGCCCCTTGAGGCCTATATTGAATTACAGAATATGCCACAATAAGAACTAGAAACAAGCTATCTGTGAAAATGCCTTGCAATGGGAGAATTCATCTCAAAGAATTAAACGTTTCTTTTGAGTGTGCAAGTTGGAAACACTGTTTTTGTAGAATCTACAAAGTGACATTTCAAAGCCCATTGAGGCCTATAGGGAAAAACGGAATACCCTGTGATAAAAACTGGAAACAGGCTATCTGTGAAACCACTTTGTGATGTGTGGATTCATATCAAAGGGTTAAATCCTTGCTTTGATTCAACTGATTAGAAATGCTTTTTTTTTAGAAACTACGAAGAGATATTTCAGAGGCCAATGAAGCCTATAGTCAAAAAACAAATATCCCATGATCAAAACTGGAAACAAGCTATATGTGAAACAGCTTTTCAATGTGTGGATTCATCTCACAGAATTAAACCTTTCTTTTGATTCAGCCGGTTGGAAACACTCTTTGTGGAATATACAAAAAGACATTTTAGAGCACAATAAGGCCTATAGTGAAAAACAAAAAATCCCATGATAAAAATTAGAAACAAGCTATATATAAAAACACTTTGGGATGTGTGGATTCATCTCACAGAGGTAAACCTTTGTTTTGATTCAGCAGGATTGAAAGACTCTTTTTGTAGAATCTACGAAGGAATATTTCACAAACCATTGAGGCCTATAGTGGAAAACAGAATATACCATGATAAAAACTAGAAACAAGCAATCTATGAAAATGCTATGTGATGTGTGGATTCATCTCACAGAGTTAAACCTTTCTTATGAACAGGCACTGGAAATCACTCTTTTTGTAGAATCTATGAGGGAACATTTTGAAACCCATTGAGGCCTACAGTGAAAAACCAAAAATCCCACAATATAAAGTAGATACAAGCGGTCTTTACAAACGCTTTGAGATGTGTGGATTCATCTGACAGAGTCAAAATTTTGTTTTGATATAGCCAGTTAGAAGATCTCTTTTTGTATAATCTATAAAATGACATTTTGAAGCCCTTAGAAGCCTATAGTGAAAAACCGAATATCCCCAGATAAAAACTAGAAAGAAGCTATCTGTGAAAACACTTTGCAATACGTGGATTTATCTCAGAAAGTTAAACCTTTTCTTGGTCCAGCCAATTTTAAACACTCTTTTTGTAGAATCTATAAAGAAACATTTTGGAGCACTTTGAGGCCTATAGTGAAAAACTGAATATTTCACAATTAAAACTAGAAACAAGCTATTTGTGAAAATGCTTCACTGTGTGTGGATTTAGCTCACAAATTTAAACCTTTATTTTGATCTAGCTGGTTAGAAACACTGTTTTTGTAGAATCCAGGAAGAAACATTTAGAAGCCCTTTGAAGCCTATTGTTAAAAACAGAGGCTGGGTGTCGTGGCTCACACTGGTAATTCCAGAACTTAGGGAGGCTGAGGTGGGTGGATCATGAGGTTGACAAATCGAGATCATCCTAGCCAACATGATGAAACCTCATCTCTACTAAAAGTACAAAAATTAACTGGGTGTGTTTGCATGCACCTGTAGTCCCAGCTTCTTGGGAGGCTGAGGAAGGAGAATCACTTGAACCTGGGAGGCTGAGGTTGCAGTGAGCTGAGGTCATGCCACTGCACTCCAGCATGTGTGACAGAGTGATACTACATCAAAACAAAACAAAACAAAACAAAACAAAACAAAAAAAAAAACAGAATATTCCATGATAAAAACTAGAAACAAACCTTCTATGAAAATGCTTTGTGATGTGTGGATTCATCTCAAATAGCTAAAACTTTGTTTTGATTCAGCAGGTTAGAATATACGTTTCTAGGTTTTATCACGGAATACTCAGTTTTCCTGTAGAATATCTGGACAGACATTTCCGAACCCATTGTGGCCTAAAGTGAAAAACTGAATATTCCATGATAAAATCTAGAAAAAAGTTATCTGTGAAAATGCTCTGCAATGTGTGGATTAATCTAATAGAGTTAAAACTTTATTTTGATTCAGTAGGTTGAAAACATCCTTTTCATAGAATCTAAGAAATAACAATTCAGAGCCCATTGATGCTTATAGTGAAAAACTGAATATCCCATGATAAAAACCTGAAACAAGGCATCTGTAAAAATGTTATATTACGATTGGATTTATCTCAGAGAGTTAAAACTTTCTTTTGATTCAGCTTATTGGAAATACTCTTTTTATAGAATCCATATGAAGGGACATTTTGGAGATTATTCAGGCCTATAGAGAAAAATTAAATATCCTGCAATAAAAGGAGAAACAAGCTATCTGTGAAAACGTGTTGTAATGTCTGAATTCATCTCAAAGAGTTAAACCTTTCCTTTAATTCAGCAAGTTGGAAACACTTCTTTTGTAGAATGTAGGAAGGGACATCTCAGAACCTTTTGAGGCTGATGAGGAAAACACTGGAAAAGAGCTCTCTGTGAAAGTGCTTTGTAATGTGCAAATTCTTCTCACAGAGGTACATTTTTCTTTTGATTTTTCAGGTTGGAAATGCTCTTTCATAGAATCTACAAAGTGATATTTTAGAACTCACTGAGTCCTATAGTGAATAAGCAAATATCCCATTATAAAACTAGAAACAAGTTGTCTGTGAAAATGCTTTTTAATATGTGGATTTATCTCACAGAGTTAAAACTTTATTTTGATTCAGCAGTTTGGAAACAGTATTTTTCTAGAATCTGTGAAGGGACATTCGAAGTCCATTGAGGCCTATAGTAAAAAAACAAATGTTTTGTGTTAGAAACTAGAAAAATGCTATCTCTGAAAATACTTTGCATTGTGTGGATTCTTCTCACAGTTACACTTTCTTTTAAATCAGCCATTTGGAAACACTCTTCTTGTAGAATCTACTAAGAAACATTTCAAAGCCATTTGATGTGTATAGTGAAAAATCCAACTCTGCTGTGATAAAAACTAAAAACTATCTTTGAAAACCTTGGTTCTGATTCAGCAGGGTGGAAACACCCTTTTTGTATAATCTATGAAAATCATTTCAGAGCATTTTGAGGGCAAAACTGAAAAACAGAATGTTCTGCAATAAAAACAGGAAACAAGCTATCTGTGAAAATGCTTTGCAATGTGTGGATTCATCTTACAGACTTCAACATTTGTTTATATTCAGCAGATTGAAAAGACTCTTTTTGCACAATCTACAAAGGGGAACTTCAGAGTCCATTGAGGCTTATAGTGAAAAATAGAATATCCCGCAATAAAAACTAGAAACAAGCAATCTCTGAAAATGCTTTGTAATGCATAGATTTATCTCACAAAGTAAAAAAATCTCTCTTGAGTCAGCAGGTTTTAAACAATCCTTTTTTAGAATCTATTCAGGGACATTTCGGAGCCAGTTGAGGCTGATAAAGAACAACCAAATATCCCACAATAAAAAATAGAAATCCTTCATGATGTGTCAATCAATCTCAAAGAGTTGAACATTTCTTTTCATTCAGCAGGTTGGAAGCACTCTTTTTGTTAAATCTACAAAGTGACATTTCAGAGCCCATTGATGCCTGTAGAGAAAAATGGAATATCCCATGATAAATTCTAGAAACAAGTTATCTGTGAAAATTGTGAAAATGCTTTGTGATGTGCGGATTCATCTCACAGAGTTAAACCTTTGCTTTCATTCAGCAGTTTCAAAACACTCTTATTGTAGAACATACAAAAAGACATTTTGGAACCCTTTGAGACCTAAAATGAAAAATCAAATATCCCACAATAAGTATTGGAAACAACCTGTTTGTCAAAATATTTTGCAATGTGTGGATAAAATTCAAAGAGCTAAACCTTTTTTTTGATTCATCAAGTTGAAAACGTTCTTTTTGTAGAATCTATGGAGAAACATTTTGAAGCCCCTTGAAGCCAATACTGAAAAACTGAATATCCCATGATAAAAACTAAAAACAAGCTGTCTCTGAAAATATTTTGTGATATGTGGATTCATCTCACAGAGGTAAACCTTTGCTTCAGTTCAGCAGGTTGGAAAACACCTTTTGTAGCATCTATGAAGGGAAATTTCAAAGCCCATTCAGGCCAATGGTGAAAAAATAAATATCCTATGATAAAAACTAGAAAAAATATCTGTGAAAATGCTGCGTGATATGTGGATTCATCTCACTGAGTTAAACCTTAGTTTTCATTCAGCAGGTTGGAAACACTCTTCTTGTAGAATCTACAAAGTCACATTTTTAAGCCTATTGAGGCCTGTAATATAAAACAAATTATCCTGTCTTAACAATGAGAAACAAACTCTCTGTGAAAATGCTTTGCAAAGTGTGGATTCATCTGACAGAGTTAAAGTACCATTTTGATTCAGCAGGTTGTAATCACTCTTTTTGTAGAATGTATGAAAAGATATTTTGGAGCCCATTGAGTCCTATAGTGAAAAGCCAAATGTTTCTTGATAAAAACTAGAAACAAATTGCCTTTGAAAATGCTTTGTGCAGTGTGGATTTATCTCACTGAGTTAAACTTTAGTTTGGAGTCAGACGGTTGAAAATATTCTTTTTGTAGAATCTACAAGGGACATTTCAAAGCCCTTTGAGGCCTATAGGGAAGAACCCCATATCCTGCCATAAAAAGTATAAACAAGATATCTGTGGAAACGCTTGCAATATGTGGATTCACCTCACACAGATAACCCTTTGTTTTAATTCAGCAGGATACAAATACTCTTTTTGTAAAATCTATGAAGGGACATTTAGGATTTCATTGGTGCCTATAGATCAAAACTGAATATCCTGTGATGAAAACTGGAAACAAGCTATATTAGTAAATGCTTTGTGATGTATTGATTCATCACAAAGAGTTAAAACTTTATTTTTATTCAGCATATTGAAGATTGTCTTGTTGCAGTGTATACCAAAAGACATTTCAGATCCTATTGAGTCCTATAGTGAAAAACCACATATCCTGAGATAAAAACTAGCAACAAGCTGTTTTTCAAAATGCCTTGTGATGTGTGGATTCAATTCACAGAGCTAAACCTTTGTTTTCATATAGCAGATTGGAAACGCTTTTTTTGTAGAATCTACAAAGAGATATTTTGGAGCCCATTGAAGCTGATATTAAAAAATGGAATATCTCATGATAAAAACTACAAACAAGCAATCTAAAAATATTCTGGATGTATGGATTCTCTCACAGAGTTAAAACTTTGTTTTGGTTCAGCAGGTTAGCAACACTCTTTTAGTAGAATATATGATATGACATTTCAGAACCCATTGAGGCCGAATATCCCACAATAAAAACTAGAAACAAGCTATCTCTCAAAATGTTTTGCATTGTGTGGATTCATCTCACAGTGTTAAACCTTGGCTTTCATTCAGCAAGTTTGGAGCCCTCTTTGTGTGTAGTCTAAAAAGAGACATTTCGTAGCCCTTTCGGATTTATAGTGCAAAATAGAATATCCCATGTTAAAAACTAGAAACAAGCTACCTGTGAAAATGTTTTGTGATGTGTGAATTCTTCTCATAAAGTCAAACCTTTGTTTTTATTCAACAGTGAGTAAACCGTCTTTTTGTAGTATCCACAAAGGGACATCTCGGAGCCCTTTAAGGCCTCTAATGAAAAACTGAACATCCTGCATTAAAAAGAAAAAAACAAGCTATCTGTGAAAATGCTTTGTGATGTGTGGATTCAATTAGAAGAGCTAAACCTTTGTTTTGATTCAGCAGGTTGAAAACACTCTTTTTGTAGAGTCTACAAAAAGACATTTCAGAGCCCATTGAGACAAATAGTGAAAAACTAAATATCCCATGATAAAATCTAGAAAAAGCTATCTGTGAAAATGCTTTGTGATGTGTGGGTTCATCTCATAAAGTCAAACCATTGTTATTATTCAGCAGGGTGGTACCCCTCTTCTTGTGGAATCTACTAAAAAACATTTCAGAGCCCATTGATGCCTATCATGAAAACCGAATATTCACAATAAAAACAAGAAACAGGCTATCTGTGAAAATGCTTTGTGATGTGTGTATTCATCTCACGGAGTAAAACCTTAGTTTTGATTCAACAGGTTTGAAATCCTCTTTCTGGAGAATCTAGGAGGAATATTTCAGAGCTCATTGAGGCATATAGTGAAAAACCGAATATCCAGCCATAAAAACCAGGAACAAGCTATCTGTAAAAATGCTTTGCAATGTATAGATTCATCTCAAAGAGTTAAACATTTATTTTCATTCAGCAGGTTGGAAGCTCTCCTTTTGTGGAATCTATGAAGGTATTGAATATCCTGCAAAAAACTAGAAACAAGTTATCTGTGAAGATGCTTTGTGATGTGTGTATTCACCTCACAGAGTTAAATCTTTATTTTGATTCAGCAGGATGGAAACACTCTTTCTGTAAAATCTATGAAGGGACATTTCAAAACTCATTAATGCTGATAGAGAAAAACAATATATTGTGATAAAAACTAGAAACAAGCTATCTGTGAAAATTCTATGTGATGTGTGGATTCATCTCACAGAGTTAAGACTATGCTTTGGTTCAGCAGGTTGGAAAAATCTTTTTTGTAGAATCTATGAAAGGACATTTTGGAGCCAATTGAGGCCGATAGTGAAAAATTGAACAGCCCATGATAAAAACAAAAAACAGACTATCTGTGAAAATGCTTTGCAATGTGTGGATTCAATTCACAGAGCTAAACCTTTGTTTCGATTTGGCAGATTGAAAACCCTCTTTTTGTAGAATCTACAAAGGGACATTTCAGAGCCCATTGAGGCCAATAGTAAAAAACTGATAAAAACTGGAAACACACTATCTATGAAAATGCTTTGCAATGTGTGGATTCATCTCACAGAGTTAAACTTTTTTCTTTGATTCAGCAGGTTGGAAACACTCTCTTGGTAGGATCTATGAAGGAACATTTCAAAGCCCACTGATGCCCATAATTAAAAACCAAATACTCCACAATAAAAATAATAAACAAGGTATCTGTGAAAATTCTTTGCAAAGCGTGGATTCATCTCACAGAATTAAACCTTTGTTTTGATTCAGCTGATAGGCAACACTCTTCTTTTAGAATCTACAAAGGGACATTATGGAGCCTATTGAGGCCTACAGTGAAAAATCTAATATCCTGCAATAAAAACTAAAAAAAAAAAATCTGTGAAAATGCTTTGCAAGGTGTGGCTTTATCTCACTGAGTTAAACCTTTCTTTTGATTCAGCCAGTTCAAAACACTTTTTTTGTAGAATTTACAAAGGGACTTAGTTAAACCTTACTTTTGATTGAGCAGATCAAAAATACTCTTTTTGTAGAATCTATGAAGGGATATTTCAAAGCTTGTTGAGGCCTATAGTGAAAAATGGAATATCCCATGATAAAAATTAGATACAAGCTATCTGTGAAAATATTTTGTGGTGTGTCGACTCATCTCACAAAGTTAAACATTTATTTTTATTCAGCAGGTTTGAAGCACTCTTTTTTTGGAATCTACAAAGGTACATTTCAGAACCCAATGCATGTTGTATTGTAAAACCGCATATCCCGTGATAAAAACTAGAAACACACCATCTGTGAAAATGCTTTGAAATCTGTGGATTCATCTCACAGAATTAAACCTTTGTTTTGTTTCAGCAGGATGAAAACACTCTTTTTGTAAAATCTACAAAAGAACATTTTGGGGCACTTAGCCCTATAGTGAAAAAGCAAATACACCATGATAAAAACTAGAAACAAGCCATATGTGAAAATGCTTTGCCATGTGTGGATTCCTCTCACAGAATTAATACTTTGTTTTTGTCCATCCAGTGGGGAATACAGTTTTTATAGCATCTATGAAGGAACATTTCAAAGCCCATTCAGGCAGATAGTGAAAAAATTAATATCCCATGATAAAAACTAGAAAAATGCTATCTGTGAAAATGCTTAACAATCTGTGGAGTCATCTCACAGAGTTAACCCTTTCTTTTGATTCAAGAGGATGAAAAGACTCTTTCTGTGAAAATCTACGAAGGGATATTTCAGAGCATACTGACAACTATAAAAAAAAACATATCCCATAAAAAAAAAAAAACAGAAACAAGCTATCTGGGAAAAAATTCTTTGCAATGTGTGGATTCATCTCACAGAGCTAAACATTTGCTTTGGTTCAGCACATTGTAAACACAGTTTTTGTCACACTTGCCAAGGGACACTTTGGAGCCCTATCAGGCTGATAGTGAACAAATGAATATTTTGGGACAAATGCTTTGCAATGTGATGGATTCGTCTCACTGAGTTAAACCTTAGTTTTGATTGAGCAGGTTAGAAACTCTTTTCTGGTAGAATCTATGAAGGGATATTTTGAAGCCTAGTGAGGCTTATAGGGAAAAAGTGAATATGCTGCAATTAAAACTAGAAACAAGCTATCTGTCAAAACGCTTTGTCATGTGTGGATTCATCTCACAGAGTCAAATATTTATTTTGATTCAGCAGGTTGGAAAGCCTCTTTTTGGAGAACCTACAAAGTTATACTTTGAAGACCATTGAGGCCTATAGTGAAAACAATGTACCCCATGCTCAAAAGTAGAAAAAAGCTGTTGGACAAAATGCTTCGCAATGTGTGGATACAATTCACAGACCTAAACCCTTGTTTTGACTCAGCAGGTTGTAAATACCTTTTTGTAGGATCTATGAAGGGGCATTCTGAAGCCCACTGTAGCCAATAGTGAAAAACTGAATATCACATGATTGAAAACTAGAAAAAAGCTATCTGTAAAAATCTTTTCTGATGTGTGGATTCATCTCAAAACTATAAACTTTATTTAGATCCAACAGGTTGTAAACCCTCTGCATGTAGAATCTACAAAGAGACATTAGGAAGCCTATTGAGGCTTATAGTGAAAAACTGAATATCCTGCAATAAAAACTAGAAGCAAGCTGTACGAGAAAATGCTTTGCAATCTGTGGATTCATCTTACAAAGTTAAACGTTTATTTTGATTCACCAGACTGGAAATACTCTTTTTGTAGAATCTATGAAGGGACATTTTGGAGCCCATTGAGGCCTATAGTTAAAAACTGAATGTCCTGCAAAATAACTAGAAACTAGCTGTGAAAATGCTTTGCAATGTGTTGATTCATTTGAGAGAGTTCAACCTTTTTTGGGGGGACAACTCTTTGTGTAGAATCTATGAAAAAACATTTCAAAGCCCATTGAGGTGAATAGTGAAAAACCAAATATCATGCAATCAAAATGAGAAAAAGATTATCTGTGAAAATGCTATGTGATGAGTGGATTCATCTCAAAAGTTAAGTCTTGGTTTTGATTCATCAGAATGGTAACCCTCTTATTGTAGAATCTATGAAGGGACATTTCGGAGCCCATTGAGCTTATAGCAGAAATCTAAATATCTCAGGATAAAAACTAGAAACTAGCTATCTGTGAAAATGCTTTATGATGTGTGGATTCATCTAATAAAGTCATACCTTGGTTTTGATTCAGCAGGTTGGGAACACTCTATTTGTAGAATCTATGAATGGACATTCAAAAGCCCATTGAGGCCAATAGTAAAATAAAACAAATATCACATGATAAAAACAAGAAACAAGCTACCTGTGAAAATGCTTTGCAATGTGTGGACTCATCTCAAATTGTTAAATTTTGATTTTGATTAAGGAGTTTGGAAACACTCTTTTAGTAGAATATATGAAAGGACATTTCAAAGGCCTTTGAGGCTTTAGTAAAAACCTGAATATCCCATGATAAAAAGAAGAAATAACCTATCTATGAAAATGCTTTATGATGCGTGGGTTCATCTCACGGAGTTAAACCTTAGTTTTGATTCAGCAGATTGGAAACCATCTTTCTGTAGAATCTATGAAAGGACATTTCAGAGCCCCTTGAGACCTGTAGTAAAAAAAAACTGAATATCCCACGATAAAAACTATAAACAAACTATGTGGGAAAATACATTACGATGTGTGAATTCATCTCACAGACTAAACCCTTTCTTTAAGCAGGTTAGAAACACTCTTTTTGTAGAACCTATGAAGGGACATTTCAGAGCCCATTGTGGCCTATAGTGAAAAAACAAATATTTCTCGATAAACGCAGTAAAAAAAAACTATCTGTGAAAGTGCATTTTAATGTGTGGACTTATCTCATGGAGTTAAACCTTCATTTCTGATCAGCTGGTTGGAAACACTTTTTTTGTAAACTCTACAAAGTGACATTTTGGAGCCCATTGAGACCAACAGTAAAAAACCAATTATCTGTGATAAAAACTAGAAATAAGCTATCAGTGAAAATGCTATGTGATTTGTTACATTCATCTCACAGAAGTAAACATTTATTTTGATTCACGAGGTTTGAAACATTCTTTTTGTAGAATTTACGAAGGGACATTTTGAAGTCCTTTGAGGCCTATAGTGAAAAAAAGAATATCCCACAATTAAAACTAGAAACAAGCTATCTGTGAAAATGCTTTGCAATGTGTAAATTCATTACACAGAGTTAAACTTTTATTTTGATGCAGCAAGGTGGAAATTCTCTTTTTGAAGTATATATGAAAGGGTATTTTGAAGCCCTTTAAAACCTATAGTGAGAAAATATCCCATGATAAAAACTAGAAACAAGCTATTTCTCAAAATGCTTCATGATGTGTGGATTCAATTTGCATTGCTAAACTTTTTTTTGATTCAGCAGGTTGGAAACACTTTTTTTGTAGAATCTACAATGGGACTTTTTGGATCCCACTGAGGCTTACCGTGAAACTCTGAATATCCCAGGATAAAAACTAGAAAGAAGCTATCTTTGAAACTGCTTTGTGATGTGTGGATTCATCTCACAGAGTTATAGCTTTCTTTTGATTCAGTAGGTTGAAAACACTACTTTTATAGAATCTACAAAGGGACATTTCACGCACATTGAGGCCTATTGTGAAAAAAGAAATATCCCACAAAAAAACTAAACACACCCTCTGTGAAAATGCTTTGCAATCTGTGGATTCATCTCATAGAGTTAAACCTTTCTTTTGATTCTGCAGGATGTAAACACTTTTTGTAAAATCTACAAAGGGACATTTCAGAGCACATTGGCAACAAGAGAAAAATAACAAATGTCCCATGATAAAAACTAGAAACAAGCTATTCAGGAAAACGTTTTAGGATGTGTCTATTCATATCACAGAGTTAAACATTTGCTTTGGTTCAGCAAGTTGGAAACACTTTTTGTATCTTCTGTGAAGGGACATTTTGGAGCCCATTCTGGCCAACAGTGAAAAAATGAATATCCCACAATAAAAACTAGAAACAATCTTTCTGTGAAAATGCTTTGTGATGTGTGGATTCATCTCACTGAGTTAAACCTTAGTTTTGATTGAGCAGATTAGAAACACTTTTCTTGTAGAATTTACAAAGGGACATTTTGAAGCCTGTTGAGGCTTATGGGGAAAAACTGAATATGCTGTGATAAAAACTAGAAACAAGCTATCTGCCAAAATGCTTTGTGATCTCACAGAGTTAAACATTTATTTTTATTCAGCAGGTTGGAAAACCTCTCTTTGTAGAAACTACGAAGTTATATTTTGGAGATCATTAAGGCCTATAGTGAAAAAATGAATATCCTGTGCTAAAAACTGGAAACAAGCTATTTGTCAAAATGCTTTGCAATGTGTGGATTTGATTTGCAGACATAAATCTTTGTTTTGATTCAGCAGGTTGGAAGCACTCCTTTTGTAGAATACATAAAGTAACATTCCAAAGCCTATTGAAGCCATATGTAACAAACCTGTACATTGTGTACATGTACCCTAGAACTTAAAGTGTAATTTTAAAAAAACCGAATAGCCCACAATAAAAACCAGAAACAAGATATCTGTGAAAAAAAAATGTAATCTGTGGATTCACCTCATAAATTTAACCTCTATTTGGATTCAACAAGTTGGAAACCCTCTTCTTGTAGAATCTACAAAAAGACATTTGGGAGCCTATAGAGGACTACAAGGAAAAACTGAATATCTCACAATAAAAACTATAAACAAGCCATCTGTGAAAATGCTTTGCAATCTGTAAATTCATCTCACAGAGTTAAACATTTGTTTTGGTTCAGTAGGTTGTAAACACTAATTTGTAGAATCTATGGAGGGAAATTTTGGAGCCCATTGAGGCCTATAGTTAAAAACGGAATGTCCCGCGATAAAGCTAGGAACAAGCTGTCTGTGAAAATGCTTTGTAATGTGTGGATTCATCTTACAGAGTTCAACCTGTGTTTTGATTTAGCAGGTTTGAACCACTCTTTTGGTAAAATCTATTAAAAAACATTTTCGAGCCCATCAAGGCAGATAGTGAAAAACCAAATATCACATGATAAATACTGGAAAGTGGTTATCAGTGAAAATGCTATATGATGAGTGGATTCTTCTCACAAAGTGAAAACTTGGTTTTGATTCATCAGGTTGGAAAAACTCTTATTGTAGAATCTACAAAGGGACATTTTACAGCCCATTGAGTCCTATAATGAAAAACTGAATATCCCATGACAAAAACTAGAAAAAAGCTATCTGTGAAAATGCTTTGTGATGTGTGGATTCATCTCATAGAGTAAAGCTTTGCCTTGATTCAGCAGGCTGAAAATACTCTTTTTGTAGAATTTACAAAGGGCCATTGTGAAGCCCATTGAGGCCTATAGTGACATTTTGAAGATGTTGAGCATACAGTGAAAATCAGATTATCCCACAATAAAAACTAGAAACTAGCTATCTATGAAAATCCTTTGAAATGTGTGGATTAATCTAATGAAGTCATACCTCTGTTTTCATTCAGCAGGTAGAAAACTCTAAATTTATAAAATCTACAAAAAGACATTGTGTATCCCATTGAGGCCTATAGTAAAAAAACTGAGTATCACATGATAAAAACAAAAGACAAGCTATCTGTGAAAGCACTTTGTGATGTGTGGACTCACCTCAAAGTGTTAAATTTTAGTTTTGGTTCAAGAGGTTGGAAACACATTTTTAAGTGTCTACAAAAGGACATTTCAATGCCCCTTGAGGCTCATAATGAAAAACAGAATATCCCACGATAAAAAGAAGAAACAAGCTAGCTACGAAAATGCTTTGTGATGTGTGGATTCATTTCATGGAATTAAACCTTAGTTTTGATTCAGCAGGTTGCAAACCATCTTTTTGTAGAACCTATGAAGGGACATTTTGGAGCACATTGAGGCCTGTAGGAAAAAAACAAATATCCTGCGATAAAAAACTAGGAACAAGCTATGTGCAAAAATGCATTGTGATTTGTGAATTCATCTCACAGAGTGAAGCCTTTGTTTTGATTCAGCAGGTTAGAAACACTCTTTTTGTAGAATCTACGAAGGGACATTTGGAGCCCATTGTGGCCTATAGTGAAAAAAAAAAAAAAACAAATATTTCCTGATAAACACTATAAACAAGCTATCTTTGAAAATGCTTTGCAATGTGTGGATTCATTTCACTGAGCCAAACCTCTGTTTAGGTTCAGCATGTTGGAAACACTGTTTTTGTATAATCTATGAAGGGACATTTCAGAGCTTATTGAGGCCAACAGTGAAAAACTGAATATTCCGTGATAAAAACTGGAAACAAGCTATCTGTTAAACTGCTTTGTGATTTGTGCATTCATCTCACAGAAGTAAACTTTTGCTTCGATTCAGCAAGTTGGAAACACTCTTTTTGTAGAATTTACAAAGGGCCACTGTGAAGCCCATTGAGGCCTATAGTGAAAAACAGAATATCCCATGATTAAAACTAGAAACAAGCTATCTGTGAAAATGCTTCATGATATGTAAATTCATCACACAGATTTAAACTTTTATTTTGATTCAGCAAGTTGGAAACACTCTTTTTGTAGAATATATGAAGGGACATTTCGAAGCTCTTTGAAACACATAGCGAGAAACAAAATATACTGTGATAAAAACTAGAAACAAGCTATTTCTCAAAATGCTTCACTATGTGTGTATTCAATTTGCAGAACTAAACTTTTGTTTGATTTAGCAGGTTGTAAATACTTTTTTTGTAGAATCTATGAAGGGACATTTCAAAGCTTATTGAGACTGACAGTGAAAAACTGAATATCCCACAATAAAAACTAGAAACAACCTATTTGTGAAAATGCTTTGTGATGTGTGCATTCATCTGACAGAGTTAAACCTTAGTTTATATTCAGAAAATTGGAATCGCTCTTTTTGTAGAATCCACAATGGGACATTTTGGAGTCCATTGAGACCTATAGTGAAAACCCAAATATACCACACTAAAAACTAGAAACGAGCTATCTGTGAAAATGCTTTTTGATCTGTGGATTCATTTCAGAGTTAAACCTTGGCTTTCATTCAGCAGGTTAGAATCCTTCTTGTTTAATAATCTATGAAGAGACATTTCATATCTCTTTGAGGCTTGTAGTGAACAACTGAATAACCAGCCATAAAAACTAGAAACAATCTATCTGTAAAAATGCTTTGCAATCTGTGGATTCATTTTATAAAGTCAAATCATTTTTTTTTTTCCAGATGAAGCCTTACTCTTGTCCTTCAGGCTGGAGTGCAATGGCACAATGTCAGCTTGCTGCAACCTCCACCTCCTGAGTTCAAGCAATTATCCTGCCTCAGCCTCCTGAGTAGCTGGGATTACAGGTGTCTGACACCACGCCCTACTAATTTTTGTATTTTAAGTGGAGATGGTGTTTCACCATGTTGGCCAGACTGGTCTCAAACTCCTGACTTCAGGTGATCTGCCCACCTCAGCCTCCCAAAATGCTGGGATTACAGGCATGAGCCACTGTGCCCAGTCTTTGCTTTTTATTCAGCAGGGTGGAAACCCTCTTTCTGTAGAATATATGAAGGAGCAACTCAGAGCCCATTAAGGGCTATAGTGAAAATTGAATATCCTGCAACAAAAACTAGAAACAAACTGTCTCTCAAAATGGTTTGGATGTGTGCATTCATCTCACAGAGTTAAATATTTGTTTCTATTCAGCAGGTTAAAAACGCTCTTTTTGTAGAATCTACAAAGAAATATTTTGGAGCCCATTGAGTCCAATAGTGAAAAATCGAATAACCCATGACAAAAAATAGAAACAATCTATCTGTGAAAATGCTTTGTGATGTGTGGATTCATCTAATAAAGTCACACCTTGGTTTTTATTCAGCAGGGTGGAAACCCTCTTTTTGTAGAATCTACAAAGGGACACTTTGGAACCCCTTGAGGCCTACAGTGAAAAACCAAATAGCCTGCGATATAAACAACAAACAAGCTGTCTCTGAGAATGCTTTGTCATATGTGTTTTCATCTCATGGAGTAAAATTTTAGTTTTGATTCACCAGGTTGGAAATCCTCTTTTTGTAGAATCTACAAATGTATATTTCAGAGCACATTGAAGCCTATAGTGAACAACTCAATATCCTGTGAAAAAAACTAGAAGCAAGCTATCTATGAAGATGTTTTGCAAAATGTAGATTTATCTAAAAGAGTTAAATGTTTATTTTCATTCATCTGGTTGGAATTACTATTTTTATGAAAACTATGTAGGGACCAAATATTCCATGATAAAACCTAGAAACAAGTTATCTGTGAAAATACTTTGTGATGTGTGGATTCACCTCATAGAGTTAAACCATTGTTTTGATTCAGCAGGATGAAAACACTTTTTATGAAGAATCTACAAAAGGGTCAATTGAGGCCTATAGTGAATAACTGAATAACTGTGTGATAAAAACTAGAAACAAACGATCTTCAAAAATGGTTTATGATGTGTGGATTTATCTCACACTGTTAAAACTTTGTTTTGGTACAGCAGATTAAAAACACTTTTTGTAGAATCTACAAGGTAACATTTCACAGCCAAATGAAGCCTATAGTGAAAAACTGAATATCCAATGATAAAAACTAGAAATAAGATACATGTGAAAACACCTTGTGATGTATAGATTCATCAGAGAGTTAAAGCATTATTGTTATTCAGCAAGTTGGAAACACTCTATTTGTAGGATATACGAAAAGACATTTTGGACCCCTTGAGTCCTGTAGTGAAAAACCAAATATCCCATAATAAAAACTAGAAACAACCTATTAGACAAAATGCTTTGTGATGTGTGGACTCAATTTGCACAGCTAAACCTTTGTTTTGATCCAGCAGGATGAAAACAATCTTGTTGAATCTACGTAAGGACATTTCTGAGCCCATTGATGTCTATAATTAAAAACAAAATATCTCACATAAAAACTAGAAACAAGCTATCTGTGAAAATGCTTTTCGATGTGTGGATTCATCTCACAGAGTTAAGCCTTTGTTTTGTTTCAGCAGACTGGAATCACACTTCTTTTAGAATCTGCGAAGGGACATTTTGGAGCCCAATGAGGCCTGTAGGGAAAAACTGAATATTCCACTATTACAACTAGAAAGAAGCTGTGTGTGAAAATGCTTTGTGATCTGTGAATTCATCTCACAGAGTTAAACCTTTTTTTTTTTTTTTTGATGCAGCAAGAGGGGAAAACTCTGTTTGTAAAATCTATGAGGTGACATTTAAGAGCCTAATGAAGCCAATAGTGAAAAACCAAATGTCTCATGATAAAAACTAGGTAAAAGCTATCTGTGAAAATGCTTCGTGATGTGTGGATTCATCCCACAAAGTTAAAGCTCTCTTTTGATTCAGCAGGATGGAAACACTCTTTTTGAAGAATTTACTAAGGGACTTTTCAGAGCCAATTGAGGCCAATAGTGAAAAACCAAAAAACCCACGATAAAAACTAGAAACAAGCTATCTGTGAAAATGCTTTGCCATGTGTGGATTCATCTCATGAAGTTAAACCTTTATTTTGTTTCAGCAGGGTAAAAACAGTCTTTTTGTAGAATCTACAAAGTGACGTTTCAGAGCCTAATGAAGCCTATAGTGAAAAACTGAATATCCCTGATAAATACTAGAAACAACCTATCTGTGAAAAGCCTTTGTGATGTGTAGATTCATCACATAGAGTTAAACCTTTATTTTGATTCAGCAAGTTGGAAACACTTTTTTTTTAGAATATATGAAAAGAGATTTTGGACCCCATTGAGTCCTATAGTGAAAAACCAAATTTCCCATTTTAAAACTAGAAACAAGCTATTTATAAAATTTCTTTGTGATGTTTGAATTCAATTGGCAGAGCTAAACTTTTTTTAAATTCAGGATGTTGGAAATACTCTTTTTGTAGAATCTACGAAGGAATATTTTAAGCCCATTGTGGCCAGTAGTGAAAAATCGAATATTCTGCAATAAAAATTAGAAGCAAGCTATCTGTGAAAATGCTTTGCAATGTGTCGATTCATCTCCCAGAGTTAAATACTTATTTTCATTTAGCAGATTAGAAGCACTCTTTGTGTGGAATCTATGAAGGGATATTTTTGAAACCATTGCAAGCTATATTGTAAAACCAAATATTCCATGATAAAAACTAGAAACATACTATCTGTGAAAGTGCTTAGCAATATGTAGATTCATATCACAGAGTGAAACCTTTGTTTTGTTTCAGTAGAATGAAAATACTATTTTTGTAAAATCTACAAAGGGACATTTCAGAGCACATTTATACATTTTGAGAAAAAATGAATATCCTGCAATAAAAACTGGAAAGAAGCTATCTGTGAAAATGCTTTGTGATCTGTGAATTCATCTCACAGAGTTAAACATGTTTTTTTATGCAACATAATAAAAATACTGTTTTTGTAAAATCTGCAAAGGGACATTTCAGAGCACATTGACACCTATAGAGAAAAACCAAATATCCCATGATAAAAACTACAAACACGTTATCCATAAAACTGCTTTGTTATGTAAGGATTCATCTCACTGAGTTAAATTTAGCAGGTTTTGATTCAGCAGGTTTGAAACCATCTTTTTATAGAATCTACAAAGGAAGACTTCATAGCCCCTTGAGGCATATAGTGAAAAACAGAATATCTCATGATAAAAACTAGAAAGAAGCTATCTTTGAAAATGCTTTGGGATGCATGCATTTATCACACAGAGCTAAACGTTGGTTTTGATTCACCCTATTGGAAAGACTCTTTATATAAAATCTGCAAAGGGATATTTCAGAGCTGATTGAGGCCAGTAGTGAAAAATCGAATATCACGTGTTGAAAAACTAGAAACAAGCTATCTGTGAAAATGCTTTTCAATGTGTGGATTCATTGCACAGTGTTCAATATTGATTTTCATTCAGCAGGTTGCAAACACTGCTTTTGTAGAATTTACAAAGGGACATTTGGGAGCACATTGAGGCCAATAGTGAAAAATAAAATATCACACCTTAAAAACGAGAAAAAAGCTATGTGTGAAAATACATTGCAATGTGTGGTTTCATCAGCAGAGTTCAAATTTTATTTTGCTTCAGCCAGTTGGAAAAACTCTTCTTGTAAAATCTATGAAAGGACATTTTGGAGCCCATTGAAGCTGATGGTGTAAAACTGAATACACCATGATAATCACTAGAAACAAGATATCTGTGAAAATGCTTTGCGCTGTGTGGATTCATCTCACAGAGTTAAACCTTTCTTTTTATTCAGTAGGTTGGAAACACTCTCTGTGTACAATCTATGAAGGAACATTGTAGAGCCCATTGAGGCCTAGAGTGAAAATCCAAACATCCCACAATAAATACTAGAAACAAGCTATCTGTGAAAATGCTTTGTGATGTATGTATTCATCTCACTGAATTAAACCTTAGTTTTGATTTAGCAGTTTGGAAATACTATTTTTGTAGAATCTACAAAGGGGCATTTCAAAGCCCATTGAGGCTTATAGTGAAAAACTTAATATCCTGCAATAAAAATTAGAAATAAGGTTTCTGTGAAAGTGCTTTGTGATGTCTCGATTCATCTCACAGAGTTAAATGATTATTTTCATTCAGCAGGTTGGAAGTGCTCTTTTTGTGAAATCTATGAAGGGACATTTCAGAGCCCATAGAGGCCTATATTGAAAATCCAATTATCCTGCAATAAAAACTGGAAACAAGCTATCTTTGAAAATGCTTTGTGATGTTTGTATTCATCTCACCGAATTAAACTTTTGCTGTGGTTCAGTGGATTGGAAATACTCTTTTTGTAGAATCTACGTAAAGACATTTCGGAGCCAATGGAGGTCTGTAGTGAAAAAGGGAATATCTTCTGATAAAAACTAAAAACAACCTATCTGTGAAAATGCTTTGTGATGTGTGGATTCATCTTGCAGAGGTAAAACTTTGTTTTCATCAAGCAGTTTGGAAATACATAATTCTTTTTGGAGAATACATAAAGGGACATTTCAGAGACCATTGAGGCCTATGCTGAAAAACGAAATATCCCATGATAAAAACTAGAAAGAAACTATTTGTTAAAATGCTGTGAATTGTGTGCATTCAATTCCCAGAGCTAAGCCTTTGTTTTGATTCAAAAGGTTGGAAACACTCTTCTTGTAGAATCTACAAAAGGACATTTCAAAACCCTTGGGTTTGACAGTTAAAAACCAAATATCCCGTGATAAAAACTAGAAACAACCTATCTGTGAAAATGCTTTGTGATGTGTGGATTCATCCCACAGAATTAAATATTGGTTCTGATTCAGCAGATTGGAAACCCTCTTTTTGTAGAATCTATGAAGGGACACTTCAAATCCCATTGAGGCTTATAGTGAGAAACTGAATATCCCATGATAAAAATTAGAAACAAGCTATCTGTTAAAATGCTTTATGATTTGTGGATTCATCTCATATAGTTAAACCATTGTTTTGATTCAGCAGTTTGGAAACACTTTTTGTAGAATTATGAAGGGACATTTCAGAGACCTTTGATGGCTATAGTGAAAAACTGAATATACTGTGAGGAAAACTAGAAACAACTTATCTGTTAAAATTCTTAGTGATGTATGGTATAATGTCACAGAGCTACACCTTTGTTTTGATTCAGCAGGTTTAAAACACTCTTTTTTGTAGAATCTATGAAGGGACATTCCAGAGACCATGGAAGCAAACAGAAAAAAATCAAATATCCTGCGATGTAAACTAGAAAAATGTTATCTGTGAAAATGATTTGTGATGTGTGGATTTGTCTCACAGAGTTTAACCTTTGTTTTAATTCAGAAAATTTGAAACACTGTTTTTCTGGAATCTACAAAGGGACATTTCAGAGCCCATTGAGGCATATAGTGAAAAACTTAATGTCCCGTGATAAAAATTAGAAACAAACTATCTGTGAAAATGCTTTGTGATGTGTGGATTCATCTCATACAGTTAAACTTTTGTTTTGATTCAGCAGGTTGGAAACACTTTTTGTAGAATCTACAAAGGGACATTTCAGAGACCTTTGATGGCTATACTGAAAAACCGAATACTCTGCGATGAACTAGAAACAACTAATCTGTTAAGATTCTTTGTAATGTGTGGATTAATCTCACAGAGTTAAACTTTGTTTTGATTCAGCAGGTTTAAAACACTCCTTTTGTAGACTCCATGAAGGGATATTTCAGAGCCCATGGAGGCACACAGAAAAAAAATGAATATCCTGAAATAAAAACCTGAAAAAAAGCTATCTGTGAAAATGCTTTGCGATGTGTGGATTCATCTTACAGAGTTAAACCTTTATTTTGATTCAGAAAATTGGAAACACTCTTTTTGTAGAATATACAAAGGGACATTTTGGATCCCATTGAGGCGTATAGTGAAAAACGTAATATTCCATGATAAAAACTAGAAACGAACTATCTGTGAAAATGCTTTGCAGTGTGTGGATTCATGTCATAGAGTTAAAACTTTGTTTTGATTCAGCAGTTTGGAAACACTTTTTTTGTAGAATCTACGAAGGGATATTTTGGAGCCCATAGAGGCCTACAGTGAAAAACTAAATATTCTGCAATAAAAACTAGAAACAAGCTATCTGAAAATTCTTTGTGATGTGTGGATTCATTTCACAGAGTTAAACCTTAGATTGGATTCAGCAGGTTGGAAACCCTTTTTTTTTTTTTTTTAATAGAATCTACGAGTGAACATTTCAGGGCCCATTGAGGCTTATAGTGAAAAACCCAATATCCCACAATAAAAACTAGAAACAAACTATCTGTGAAAGTGCATTGTAATGTGTGGATTCATCTCATAGAGTTAAACCTTTTTTTTTTTGATTCAGGAGTTTGGAAACACTTTTTTTGTAGAATCGATGAAGGGACATTTCAGAGACCATTGATGCCTATAGTAAAAAACTGAATATCTCTTGATAAAAATTAGAAACTAGATATCCATGATAATGTTTTGCAATGTGTTGATTCAGCTCACAGAGATAAACATTTATTTTTATTCAGCAGGGTTGGAAGCACTCTGTGATATGTACGAAGTGACATTTAAGAGCCCATTGAGGCCTATATTTAAAAACTGAATATCCCGTTATACAAACTAGAAACAAGCTATCCGTGAAAATGCTTTGCAATGTGTGGATTCATCTAATAGAGTTAAACTGTTGTTTTGATTCAGGAGGTTAGAAATGCTCTTTTTGTAGAATCTACAAAGGCACGTTTCAGAGTCCATTTAAATCTATAGTGAAAAACCGAGTATCTTACAATAAAAACTAGTAGCAAGCTATCTGTGATGATGCTTTGTGATGTGTGGATTCAAGTCACAGAATTAAACCTTTCTTTTGATTCAGCAGTTGCACAGACTCTAATTGTAGAATCCAAGATGGGACATCTCAGAGCTGCCTATATTGGAAAACTGAATATCCTGTGATAAAAACTGCAAACAAGGTGTCTTTCAGAATGCTTTTCAATGTTTGGATTCATCTCACAGACTAAAACTGTTGTTTTGATTCAGCACATTGAAAACACTCTGCAGAATCTATGAAGGGACATGAGCCCTTGGAAGCCTAGAGTAACAAACCAAAAGTCCCATGATAAAAACTAAAAACAAGCTATCTGTGAAAATGCTTTGCAATGTGTCATTTTATCTTACAGGGTTAAACCTTTGTTTTGATTCAGCAGGTTGGAGACACTTTTTTTGTACTCTTTATGAATGGATATTTCATAGCCCATTGAAACATATGGTGTAAAAAGGAATATCCAACAACAACAACAAAAAGCTAGAAACAATGCATTGTGAAGTGTGAATTAATCTCACGGAGATAAACATTTGTTTTGATACCACAGGTTGGAGACACTCATTTTATAGAATCTACAAAGGAATATTTGAAAGCCCATTTAGGCCTGTAGTGAAAAACTGAATATCCCACAATAAAAACTAGAAGTAGGCTATCTGTGAAAATGCTTTGTGATGTGTGGATTCACCTCACAGAGTTAAACATATGTTTTGATTCAGCAGGTTGGAGCACTCTTCTTGTAGAATCTACAAGGGGACATTTCAGAGCCCCTTGGAAAATATAGTGAAGAAACAAATATCTCATGATACAACCTAGAAACAAGCAATCTGTCAAAATGCTCTTCAAATGTGGTTTCATCTCACAGAGTTAAACTTTTCTTTTTATTCAGAAGGTTGGAAACACTCTTTTTGAACAAACTACAAGGGGACATTCTGAAGCCCATTGAAACACATAGTTAAAAAGGGAATATCTCATAATGAAACCTAGAAAGAAGATATCCTTGAAAATACTTTGTGATATGTTGATTCATCTCGCAGAGTTAAAACTTTGTTTTGATTCAGCAGGTTGGAAACACTCTTCTTGTGAATCTACGAAGGGCGATTTTTGAGCTCATTGAAGCCTATAGTGGAAAACCAAATATTCTGCAGTAAACTCCAGAAACAAGCTATCTGTTAAAATTCTCTGCAATGTGTGGATTCATCTCATAGAGGTAAACCTTTGTTCTGATTAAGCAGGTTGGAAACTGTCTTCTTGTAGAATCTACAAAGGGACATTTCTGAGCTCATTGAGGCCTATATTAAGAAACTGATTATCTAGTGATGAAAACTAGAAGCAAGCTACCTCTAACAATGTTTTGTGACATTTGGATTTCTCTCACAGAGTTAAAACATTGCTTTGATTCAGCAGGTTGTAAACAATCTTTTTGTAATATCTAAGGGAACTTTCAGAGCCCATTGAGGCCCATAGTAAGAAAACCAAACATTCCACGATAGAAACTAGAAACAAGGTATCTGTGAAACCGCTTTGTGATGTGTGGATTTATCTCAGAATTAAACCTTTGTTTTGATTCAGCAGGTTGGAAACACTCTTTTTGTAGCATCTACGAATGGATGTTTTGGAGCTAATTGAAACCTATAGTGAAAAACTGAATATTCCATGATAAAACCTAGAAACAAACTATCTGTGAAAACACTTTCCAATGTGTGGATTCATATCACAGAGTTAAACCTTTGTTTTCATTCAGCATGTTAGAAACACTGTTTTTGTAAAATCTATGAATGGACATTTTGGAGCTAATTGGGGCTATAGTGAAAAAATGAATATCCCGTGATAAAAACTAGAAAAAAGCTATATGTGAAAATGCTTTGCAATGTTTGGATGCATCTCATGGAGTTAAACCTTTGTTCTGATTAAGCAGATTGGAAGCAGTCTTTTTGTAGAATTTTTGAAGGGACATTTTGGATCCCATTGGAACATAGTTTCCATTCATCTCACAGAAGTAACTATTGTTTTCTGGGCTTGAGCACTTTCAGGCTACTATGGCTTCATGGGCTGCCAGGGAGTACCCCTATAGGTAGGTTTTCTTCCACAGCAGGGGTGCAGGTGAGCTGGAAATGGGAAAAAAGGGAAAGCCAGAGAGTCAGGGGGCAGTTAGGAAGAGGGCGACAAGCAGGAAAAAGTGAAAAGGAATGGAAGCCAAAAACCTGAAACCCCAGATCTTCCCAGGTGGTATCCCATCCAAGCCCCAGCCAGGCTTAACCCTGTTTATCTTTTGTACTTGGACGCCCAGAGGCTGCTATGGTGCCAGGGACTGCCATGGGGGACCCACACTGGGGGGCACTGGGCCATGGCAGTGGCACAGGTAGGCAGGAAAGAGGAAGCCAGAGAGTCAGGGGATGGTTTGGAAGTGGGCCAACATGTGAGGAAAAGCAGGAAGGGAGTAGGAATCCAAACACCTTCAGCCATTGGTCTCCTAAGGTTGTGCCCCATCCAAGAACCAGACAGGTCCCATCCTGCTTAGCTTCCGGTATGGGGTGCCCTCAGTCTGCTATGGCACTGATGGCTGCTGGAACAGACCCCTAGGTGGAATCCCCAGGTCTCAACGGGGATGCAGGTAGGCGGGAAATGGGGAGCCAGAGAGTCAGGTGGCAGTTGGGAAGCTGCCGAGGTGGACACCCACGGGGAGGCACCGGGCCACGGTGGGGGTGCAGGTAAGCAAGAAAGGGGCAGCCAGAGAGGGGGCTGTTGAGAAGGGGGCTGAGAAGTGGGGGAAAGCAGGAAGGCAGCAGGAAGCCAAAAGCCTCCAGCTCCCAGTCTTCCCAGGTGGTCCCCCATCCAAGCCCCAGCCAGACCCAACCTTGCTTAGCTTTCAGTCTGGGATATCCTCAGGCTCCATTGGCACCAGTGCCTGCCAAGGGGGACCACCACTGGGAGGTCCTGGGCCATGTTGGAGGCCCAGACGGGTGGGAAAAAAAGGATCCAGAGAGTCACGGGGCAGTTGGGAAGTGGGCTGACAAGCGGGGGGAAAGCAGGAAGGGAACAGGAAGCCAAAAGCCTCCAGCCTTCATACTTTCCATTCAGTAACCCATTCAAACCCCAGCCAGGCCTGACCCTGCTTTGCTTCTGGGCTGGGGCGCCTTCAGGCTGCTTTGGCACCAGGGGCTGTTGCAGCAGACCCCCACAGAAAGGCCCTGGGCCCCAGCAGGGGCACAGGCAAGTGGAAAAGGGAGAGCCAGAAAGTCAGGGGGTGGTTGGGGAGTGGAGCCACGAGAGAAGGAAAGAGGGAAGGGAGTGGGAAGCCAAAAGCTTCCAGCCGCCTGTCTCCCCAGGTGGTTCCCCCGCCCAAGCTCCAGGCAGGCCCAACCCTGCTTAGCTTCCAAGGTGGGCACCCTCAGGCTGCTATGGTGTCAGAGGCTTCCAGGGTGGACTCCCACAGGAAGGCCCCGGGCCGCAATGGGAGGCATAGGCAGTCGAGAAAGGAGCCAGAGAGTCCGGAGGTGGTTGGGAAGGGGGGGAAGACAAGTGGGGGAAAGTGGGAAGGGGTTGGGAAGCCAAAAGCCTCCAGCCCTCGGTCTCCCCAGGTAGTCCCCATTCCAAGCCCCAGCCAGGCCAGACCCTGTTTAGCTTCCAGGCTGGGGTGCCCTCAGGCTGCTATGGCACTGGGGGCTGCCAGGGTGGACCTGCATGTGGTGGCCTCGGGTCCCCTTGGTGGTACAGGTTGGTGGCAAAGAGGAAGCCAGAGAGTCAGGGGGTGGTTGGGAAGTGGGATGACAAGTGGGAAAGAGCAAGAAGGGAGCAAGAAACCAAAAGCTTCAAGCCCCCAGTCTCTCCAGGTGGTTCCCCATCCAAGCCACAGCCAGGCCTGACCCTGCTTAGCTTCCACGCTGGGGCGCCCTCAGGCTGCTATGGTGCCAGGGGCTGCCAGGACAAAACCTAACAAGGAGGTCCCAGGCAGTGGCGGTGGCACAGGCTAACGGGAAGGGGGGAGCCAGAGAATCAGGCGGCAGTTGAGAAACTGGCTGACAAGTGGGAGAAAGCGGGAAGGGAGCAGAAAGCCAAAAGCCTTCAGCCCCTGGTCTCTCCAAGCAGTTCACCTTCCAAGCCCCAGCCAGACCCGACCCGGGTAGCTTTCGGGGTAGGATGCCTTCAGGTTACTATGGTGCCGGGGGCTGTTGGGGTGGATCCCCAAGGGGAGGCCCAGGGCCACCGCGGAGGCACAGGTGAGTAGGAAAGGGGGAGCCAGAGTGTCAGAAGACAGTTGGGAAGTGGGTCGACAAGTGAGGAAAAGCAGGAAGGGAGCAGGAAGCCAAAAGCCCCAAGGCCCCGGTCTCCCCTGACAATCCCTTATACTAGCCCCGGCCAGTCTTGACCCTGCTTAGCTTCAAGGCTGGGGCGCCCTCAGGCTGCTATGGCACCAGGGGCTGCTGGGGCAAAACCCCACAGGGAGGCCCCGGATGTGACAAGGGTGCAGGTGGGCGGAAAAGGGGGAGCCATGGAATTCAGGAGGCAATTAGGAAGTGAGGGATTGCAGGAAAGGAGCAGGAAGCCAAAAGCTTCCAGTCCCTGGTCTCTCCAGGTGGTCCCCAATCCAAGCGATAGCCAGGACTGACCTTGCTTAGCTTCCGGGATGGGGTGCCCTCAGGCGACTATGGCACTTTGGCCTGCCGGGGTAGATCTGCACAAGGAGGCACCGGGCCACGGTGGGGGATCAGGCGGGGCAAAAGGGAGAGCCAGAGACTCAGGGAGCAGTTGGGAAGTGGGGCAACAAGTGGGGGAAAGCGGGAAGGGAGCAAAAAGCCAAAAGCCTCCAGCCCCTTGTCTCTACAGGCGCTCCCCCATCCAAGCCCCAGCCAGGCCAGACCCTGCTTAGCTTCTGGGCTGGGGTGACCTCCTGCTGCTACGGCGCTAGGGGCTGCCAGGGCAGACCCCCAGCGGGAGGCCACAGGCCACCTCAGGGATGAAGGTGGGTGGGAAAAGGGGAGCCAGAGAGGAGGCAGTTGGGAAGCAGGGCAACAATCAGGTAAAAGCGGGAAGAGAGTGGGAAGCCAAAAGCCTCCAGACCCCAGTCTCCTCAGGTAGTCCCCCAGTGAAGCCCCTGGCAAGCCCAACCCTGCTTAGCTTCCAGGATGGGGCTTCCTCAGACTGCTATGGATCTCGGGGGCTGCTGGGGCAGACCCGAACAGAGAGGCCCCGGGTCGCAGCGGGGATGCAAGCGGACTGGAATGGGAGAGCCAGAGTCAGTGGGCAGTTGGAAAGCAGGACGACCAGCAGGGAAAGCCGTAAGGGATTGGGAAGCAAAAAGCCTCCAGCCCCCAGTCTCCCCAGGCAGCTCGTCATCCAAGCCCCAGCGAGGCAGGACCCTGCTTAGCTTCTGGGCTGGGCACCCTCAGGCTGCTATGGCACCAGGGCTGCCAGGGCAATCCCCCATAGGGAGGCCCCAGGTCGCAGTGGGTGTGCAGGCGGGTGGGAAAGGGGGAGCCAGAGAGTCAGGAAGCAGTTGAGAAGCTGGGTGACAAGTGGAGGAAAGCAGGAAGGGAGTGAGAAGCCTGAAGCCTCTAGCCACCAGTTTCCCCAGGCAGTCCCCCATCCAAGCAACAGTCAGGCCTGACCTTGCTTAGCTTCCGGGCTGCGGTGCCCTCAGGCTGCTATTGCGCCGAGGGATGTTGGGGCGGACCCCCACCTGGAGGCCCAGGATCGTGGCGGAGGAGAAGGTCCGGGCAGAAATGAGGGAGCCAGAGTCAGGGAGCGGTTGGGAATTGCGCCAACGAGCGAGAGAAAGCCTGAAGAAAGCGGGAAGCCAAAAGCCTCCAGAGCCCGGTCTCCCCAGGCGGTCCCACATCCAAGCCCCAGACAGGCCCAACCCTGCTTAGCTTCCAAGCTCAAGTGCCCTTAGGCTGCTATTGCACCGAGGGCTGCCAGGGCACACCCCCACAAGGAGGCACTGGGCTAGGGCGGGGGTGCAGGCGGGCAGTTAAGGGGAAGCCAGAGTCAGGGGGCTGTTGGGAATCAGGCCAACAAGCAAGAGAAAGCAGGAAGAAAGCGGGAAGCCAAAAACCTCCAGAGCCCTATCTCCTCAGGCGGTCCCACATCCAAGCCCCTGCCAGGCTCGACTCTGGTTAGAGTTCCTCTAAGCCCCGGGCTGGGCCACTCTAAAGCTGCTATGGCGCAGGGGTCTGCTCTGGCAGACCCCAAAGGAGAGGTCCCGGGCCCTGGTGGGGGCCCAGGAGGGTGGGAAATGTGGAGTCAGAGAGTTAGGGGGCAGTTGGGAAGCAGGCTGACAAGTGGGGGAAAGTGGGAAGGGAGTGAGAAGCCAAAAGCCTCCAGCCACCGGTCCCCCCAGGCTGTCCTTCATCCAAGCCCCAGCCAGGCTCAACCCGGCTTAGCTTCCTGGCTGGGGTGCCGTCAGGCTGTCATGGCACAAAAGGCTGGGGGGGCGGACCCCCACGGAGAGGGCCCGGGCCTTTGCAAGGGTGCAGGCAGGCTGGAAATGGGAAGCCAGAGTCACAGGGTGGTTGGGAAGCAGGGAGACAAGAGGGGGAAGCGGGAAGGGAGCAGGAAGCCAAAAGCCTCCAGGCCCTGGTGTCCACAGGTGATCCTCCATCCAAGCCTAAGCCAGTCCCGACCCTGCTTAGCTTCCGGGATGGGGCGCCCTCCGGCTGCTACGGTGCCTGTGGGCCAGGACGGACAGCCCGGGGAGATCCCAGTTCATTTTGGGGGTGCAGGTGGTGGGAAAGTGGGGGCCAGGGGGTCAGGAGGGGAAGGTTGGGAAACCTTGCGACAAGAGGGGAAAGTGGGAAGGGAGCAGAGAGCCAAAAGCCTCTAACCTCCAGTCTCCTTAGGCGGTCTTTCATACAAGCTTCAGCCAGGCCTTAACCTGCTTAACTTCCGGGCTGGAGCACCCTCAGGCTGCTATGGTTCCCGGGGGCTGCTGGGGCTGATTCCCACAGGGAGTTCTCAAGCCACATCGGGGGTACAGGAGGGTGGGAAAGGGTCAGCCACAGTCAGGGGGTGGTTGGTTATTGTTGCTACAAGCCTGGCAAAATGGGAAGGGAGCAGGAAGCAAACAGCTTCCAGCCCCCAGTCTTCCCAGATGGTCTCACATCCAAGGCCCAGCCAGGCCAGACCCTGCACAGATTCCAGTCTGGGGTGACCTCAGGCTGCTATGAATTTTGGGGGCTGCTGGGACAGACTAGCATGGGGCAGTCCTGGGCTGTGGCGGAAGCGCAGGTGGGCTGGAAAGTGGAGGTCAGAGAGTCAGGGGGCGGTTGGGAAATGATTCAACAAGCGGGGGAAAGCAGGAAACGAATGGGAAGCCAAAAGCATCCAGCCCTGGTATCCCCAGGCAGTCCCTCATCCAAGCTGCAGCCAGGCCCAACCCTGCTTAGCTTCCGGGCTGGGGTGCCCTCAGGTTGCTATGGCGCTCGGGGGTTGCCAGGGCAGGCCCCCACAGGGAGGTCCTGGTCCGTGGCGGGGGCACAGGCGGGTGGGAAAGGGTGAAGGGGCAGAGAATCAAGGGGCGGTTGGGAAGCGTTGCGACAAGCCGGTGAAAGCGGAAAGGGAGCGGGGAGCCAAAAGCCTCCAGCCCCCGGTCTCCCCAGACGGACCCCATTCAAGCCCCAGCTAGACCCGACCCTGCTTAGCTTCTGGGCTGGGGCGCTCTCAGGCTGCTATGGCACACAAAGGCTCCCTGAGCAGACCCACACGGGGAGGTCCCGGGTCACAGCGAGGGCAGAGTCGGTCGGGAAATTGGGGGCCAAATACTCAGGATGCGGTTGGCATGCATTGTGATCAGCGGGGAAAAGCGGGAAGGGAGCAGGAAGCCAAAAGCCTTCAGCCTGGGTCTCCTCAGGCGGTCCTCCATCCAGGCCCCAGCCAGGCTCGACCCTGCCTAGCTTCCGGGCTGTGGCGTTCTCAGGCTGCTATGGCGCCAAAGGGCTGCGGGGACGGATGCCCACACAGGGAGGTACCAGATGGTGGCAGGGGCACAGGCGGGTGGGAAAGGAGGGCCAGAGAGTCAGTGGGTGGTTGGGAAGCATTGTGACATGTGAGTGAAAACAGGAACGGAGCAGCAAGCCAGAAGCCTCCAGGACCCAGTCTCCCCATGCGTCCCCCCACCCAAGCTTCAGCCAGGCCCCTCCCTGCTTAGCTTCCGGGCTCAGGCGTGCTCGGGCAGCTATGGCGCCCCCGGGCTGCCAGGACAGACCCTGACGGGAAGGTCCCGGGCCGCGGTGGGGGCACAGGCGGGCAGGAAATGGGGGACCAGAGACTCAAGGGGCGGTTGGGAAGCACTGAGACAAGCAGGGGAAAGCAGGAAGGGGAGGAAAGCCAAAAGCCTCCAGCCCCTGGTCACCCCCGGCGGTCCCCACATCCAAGCCCCAGACAGGCCCTACCCTGCTTAGCTTCCTGCCTGGGGCGCCCTCAGGCTGTTATGGTGCCCGTGTGCTGCTGGGATGGATCGCCACGGGGAGGTTTCGGGCCGCGGCGGCGAAGCAGGCAGGCGGGGAATGGGCAGTCAGAGAGTCAGCAGCGATTAGGAAGTGTTGTGACAAGTGGGGGAAAGCAGAAAGAGTGGGAAGACAAAAGCCTCCAGCCCCTGGTCTCCCAAGGCAGGCTCCCATCCAAGCCCCAGCCAGGCCCGACCCTGCTTACCTTCTGGGATGGGGCGCTGTCAGACTGCTGTGGCGCCCGGGCTGCTGGGACGGAAACCCACTGGGAGGTCCTGGGCCCTGGAAAGGGCAAAGGTGGGCGGGAATTTGGGGGCCAGGTGTCAGAAGGCTATTGGGAATCATTGAGACAAGTGCGGGGAATCGGGAAGGCAGCGGGAAGCCAAAAGCCTCCAGCCCTTGGTCTCCCCAGGTGGTCCCCCATCCAAGCACCACCAAGGTCCGATCCTGCTTACCTTCCGGGCTGGGGCACCCTCATGTTGCTATGATGCCCGGGAATGCCGAGACTGACTTCCACGGGGGGAGGGGTGTAGCGGGCCACCGGGGGGGGGGGCACAGGTGGGTGGGAAACAGGGTACTAGAGAGTCAAGAGGCAGTTGGGAAGCATTGTGACTAGTAGGGGAAAGTGGGAATGGAGAGGCAATCCAAAAGCCTCCAGCCCAGTCTCTCCAGGCGGTCCCCCATCTAAACCCCAGGAGGCCTGACCCTGCTTAGCTTCCAAGCTGGAGCACCCTCAGGCTGCTATGGTGCCCACGGGCTGCCAGGACGGACCCCCGCGCGGAGGTGGGAGGTCCTGGGACTCACAGGGGAGCAGGCTGGTGGAAAAGAGAAGGCCAGAGAGTAAAAGGAGGGTTGGGAAGCATTGTGACAAGTGACAGAATGCAGGAAGGGAGTGGGAAGCCAAAAGCCTTCAGCCCCCATTCCCCCAAGGTTGTAGTCCCCCATCCAAGCCCCGCCAGGCCCAACCCTTCTTAGCTTCCGGGCTGGGGCCCCCTTGGGCTGCTAGGGCGCCAGGGGGCTGCCGGGAGAGACTCCCAAGGGGAGGTCCCGGGCCATGGTGGGGGCACAGGCGGGCAGGAAAAGGGGGTACCAGAGAGTCAGGGGGTGGTTGGGAAGTGTTGGGACAAGCGGAAGAAAGCGGGAAGGGACTGGGAAGCCAAAAGCCTCTAGCCCCTGGTCTCCCCATGCAGTCCCCCATCCAATCTTCAGCCAGGCCTGACCTTGCTTACCTTTCAGGCTGGGATGCCCTCAGGCTGCTATGGCGCCTGGGGGCTGCCGAGACAGACTTCCATGGGGAGGCCCTGGGTCATAGTAGGGGTGCAGGTGGGTGTGAAATGGGGAGCCAGAGAGTCAGGGGGCAGTTAGGAAGCATTAGAACAAGCGGGGGTAAGCGGGTAGTCAAAAGCCTCCAGCCCCGGTTGTCCCCAGGCAGTCAACCATTCAAGCCCCAGCCAGGTTTGACCCTGCTTAGCTTCCGGGCTGGGGCGTCCTCAGTCAGCTATGCTACCCAAGAGCTGCCAGGTCAGACCCCTGTGGGTAGGTCCCAGGCCGCAGTGAAGGAGCAGGCGGGTGGAAAATGGGGGCAAGATTGAAAATTTTGCAATAAGAGAGGGAAAGCGGGAAAAGAGCAGGAAGCCAAAAGCCTCCAGCCCCTGGTCTCCCCAGGCGGTCCGCCATCCAAGCCCCAGCCAGACCTGACCCTGATATCTACCAGGCTGGGGGCCCTCAGGTTTCTGTGGCCCCCTGGTGCTACCAGGAGGAACAACCAAGGGGAGGTCCTGGGCAGTGGTGGGAATGAAGGCGGGCAGCAAAGAAAGGGTGAGAGAGTCAAGGGGCGGTTGGGAAGCATTATGACAAGCAGGGGAAAGCGGGAAGAAAGCTAGAAGGGAGCGTGAAGCCAAAAGCCTCCAGCCCCCGGTCTGCTCAGGCAGTCCCCCACCCATGCCCCAGCCAGTCCCGACCCTGCTTAGCTTCCTGGCTGAGGTGCCCTCAGGTTGCTATGGCAGGAGCTGCTGTGACGGACTCCATGGGGAAGTCCTGGGCCTTGGCAAGGGCACAGGCGGGCGGAAAAGGTGGGGCCAGAGAAACAGGGGCGGTTGGGAAGCATTGCAAAAAGCGGGAAAAAGTGGGAAGGGACTGGGAGTCAAAAGCCTCCAGCACTTGGTCTCCCCAGGTGGTCCCCCATCCAAGTCCCAGCCAAGACCGACCCTGCTTACCTTCCCGGCTGGGGCACCCTGAGTTTGCTATGGTGCCCAGGGGCTGGCCAAATGGAGCCCCAAAAGGAGGTCCTGGGCTGGAGCAAGAATGCAGTCATGTGGGAAGCGGGTGGCGGGGGGGTCACAGAATCGGGAAATGTTGTAACAAGCAGGGAAAAGTGGGAAGGGAGCGGGAAGCCAAAAGCCTCCAGCCCCGATCTCCCCAAGTGGTCCCTCATCCAAGTCCCAGCCAGGATCAACCCTGCTTAGCTTCCGGGCTGGAGCACCCTCAGGCTGCTATGGCGCCCGGGGGCTGCCAGGACCAACCCCCACTGGGAGGTCCCAGGCCGTGGTGTTGGTGCAGGTGGGCAGGAAAGGGAGGGGCCAGAGAGTCAGGGTGCAGTTAGGAAGAGTTGCGACAAGCGGGGGAAAGTGGGAAGGGAGCGGGGGAAAGTGGGAAGGGAGCAGGGAAGTCAAAAGCCTCCAGCCCCAGGTCTCCCTAGGCGTTCCCCTATCCAAGCCCCAGCCAGGCCCAACCCTGCTTAGCTTCTGGGCTGGGTAGCTTCTAGGCTGGGGCACCTTCAGGCTTCTATGGTGCCCTGGGGCTGCCCAAAACAAACCCCCATGGGGAGGTCCCAGGCCATGGTGGGGGTGCAGGTGGGCAGAAACGGGGGGTGGGCAGAGAGTCAGAGGGCGGTTGGGAAGCCTTGCGATAAGCGGGAGAAAGCGGGAAGGGAGCAGTAAGCCAAAAGCCTCTGGCCCCCAGTCTCCCCAGGTGGTGCCCCATCCAAGCACTAGGCAGACCTGATCCTGCTTAGCTTCCAGGCCAGGGTGCCCTCAGGCTGCCATGGCACCCAGGGGCTGACAGAATGGACCCCCACAGGGAGGTACTGGGCCTTGGCGGTGGCGCATATGGGTGGAAAAAGAGGTGCCAGAGAGTCGGGGGCAGTTGGGAACCTTTGTGACAAGCAGGGAAAAGCGGGAAGGGAGAGGGACACCAAAAACCTCCACCTACCAGTATCCCCAGGCGGTGCCCCATCCAAGCCCCAGGCAGGCCAAACCCTGTTTAGCTTCTGGGCTTTGTCAGGTCTCTGAGCCAAAGCTCAGCCATTGTAACCCCTGTGACCTACACATAAATGTCCAGATGGCCTGCAAGAGCCAAGAAGTCTGGGTCAACCAAAAAAACACAAAAGAAGTAAAATAACCAGTTCCTGCCTTAACTGATTAACCAACATTACACCATTACACCATTGTGACTTGTCCCTGCCCTACCTTAACTGATCAATCAACCTTGTAACATTCTTATTCTGGACAATAAGTCTTATGATCTCCCCATCATGTACCTTGTGACCCTGTCCTCTGCTAACAATAGATGACCACCTTTTACTGTAAATTTCCATTACTTACCCAACTCCTGTAAAGCACCCCTTCCTTATCTCCCTTTGCTGACTCTCTTTTTGGACTCAGTCCACTTGCCCCCAAGTGAATAAACAGCCTTGTTGCTCAACAAAGCCTGTTGGTGGTCTCTTCACATGGATGGGCTTGACGTTTGGAGCCATGAATCAGACCAGGGGACCTCCCTCGGAAGATCAATCCCCTGTCCTCCTGCTCTTTGCTCTGTGAGAAAATCCACCTACAACCTCGGGTCCTCTGACCAGCCAAGAAACACTTCACCAATTTTGAATCGGGTAAGCAGCCTTTTTTATTCTCTTCTCCAACCTCTCTCAGTATCCTTCAACCTCTTTCTCCTTTCAATTTCAGTGCCACCCTTCAATCTCTCCCTTTCCTTAATTTCAGTTCCTTTCCCTTTCTGGCAGAGACAGAGGAAACACATTTTATCTGTAGACTGAAAAGTCTGGCACTGATCACGTACTCAGGAAGACAGTTTTCCTTTGGTGTCTAGTCACTGCAGGACATTTGCCTGATTCACCCACATTCCAGAGGTGTTCGATCACTGCGGGTATGCGTGCCTTGATCCTCCACCTTGGTGGCAAGTACCACCTCCCCTGGGTGGCAAGTACCCCCTCTTTTCTCTCAACTTAACTTTTCACTATGGGCAACCTTCTGCCCTCCATTCCTCCTTCTTCCCCCTTAGCCTTTGTTCTTAAAAACTTAAAATCTCTTCAACTCTCACATGACCTAAAACCTAAGCATCTACTTTTTTTCTGCAACACTGCTTGGCCCCAATACAAAATTGATAATGGCTCTAAATGTGCAGAAAATTACCCTTTTGATTTCTCCATCCTACAAGATCTAGATAATTTTTGTCATAAAATAGGCAAATGGTCTGAAGTGCCCTACATCCAGGCATTTTTAACACTTCATTCCCTCCCTAATCTCTGTTCCCAATGTGACTCATCCCAAATCTTCTTTCTTTCCCTTCTGCCTGTCCCTTCAGCCCCAACCCCAAGCACTGCTGAGTCTTTTGAATATTCCCCTTTTACCGACCCATCTGACCTCTCCCCTCCTCCCCAGACTGCTCCTCTTCAGGTCACTCACTGCCAGGCTGAATCAGGCTACAACTCTTCTTCAGTCTCTGCTCCCCGATCTAAAACCCTTCTATCACCTCCCCTCCCCACACCCGGTCCAGCTTACAATTTTGTTTGTTGTCAAATACTCCCCCACCCCTGCCCAACAATTTCCTCTTCAAGAAGTGGCTGGAGCTGAGGGCATCGTCAGAGTGCATGTACCATTTTCTCTATCAGAAGTTTCCCAAATAAATCAATGCTTAGGTGCCTTCTCATCAGACCCCACCAAATATATACAGGCATTCCAATATTTCACCCAGTCCTACAATGTAACCTGGAGTGATTTAAATGTCATCCTAACTTCTACCCTCTCCCCAGATGAATGGGAAAGTTTTTTTTTTTCTCTAACCCAATCTCATTCAGACACCCACCAGCATCATGAGCCCAGCCTCCAGGAAGGCATTAAAGTGGTTCCCCGAGAAGATCCCCAATGTCACTATCAGGCAGGTCCCCCAGGTATAGCTAGGCAGATTACATGATTTCCTGCCTAGTTGAAGGGCTTAAAAAGGCAGCATACAAATCTGTTAATTGTGACAAACTTAAAGAAACTACCCAAGGTAAAGACGAAGACAAAGCCCAGTTCATGGCCCATTTGGCAGTTATCATTAGATGCTTTACAGCCCTAGACCCTGAAAGCCCAGAAGGCTGTCTTATTCTCAGTATGCATTTTATCACCCAGTCAGCTCCTGACTTTAGAAAAAAGCTTCAAAAATTGGAATCTGGCCCTCAAACCTCACAACAGGAATTAATCAACCTCACCTTCAAGGTGTACAATAAGAGAGAAGAGGCAGCCAAGCGTCAATGCATTTCTGAGTTACAATTACTTGCCTCTGCTGTGAGACTAAACCCAGCCACACCTCCAGCACACAAGAACTTCAAAGCACCTAAGCCAAAGAGGTCAGGCATTCTTACAGGACCTTCAATCTCAGGATCTTGCTTCAAGTGCCAGAAATCTAGCCACTGGGCCAAGGAATGCCCACAGCCTGCGATCCCTCAGCTGTGTCCCATCTGTGCAGGGACCCACTGGAAATCAGACTGCACAGCTCGCCCAGTATCCACTCCCAGAGCCCCTAAAGTTCTGGCCCAAGGCTCTCTGACTCCTTCTTATATCTGCTCAGCTCAGTGGCTAAAGACTGACATTGCCCGATTGCCTGGGAAGCTCCCTGGACCATCATGGACGCCAAGCTTCAGGTAACTCACAGTGGAGGGTAAGTCCATCTCCTTTTTAATTGACACGGGGGCTACACACTCCACGTTACATTCTTTTCAAGGGCCTGTTTCCCTTGACCCCATTACTATTGTGGGTGTTGATGGCCAGGCTTCTAAACCTCTTAAAACTCCCCAAATTTGGTGCCAACTTAGACAACATTCTTTTATGCACTCCTTTTTAGTTATCCCCACCTGCCATGTTCCCTTATTGGGTTGAGACATTTTAACAAAATTATTCGCTAACCTATTACTGGACTACAGCCACATCTCATTGCCACCCTTCCTCCCAACCCAAAGCCTCCTTCACATCTTCTTCTTGCATCTCCCCACCTTAACCCAAAAATATAGGACACCTCTACTCCCTCCCTGGCACTGATCACATGCCCATTACTATCCCATTAAAACCTAATCACCCTTATCCCACTCAATGCCAGTATGGCATCCCACAATAGGCTTTAGTCCAAAACTGGACAAGTCTTACAGGTTAGTTCAGGATCTATGCCTTATCAAACAAATTGTTTTGCTCATCCACCCTGTTTTGCCCAACTCATACACTCTTTTGTCCTCAATACCTTCTTCCACCACTTAATATTCCATTCTTGATCTTAAAGATTTTTTTTCACTATTCCCCTGCACCCCTTGTCCCAGCCTCTTTGCTTTTACCTGGACTGACCCTGACACCCATCAGTCCCAGCAGCTTACCTTGGACTGCTGCAAGGCTTCATGGACAGCCCTCATTACTTCAGCCAAGCTCTTTCTCATGATTTACTTTCTTTCCACCCCTTTGCTTCTCACCTTATTCAATGTATTGATGGCCTTCCACTTTGTAGCCCCTCCTTTGAATCTTCTCAACAGGACACCCTCCTGCTCCTTCAACATTTATTCTCCAAGGGATATTGGGTAACCCCCTCCAAAGCTCAAATTTCTTCCCTATCCATTACCTACCTCAGCATAATAATTCTTGAAAACACAGGTGATCTCCCTGTCAATTGTGTCTGGCTGATCTCTCAAACCCCAACCCCTTCTACAAAGCAAAACCTTCTTTCCTTCCTGGGCAGAGTTTGATACTTTCACCTGTGGATACTGGTTTTGCCATCTTAACAAAACTGTTATATAAACTCATAAAGGGAAATCTAGCTGACCTCATCGATCCTAAATCCTTTCCCAACTCCTCTTTCCATTCCCTGAAAACAGCTCTAGAAACGACTCCCACACTAGCTCTCCCTGACTCATCCCAACACTTTTCATTACACACAGCCGAAGTGCAGGGCTGTGTGGTCAGCATTTTTACACAAGGATCGGGACCATGCCCTGTAATCTTTTTGTCCAAACAACTTGACCTTACTGTTTTAGGCTGGCCCTCATGTGTGGGTGCAGTGGCTGCCACTGCTCTAGTACTTTTAGAAGCCCTCAAAATCATAAACTGTGCTCAACTCACTGTCTACAGTTTTCATAGCTTTCAAAATCTATTTTCTTCCTCAAACCTGATGCGTATACTTTCTGCACCCCCCTCCAGTTCCTTCAGCTGTACTCACTCTTTTGAGTCTCCCACAATTACCATTGTTCCTGGCCCAAACTTCAATCCAGCCTCCCACATTATTCCTGAGACCACACCTGACCCCCATGACTGTATCTCTCTGATAGACCTGGCATTCACTCCCATTCCCCATATTTCCTTCTTTCCTGTTCCACACCCTGATTACACTTAGTTTATCAATGGCAGTTCCACCAGGCCTAATTGCCACTCACCAGCAAAAGCAGGCTATTCTATAGTATCTTCCACATTTATCAATGAGGCTACCACTCTGCCCCCCTCCACTATCTCTCAACAAGCCAAACTCATTGCCCTAACTTGGGCCCCCACTCTTGCAAAAGGACTTCACATCAATATTTATACTGACTCTAAATATGCCTTCCATAGCATGCACCACCATGCTGTTATATGGGCTGAAAGAGGTTTCCTCACTACACAAGGGTCCTCCATCATTAATGCCTCTTTAATAAAAACTCTTTTCAAGGCTGCTTTACTTCCAAAAGAAGCTGGAGTCATTCACTGCAAAGGCCATCAAAGAGCCTCAGACCCCATTGCTCAAGTCAACAATTATGCTGTTAAGTCAGCTAAAGAAGCAGCCAGTATTCCTACTTCTGTCCCTTATGGCCAGTTTTTCTCCTCATCAGTCACTCCTACTTACTCTCCCACTGAATTTCCACCTATCAGTCCCTCCCCACTCATAGCAAATGATTCTTACACCAAGGAAAATATCTACTTCCAGCCTCACAGGCCCATTCTATTCTGTCATCCTTTCATAACCTCTTCCATGTAGGTTACAAGCCACTAGCCTGCCTCTTAGAACATCTCATGTCCTTTCCATCATGGAAATCTATCCTCAAGGAAATCACTTCTCATTGTTCCATCTGCTATTCTACTACTCCTTAGGGATTTCTCAGGCACCCTCCCTTCCCTACACATCAAGCTCGAGGATTTGCTCCTTCCCAGGACTGGCAAATTGAATTTACCCACATGCCCTGACTCAGAAAACTAAAATGCCTGTTGGTCTGAATAGACACTTTCATTGGATGGGTAGAGGCCTTTCCCTCAGGGTCTGAGAATGCCACCATGGTCATCTCCTCCCTTCTGTCAGATATAATTCATTGATTTGGCCTTCCTACCTGTATACAGTCTGACAAGGTACCGACCTTCATTAGTCAAGTCACTCAGGCAGTCTCCCAGGCCCTGGACATTCAATGGAAACTTCATGCTCTCTATTGCCTTCAATCCTCAGGAAAGGTAGAAAGAACTAATGGTCTTTTAAAAACACACCTCACCAAACTCAGCGTCCAACTTAAAAACGACTGGACCGTACTTTTACCTCTTGCTCTTCTCAGAATTCGGGCCTGTCCTCAGGACACTACAGGGTAGAGCCCATTTGAGGTCCTGTATGGAGCTCCTTTTTATTAGGCCCCATTCTCATTCCAGACACCAGCCCTCTAGGTGATTATCTTCCAGTCCTCCAGCAAGCTAGACAGGAAATTCGCCAAGCTGCTAATCTTCCTTTGCCTACTCCATATTCCCAGCCATATGAAGACACTCTAGCTGGACAGTCAGTTCTTTTTAAGAATCTGACCACTCAGACTCTACAACCTCAGTGGACTGGACCCCACTTAGTCATCTATAGCACCCCAATGGCTGTTCATCTGCAAACCTCCCCCGCATTGTGTTCTTCATTCCAGATTAAAGCTATGCCTCTCAGACAGCCAGCCTGATTTATCCTCTTCCTCCTGGAAGTCACAAGCCCTCTCCCTCACTTCCCTTAAACTCACCCACATTCCTGAAGAACAGTAATAATCCTTATGTAAGGTCTATCCTTTCTTACCCCATTCCTCCAAACTATCATAGCTAATATCTTCTGGTGCTGCCCAGAAACTGCCACTATTAATTCCCTCTTTAAGTGGAAAAATGACCTTTGCTGGTAAGACACAGTCCAATTCTTCCACCCTAATGAATTTCTTTTCTTTACATTTATACTCACTCTTTGCCTTACTCTCATTCTCCTGCCACCCTCCACCTCTCCCCAGTTATCTACAACATACCATCAATCTCATTCACTCCCTCCTTGCCATCTCTAATCCCTCCTTAGCAAATAACTGCTGGCTATGCATTTCCCTTTCTTCTTATTCTTACACAGTTGTCCCCGCCCTACTTCCCGATTGGGCAACATCTGTCTCCCTACATCTTTGAACCTCTTTCAATGGGCCTCATCTCTATTCTCCTGAAGAACTTCTTTATTTTCTGGACAGATCCAGCAAAACCTCTTCAGACACTTCATATCAGCAGGCTGACGCCCTTCTCCATGCCGACTTAAAAAATCTTTCCCCTTACATTAATTCCACTCCCTCCATATTTGGACCCCTTATGACTCAAACCACTATCCCTGCTGCCGCTCCTTTGTGCATCTCCCAGCAACCACCTACCAGAATTCCCATAGGTAACCTTTCACTTTCGCTATGCTCCTTTACTCTTCATCTCCAAAGCCCAAAGACACACATTACTGAAACTACGAGGGCTTCTCAGCTATGCATTATGGACCAGCCCTCTATCCATACTGACAAACTTAAAAACATTAACAGTTACTATTTCTTAGGTAGACAGTTCCCCTGCCTTTCCCTTCATCCTTGGCTACCTTCTCCTTGCTTTCCAGACTCTCCTCCCAGCCCCGCAACTTGTTTACTTACACCCAACCCCATAAATAGTACTGAAAGATTACCTGTAGACACTGTACATTTTCTCTTACACCATGAAAATCTAATTTCCCTTTCTACCCAGTTACCACATAGGTCCCCATTACAACCTTTAATGGATGCTGCTCTCACTGGATTACTAGGAGTCTAGGTACAAGACACCTCACCTGGTACTCCCTCCCATCTTTTTACTCTACATTTTCAGTTTTTCCCTACACAAGGCCTCTTCTTCCTCTGTGGCTCCCCCACTTACATGTGTGTACGTTCTCATTGGACAGATACATGTACACTAGTTTTTCTTACTCCCAAAATTCAACTTGCAAATGGGACTGAACAACTTCCTGTCCCCCTCATGACACCGAACAACTTCCTGTCCCCCTCATGACACCAAACAGACAAAAAGAATTATTCCTCTAATCCCTCTACTTGTAAGGTTAGGACTTTCTGCTTCCACTATTGCCCTCGGAACTGGAATAGTAGTCATTTCAACTTCCGTCACAACCTTCTGTAGCCTTTCTAATGACTTTTCTGCTAGCATTACAGATATATCACAAACTTTATCAGTCCTTCAGGCCCAGGTCAATTCCTTAGCCACAGTTGTCCTCCAAAATCACCAAGGCCTTGACCTACTCACTGCTGAAAAAGGAGGACTCTGCATATTTTTAAATGAAGAATGTTGTTTTTATCTAAATCAGTCCAGCCTGGTGTATGACAACATAAAAAAGCTTAAAGATTAGGCCCCAAATCTTGCCAGCCAGGCAAATAATTATGCTGGACCCACCTAGGCACTTTCTAACTAGGTGTCTTGGTTCTTCCCTATTCTTAGTCCCCTGGTACCTGTTTTTCTCCTTCTCTTATTCAGGCCTTGTGTCTTTCATTTAGTCTCTCAATTCATACAAAACCGCATCCAGGCCATCACCAATTATTCCATATGGCAGTTGCTGCTTTTAAAAACCCCACAGTAATATCCTGTACCCCAAAATCTTCCCACAGCCTAAACTTCAATTCCTTGTCGTATTATACTCCTTCTCACCTTTAGGACTAAACCAGTGATGGACTCTTGGCAGCGTACTGACAAGACCAAGCTTCCATGCAACACCCCCTACAAATAATGGCTGTCCAAACATATTTCCAGGCCTGCTTCACCCGTTCTTCTAAACCTAATCTCTTAGGACCTGCTGTCTATAAAAACAACTTTCTTCAGGCCTTGCTCTCCAAAATTTTCCCCACCCCCAAAATCAAGGATCTCTGGATTAAAAATCTAAAACCCCTGAGGTGGCAGCTGTCAAATCTTTGCCCATGGTGTCCTCAGGCCTACTCACATAAAAATGACAAGCAATATGCAAATACAGGACCGGTTCCATATATCTGGCACTCAGATCAACATCCACGACAACACATGGTCTATCGTTGGTTGTCAGAAGGCATCGGACATTTCTGTCTTTGCCAGCCCCAACTTATTCTAGGAGACAAGGACTATTGTACTTATTATCTTTCCTGTATAAGGTCTGCAATCAGAAGTATTGAACTCCTCTATTCAAAACGCCACTAACACCTTTAGGAAAAAAGTAATATAATAGACTTTTGGCTTGATGCCAGGAGGTCCTATTTGTATGAAGGAAAATGAGGACAAAAGACCTTGGTATATAAAACATTATTCCTACCTTGGCCTAAAACTCACTGTCACCTACCTTAAAGCTATTATGCTTAATTGCTATTTTTAGATAATTTACTGTATTAAGACAACTCCAAGCTCAAAAATATGCTAACTGGTGACTTGTTAGCCACACAGAATTGTACCCAAAAACTTTCTAGACCAACTCACTATAAAATTAAATTTTCTTTAGGTGTTCACATCGCCCCTAAGTCATGCCTGAGGCAGTCCTGAGAAACATCGCCCCTACCCCAATAATCCCCAGAAAAAAACTTATATTTTATCTTTTCTTACAACTATATATTTTATAAATAAAAAGACAGGAATGTCAGGTCTCTGAGCCGAGACTCAGCCATCATAACCCCTGCGACCTACACATAAATGTCCAGACAGCCTGTAGGAGCCAAGAAGTCTGGGGCAGCCAAAAAATCACAAAAGAAGTAAAACAGCCTGTTCCTGCCTTAACTGATTAACCAACATTCCACCATTCCACCATTATGACTTGTCCCTGCCCTACCTTAACTGATCAATCAACCTTGTAACATTCTTCTTCTGGACAATAAGTCTTATGATCCCCCCACCATGTACCTTGTGGCCCCTCCTCTGCTAACAATAGATAACCACATTTTACTGTAATTTTCCACTGCCTACCCAACTCCTATAAAGCAACCCCTTCCCCATCTCCCTTCACTGATACTCTTTTCATACTCAGCCCACTTGCACCCAAGTGAATAAACAGCCTTGTTGCTTACACAAAGCCTATTGGTGGTCTCTTCACACAGATATGCTTGACAGGTGTTGGCACCCTCAGACTGCTATGGTGTCTTGGGGCTGCTGGGACGGACCCTCACAGGGAGGTCCTGGGCTGTGGCAGGGGCGCAGGTGGGCAGGGGTTAAAATAAGGGTGGCCAGAGAGTCAGGGGTCGATTGGGAAACGCTGCAACAAGCGGGAGAAAGCGGGAAAGGAGCAGGAAGCCAAGATTCCCCAGCCCCTGGTCTCTCCCAGGCGGTTTCCCATGCAAGCACCAGGCAAACCCAACCCTGTTTAGCTTCCAGGATGGCGCACCCTCAGGCTGCTTTGGCACCTGTCGGCTGCGGACCCCCACGGGGAGATCCCCGGCTGCAGCGGGGGTTCAGGCAGGCGGGGGCTGGCACAGTGGGGCCAGAGAGTCAAGGGGCCATTGGAAAGCATTGCAGCAAGCTGGGAAAATTGGAAGGGAGCAGGAAGCCGAAAGCCTCCAGCCCCCAGTCTCCCCAGGCCGTCCCCCATCCAAGCCCGGTACAGACCCGACCCTTTTGAGCTTCCGGGCTGGGGCGTCCTCGGGCTGCTATGGCACCAGGGGACTGCCAGGAGAAGCATCCATGGAAAGGTCCTGGGCCGCGGCAGGGGCGCAGGTTGGGGGAAAGGGGAGGCCAGAGAGTCCGGGGGTGGTTGGAAAGTGTTGCAGCATCAGGAGAAAGTGGGAAGGGAGTGAGAAGCCAAAAGCCTTCAGCCCCTGGTCTTCACAGGGGGTCCCCTATCCAAGACCCAGCCAGGCCCAGCCCTGCTTTTCTTACAGACTGGGGTGCCCTCAGGCTGCTATGGCCCCTGGGTGCTGCTGGGACGAACCCCAACAGGGAGATCCCAGGCCGCTTTGGAAGCGAAGGCGGGCGGGAAAGGGGGGCCAGAGATCCCGGGGACAGTTGAGAAGTGTTGCGACAAGCGGGGGAAAGCAGGAAGGAAGCAGGAAGCTAAAAGCCTGAAGCCCCCAGTCTCACCAGGTGGTCTCCCATCCAAGCCCCAACCAGGTCCAACCCTGCTTAGCTTCTGGGCTGGGGCGTCCTCAGGCTGCTATGGCACACTGGGGCAGCCAGGACCGACCGCCACGGAGAGGTCCCTAGCCGCGGCATGGGCGCAGGCAGGTGTGAAAGAGCGGGTCAGAGAGTTAGGGGGCAGTTTGGAAGCGAGGTGACAAGCAGAGGAAAGCAGGAAGGCAGCTAAAAGCCTCCAGGCCCCAGTCTCCCCAGGTAGTCTTCAATCCACTCCCCAGCCAGGCCTGACCCTGCTTAGCTTCCAGAATGTGGTGCCCTCAGGCTGCTATGGCACCCTGCTGGGGGCTGCCTGGCAGGCTTCCACGGGGAGGACAAGGTCCCGGCACAGGCACAGGCAGGCGGGAAAGAAGCAGCTAGAGAGTGAGGGGGCGGTTGGGAAGTGGGGGACAAGTGGGTAAAGCGAGAAGGGAGTGGGAAACTGAAGCCTCCAGCCCCCAGTCTCCCCAGGCTGTCCTCCCTCCAAGCCCCAGCCAGACCCGACCCTGCTTAGCTTCCGAACTGGGGTACCCTGAGGCTGTTATCACACCAGAGGCTGCCAGGGTGGGCCCCCACAGGAAGGCCCCAGGCGGAGGGGGGCCCAGGAGAGAGGGAAAGGGGGAGCCAGAGAGTCAGGGGGCAGCTGGAAAGCGACAAGCAGGAAGGGAGCAGGAAGCCAAAAGCCTCCAGCCCCCTGTCTTCCCATTTGGCCCCCCATCTAAGCCCTAGCCAGCCTGAGCCTGCTTAGCTTTCCAGCTAGGGTGCCCTCAGGCTGCTGTGGCACCAGGGGCTGGCGGGATGGGTCCCACAGGAAGGCCCCGGGCCGTGGTGTGTGTGCAAGCGGGCAGGAAAGGGGGAGTTAGAGTCAGGGGTGGTTGGGAAGCGGGGCCACAAGTTGGGGGAAGCGGGAAGGGAACCAGAAGCCAAAAGTCTCCAGCCTCTGGTCTCCCCAGGTGGCCCACCATCCAAGTCACACAGTCAGGCCCAACCCTACTTAGCTTCCGGGATGGGGTGACCTCAGGCTGCAATGGAACCTGGGCTGCCAGGGCGGGCCCCCAAGCGGAGACCATGGGGCACCGCAGGGGTGGAGGCAAGCGGGAAATGGGGAGCCTGAGAGTCACCGGGCAGTTGGGAAGTGGGACCACAAGCAGGATAAAGTGGAAAGGGAGCAGGAAGCAAAAAGCCTCCAGCCGCTGGTCTCCCCATGCTGTCCCTCATCCAAGCTCCAGCCAGTCCTGACCCTACTTTACTTTCAAGCTGGGGCACCGTCAGGCTGATATGACACTGGGGGCTGCCAGGGCGGTCCAAGGGGGGCCCCGGGTCATGGCGGGGCACAGGCAGGTAAAAAGTGGGAGCCAGGGAATCAGTTGGCTGTTGGGAAGCGGGACCACAAACAGGGGAAAGTGAGAAGGGAGTGGGAAGCCAAAAGCCTCCAACCCTCTTAGGCCTTATAATGAAAGAGAATTTTGGCCAACAGCAGGCAGTCTAATGATAAAGATATTTGTTCAACTCCAGGCATTCTAATGGAAGACACTCCTTGCCAACCACAGGAAGTCTAATGACAGACACCTGGGTGACCCCAGGCATTCTAATTGGAAAGACTCCAGGCTGACTCCTGGCATTCTAATGATATGGATACCTGGGCGACCCCAGGTATTCTAATGATACAGACACCTGGGCCACCCCAGGCATTCTAGTGGGAGAGAGTTCTTGCCGACCCCCAGCAGTCTAATGATAGAGACACCTGGGCCACCCAGTCATTCTAATGGGAGAGACTCCTGTCTGACTCCAGACAGTCTAATGATGAAGACACCTGGGTGACCCCAGGCATTTTAATGGGACAGACTCTTGTATAACCCCTGGCAGTCAAAGAATAGAGACACCTGGGCCACCTTAGGCATTCTAATGGGAGAGACTCATGCTGTACCCAGACAGTCTAATGATAGAAACACCTGGATGACGTCAGGCATTCTAATAAGGGAGACTTGCTTATGACCCCAGGCAGTCTAATGGTAGAGACACCTTGGCAATTCCAGACATTCCAATAAGAGACTCCCAGATGATCCCAGGCATTCAAATGATACAGACACCTTGGCAACAACAGGCATTCTAATAGGAGAGACTCCCAGCTGAACCCAGGCATTGCAATGGAAGAGATTTCTGGCAAACCATAGGCAGTCTAAAAATAGAGACACCTTGGCAAACTGAGGCATTCTAATAGGAGAGACTCCCAGCTGAACCTAGGCATTCCAATGGAAGAGATTTCTGGCAAACCATAGGCAGTCTAAAAATAGAGACACCTTGGCAAACTGAGGCATTCTAATAGGAGACACTCCTGGCCAACCCAAGGCAATGTAAGGATAAGGAGGATAAAGACATCTGGTCGACCAGAGGCATTTTAATGGGAGCGACTCCCAGCTGACCCAGGCACTCTAATGATAAGTACACCAGGGGGACCTCAGGCATTCTAATGGGAGAGACTCCCAGCAGACCCTAGGTATTCAAATAAGAGACTCCAGGCCGACGCCAGGCAGTCTAAAGATAGACACACCTGGGTGACCTCAGTAATTCTAATGGGAGAGACTACTGTTCGACCCCAGGCAGTTTAATTATAAAAACATTTATGTGACCCCAGACATTTTAATGGGAGATACCCCCGACCGACCCCAGGCAGTCTAATGATATAGACACCTGATCATTCTAATTGAAGAGACTACTGGCCAACCCCAGATATTCCAATAGAGAGACTCCTGGATGACCCCAGGCAGTCTAATGATAGAGACAACTGTGCGACCCCAGGAATTCTTATGCCAGACACTCCCTGTCAACCCCAGGCAGTATAATGACAGAGAAAACTCGGCAACACAGGCATTTTAATAAGAGAGACTTCTGGCCAACCCCAGGAAGTCTAAGGAGACACCTTGGCAACCCCAGGTATTCTAATGGGAGAGACTCCTGGCCGACGCCAAGCATTCTAATAGGAGAGACACCTGGCAAACACCAAGCAGTCTAATTATAGAGGCACCTTGGCGACCCTAGGCATTATAATGGGATAGACTCCTGGCCGACCACAAGCAGTGTAATTATAGAGACTCCTGGGTGACCCCTGGCATTCTATTGGGAGAGACTCCCATCCGACACCAGGCATTTTAGTAATAGACACACAGGCGATCACAGGCATTCTAATAACAGAGACTTCCGGCCAACCACAGGCATTCCAATTGGAGAGACTCTTGCCCTGTCTCAGGTAGTCTAATGATAGAGACACGTGGGCGATATCAGGCATTCTAACGTGGGAGACTCCAGGCAGACCACAGGCAGCCTAATGATAGAGACACATGGGCAACCCCAGGCATTCTATCAAAAGAGAAAGCCAGCCGACCCCAGGCATTCTTAAGGGATAAATCCCAGGTGTCTAGAGACACCTGGCCGATCCCAGGCATTTTAATGGGAGAAACTCCTGACCGGCCCATGGCAGTCTAAAAATAGAGTCATATGGGCAACCACATGAATTCTAATGGGAGTGGCACCTGGCCCACCCAAGGCACTCTAATAATAGAGACACCTGGGGGACCCCAGGCATTGTAATGGGAGAGACTCCCGGCCCACCCCAGGAATTCTAATGGGAGAGACACCTGGCCGACCACAGGCAGTCTAACTATAGAAACCTGGTCGACGCAAGGCATTCTAATGGGAGAGCATCCAGGCTGACCACACACAGTCTAATAATAAAGACTCCTGGGTGACCCCAGACATTCTAATGGGAGAGACTCCTGCTGACGCCAGGCTGTCTAATTACAGAGACACCTTGGAGACTTCAGGCTTTCTAATGGGAGAGACTCCCAGCTGACCCCAGGCAGTCTAATAATGGAGACATGTAAGTGACCCCAGCATTCTAATGGGAGAGATTTTCTCCTCAACCCAGGCAGTCTAAGGATAGAGAAACCTGGGCCACCCCAGGCATTCTAATGGGAGAGTTTTGGCTGACCCTAGGCAGTCTAATGATAGAGACACCTGGGTGAACCCAGACATTCTAGCGGGAGGAAATCCCTGTTGACCCCAGGCATTGTAATGAGAGAAACTCCTCGCTGACCACAGGCAGTCTACTTATAGAGACACCCGAGTGACTCCAGGCATTATAATGGGAGAGACTCCCAGTTGACCACAGGCAGTGTAATGACAGAGATACCTGATTGACCTTAACCATTCTAATGTTAGACACCCCCAGCGCATCATAGGCATTTTAATGAGAGAGATACCTGGGTGACCACAGGCTTTCTAATGGAGACATTGCAAGCCGACCCCAGACATTCTAATGAGAGAGGCTTCTGGCCAACCCCAGGCAGTCGAAGGATAAAGACACCTGGGCCACTGAAGGAATTGCAATGGAAGAGAATTACAGCTGATATTATGTAGTCTAACGATAAAGACACCTGGGTGACGTTAGGCATTCTAATGAGAAAGACTTCTGGCAGACCCGACAGTTTAATAATAAAGACACCTGGGTGACTATGGGCATTCTGATGGGAGAGGATCCTGGCTGACCCCAGGCATTTAAATTATAGAGACACCAGGTGACCAAAGACATTCTAATGGGAGAGATTCCTGGCTGAACCCAAGCATTCTAATGAGAGAGACTCCTGGCCAACCCCAGCCAGTCTAAGGATAAAGACACCTGGTTGACTCCAGGCATTCTAATGGAAGAGACTCTGTCCAACCCCAGGCAGTCTAATAATAGAGACACTTAAACGACTTTAGGCATTCTACTGAAAGAAACTTCCAGTCAACCCCTGGCATTCTGATGATAGAGACACATTTGCAACCCAAGGCATGCTAATGGGAGAGACTCCAGGCCTACCCCAGGCAGTCTAACGATAAGGACACTGGGGCATTCTAATGGGAGAGACTACCAGCCTACCCTCGGTATTCTAATGGGGAGACTCCTGGACGACACTATGCAAGTCTAATAATACACACAGCTGGCGACCCCAGGCATTTTAATGGGAGAGACTTCTGGCTAACCCCAGGCAATCTAATGATAGAGACACCTGTTTGACAGCAGGCATTCTAATGCCAGACACTCCAGGCCGAGCCCAGGCATTATAATGACAGAGACATATCTGCAACAACATGTATTTTAATGGGAGAAACTTCTGGCCAACCCCAGGCAGACTAATAATAGAGACACCTGTGTGACTTCAGGCATTCTAATGGCTCCCAACTGACCAAAACCATTCTAATGATAGACACACCTGGGCGACAACAGGCATTCTAATGAAAGAGACTGCTGGCCAATACCAGGCAGTCTAATAATATAGATAGCTTGGTGACCCCAGGAATTATAATGGAAGAAACTCCTGGTTGACCACAAGCCGTTCAATTATAGAGACATCTGGGCCACCCCAGGAAATCTACTTGGAGAGACTCCCATTCGATCCCAGGCATTCTAATGATAGATACATCTGAGAGAACACAGGCATTCTAATGGGAGAGTCTCCTGGCTGACCACAGGCATTTCAACTGGAGAGATTCCTGGCCAATCCCAGGCAGTCTAATGATAGAGACACTTGAGTGAATCCAGACAACCTAATGAGAGCAAATCCCTGATGAAACCAGGCATTCTAAATGGATACAGTCCTCGCCGACCATAGGCAGCCTAATGATAGAGACACCTGGGCAGCCCCAGGGATTCTAATGGGAGAGACTCCTGGTCTACTGCAGGCAGCGTAATGACAGAGACACCTAAGTGACCCTAGGCTATCTAATGTGAGACACCCCTCACATTATAGGCATTCTATACAATGTCTCACATCATGGGCATTCTAATAAGAGAGACTCCTGGCCAACCCCGGGCAATCTAAGGATAAAAACATCTTGGCAACCACAGGCATTGCAATGGAAAAGACTCATGGCCGACCCCAGGAAGTCTAATGATAGAAACACCTGGGTGACCCCAGGCATTCTAATTGGAGAGACTTTTGGCTGGCCTCAGGCAGTCTAATGATAGAGACACCTGGGCAACCCCAGGCAGTCTAACGAGAAAGACAGATGGCAGACCCCAGGCATTCTAATGGGAAAGACTACTGGCCAAACCAGGCAGTCTAATGATAAAGACACATGAATGATTCCAGGAATTCCAATGCTAGAGACTCCTGACTGACCCCAAGCAGTCAAATTATAGGAACATCTGGGCAACGCCAGGCATTCTAATGGGAGAGACTCCCAGCTGACCCCAGGAAGTCTAATGATAGAGACACCTGGGCGATCCCAGGCATTTTAATAGGACAGGTTCCCAGCTAACACCAAGCATTCTAATAAAAGGGACTCCTGGCCAACCCCAGGCAGTCTAAGGATAGAGACACCTGGTTGACCCCAGGCATTCTAATAGGAGAGACTACAACTATTATTAGACCCCAGGCAGTCTAATAATAGAGAATGCTTTTTGCCACCAGGCATTCAATAGGAAGAGACTCCTGGCTGACTTCAGTTAGTCTAATAGAGACACATGGGCGACCCCAGGCATTCTAATAAAAGAGACTTTTGCCCGACCCAAATCATTCTAATAAGAGAGACTCCTTTGCAATCCAGGGCAGTCTAATAATAGAGACACCTGGGCAAACACTGGCATTCTAATGGAAGAGACACACAGCAAAACCCAGCCAGTCTAATGATAGAGACACCTGAGCAATTTCAGGCATTCTAATTAGAGAGACTCTAGGCCGACCCCAGACATTTTAATGATAGAGACAACTAGGAGACCCCAGGCATTCTAAATGGAGATATTCCCGGGTGACCCAAGCAAGCCTAATAATGAAGACAACTGCGTGACCCCAGACATTCTAATGGGAGAGACCCTCAGCAAACTGCAGGCATTGTAGTGACAGGAATAACTGGGCGACCCCAGGCACTTAATAATAGAGACACCTAGGTGACTCTAGGCATTCCAATGGGAGAGACTTTCAGGTGACCCCAGCCATTCTAATGAAAGAGACTCCTGACTTACTCCAGACGGTCTAATGATAGAGACACCTGGGCCACCCCAGGCATTTTAATAAGAGAGACTCCAAGCCAACCCCTGGCAGTCTAATGATAGAGATATCTAGGCAACCACAGGCATTTTAATGGGTGAGATTTTGGCCAACCCCAGACAGCCGAATATTAGAGACATTTGGGCGACCCAGATATTCTAAAGGAAAAGACTTTCCAGCCACCCGAGGCATTCTAATGATAGAGGCACCTGGACAAACCCCGGCATTCTAGTGGGACATACTCCTGGCCAACACCAGGCATTCTACTAAGGCAAACTCTTGGCTGACCACAGGCAGTCTAAGCATACAGACATCTGGTCAACCCAAGGCATTCTAATAAGAGAGACTCCTTGCTGATACTAGGCAGTTTAATTACAGAGACACATGGGCAACTCCAGGCATTTCAATGAAAGAGATTTCTGGCCAACCCCAGGTGTTCTAATGATAGAGACACCTGGATAACTCCAGGCATTCTAATGGGGGAGACTCCCTCCATCTCTAGGCAGTCTAATGATGGAGACACCTGAATTTCCACAGGCATTCTTATGGGGCAAACTCCCAGCTAATGATAGGGACATCTGGGCAACCCCACACATTCTAGTGAGAGAAACTCCCGAATTACCCGAGGCGGTCTAATGATAAGGACACCTGGGTGACCTCAGGCTTTCTAAGAGGAGAGACTCCTAAACCCAGGGTGTCTAATTACAGAGGCACCTGGACGACTGGAGGCATTCTAATGGGAGAGATTCCTACCCAATCCCATGCAGTCTAATAATAAAGACACCCGGGCAATGCCAGACATTCTAATCTGAGAGACTCCCAGCTGATCCCAGGCATTCTAATGAGAGAGACCCCTGGCTGACCCCAGGTAGTCTAAGGATAGAGACACCTGGGTGACCCCAGGCATTCTAATGGGAAAGACTCCTGGTGCACCCCAGGCAGTCTAATTATAGAGACATCTGGGGTACCCCAGGCATTCTAATGGGAGAGACTTTCGGCCAATCTCAAGCATTCTAATAGGAGAGACTCCTTGCTGATCCCAGCCGTCTAATAATAAAGACAAAGGGGTGAACGCTGGCATTGTACTGGAGAGACTTCTGGCCAACCCCAGACAGTCTAATTATAGAGACACCTGGGCAATTCCAGGCATTCGAATGGGAGACACTCCAGGTCGACCCCAGAGTTTCTAATGGTAGAGACACCTGGGAGAACTGAGGCATTCTAATGGGAGAGACTCCCATTCGATCCCATGCAGTCTAATAATAAAGTAACCTGGGCTACGCCAGACATTCTAATCTGAGAGACTCCTGGCCAACCCAAGGCATTCTAATGGTAGAGACCCCTGGCTGACCTCAGTTGCTCTAAAGATAGAGACATCTGGGTGACCACAGACATTCTAATGGGAGAGACTCCCACAGACCCCAGGCAGTGTAATCATAAAGACACCTTGGCCACCCCAGGCATTCTAATGATAGAGACACCTGGGTGAACCCATGCATTCTAATGGGAGTGACTCCCGGCTGCCCACAGGCAGTCTAAGGATAGAGACACATGGGCTACCCCAGGCATTTTAATGGAAGAGACTCCTGGCCGACCCCAGGCAGTCTAATGATAGAGATACCTGGGTGAACCCAAGTATGATAATAGAAGTGACTGCCAGACAGCAACAGAGAGTCTAATTATGGAGACACATGGTTGACTGCAGACATTCTAATGGGAGAGATTACTGGCCAATCCCAGGGAGTCTGATGATAGAGACACCTTAGCAATGCCAGGCATTGTAATGGGAAAGACTTCAGGCTGACCCCACAAATTTTAATGATAGAGAAACCTGGGTGGCCCCAGGCATTCTAATGGGAGAGACTCCTGGCAGACACCAGGCATTGTAATGGGCGAGACTCCTGACCTACCCCAACCACTCTAACTATAGAGACACCTGGGTGACACCAGGCATTCAAAGGGGAGAGACTTCTGGCTGAGCACAGGCAGTATAATGATGGAGACACCTGCTCGACCTCAGGCATTCTAATAGGAGAGACTCCAGCCAACCCCAGGCATTCTAATAATTGAGACACCCAGGTGACCCCCAGGTATTCTAACTGGACAGATTTGTGGTCCACTCCAGGCGTTCTAATGGGAAAAACTCCTGGCCAACCACAGGCAGTCTAGTTATAGAGACAACTTGGCAACCCCAGACATTCTAATGGGAGAGCCAGCTGGCCGACACATAGCATTCTAATTTTAGAGACACCTAGGCGACTTTAGGCATTTCAATGAGTGAGTCCCTCTGCCAAACCCAGGCAGTCTAATGATAGAGACACCTGTGCGACAGCAGGCAGTCTAACGGCAGAGACTACTGGCTGACCCCAGGCAGTCTAATGATAGAAACACCTGGGCAACCATAGGCATTCTAATGGAAAAGACTCCTGGCTGACCCCAGGCATTCTAACGATACAAACACCAGGGTGATCTCAGGTATTCTAACAGGAGAAACTCCAGGCCAACAGGAATTTTAATGGAAGTAACTCCTTGCTGAACCCAAGCAGTGTAATTATAGAGATATCTGGGTAACCGTAGGCATTCTAATGGGAGAGAGTCCCAGCCGACCCCAGGCAGTCTAATAATAGAGACACCTGGGTGACCATGGGCATTCTAGTAATAGAGACACCGGGACGACCCAAGGCATTATAATGGAAGAGACTCTCAGCCAACCCCAGGTAGTCTTATAATAAAGACACCTGGGGGACCCCAGGCATTCTAATGGGAGTGACACTCAGCTGACCTTAAGCATTCTAATGGTAGAGACCCTGGGCGACCCCAGGCATTCTAATGATAAAGACACTTGGGAGACTCTGGCATTTAAATGGGAGAGACTTCTGGTCATACCCAGGCATTCTTATGGGAGAAACTCCTGGCAAAACTTAAGCACTCTAAGTATAGAGACACCTGAGCGACCCCAGGCATTCTAATGGGAGAGATACCTGGCTGTCTAATTATAGAGACATCCGGAAGACCCTAGGCATTCTAATGGGAGATATCCCTTGCTGACACAAGGCTTTCTAATGATTGAGAAACCTGGGCAACCCCAGGCATTCTAATTGGAGAGATTCCAGCCAACTACAGGCATTCCAATTTAAGAGACTCTTGGCCAATTCCAGGCAGTTTAATGATAGAGACACCTGGGCCACATCAGGCTTTCTAATGTGGGAGACTCCAGGCTGACCCCAGGAAGACTAATGATAGAGATACCTGGACAACTCCAGGCATTCTAATTGGAGAGACTCCTGGCTGGCCTCTGGCAGTCTAATGATAAAGACACCTGGCGACTTCAGGCATTCTAACAAAGTGATAGCCAGCTGGCCCCAGGCATTCTAATAGGAGAGACCCCTGACTGACCCCAAGCAGTCTAATAATAGGGACACCTGCGTGACCCAGGCATTTTAATGGGAGAGACTCCCAGCTGATGCCAGATATTCTAATAAAATAGACTCCTGGCAGACCCCAGGCAGTCTAAGGACAGAGACATCTGGTCGACCCCAGACATTCTAAAGAAGAGACTCCCAACAGACCCCAGGCAGTCTAATAATAGAGAGAGCTGAGCGATGCCAGGCATTCTAATGAGACAGATTTCAGTGAGTCTAATTATAGAGACATATGAGCGACCCCAGTCATTCTAATGGGAGAAACTTTTGGCCTACCCAAGGCATTTTAATAGGAGAGACTCTGTGATGACCCTTCTATCTAATGATAGAGGCAGCTTGGCAATCCCAGGCATTCCAATTGGAGAGAATTTTGGCTGACCACAGGCTTTCTAATGATAGAGACAGCTGTGAGACCTGAGGCATTTAACAGGGAGATATTCCTGGGTGATCCCAGTAAGTCTAATGATGGAGACACCTGGGAGACCCCAGGCATCAAAATGGGAGAGACTCTTAGCAAACCGCCGGCATTTTATTAATAGAAATAACTAGGCAAACCTAGGCATTCTAATGATAGAGACACCTAGATGACCCAAGGCATTCTAATGTGAGAGACTTTCAGGTGACCACAGTCATTATAACGAAATAGAATCCTGACTGACCCTAGGCAGTCTAATGATAGAGACACCTGGGCCACCCCAGGCATTTTAATAGGAGAGACTCTTGGCTGACCCCGGGAGTCTAATGATACAGACACCTGGGTGATCACAGACGTTTTAATGGGAGAGATTTTGGCTGACCCCAGGGAGTCTAATGATAGAGACATCTGGGTATACTAATGGAAGAGACTCCCCATCGACCCCAGGCATTCTAATAATAGAAAAACCTGGGCAACCCCAGGCATTCTAATGGGACATACTACTGGCCAACACCAGGCATTCTACTAAGGCAAACTCCTGACCAACCATGGGCAGCCTAAGGATACAGACACCTGTGTGACCCCAGGCATTCTAATGAGAGAGACACCCAGTTGACACCAGGCATTGCAATGGGAGAGACTCCTGGCCAATCCCAAGCATTATAACTATAGAGACAACTGTGTAACACCAGGCATTCTAAGGAAAGAGACTACTGGCCGACAACAGGCAGTCTAATAGTAGAGACACCTGGTCAACCTCAGGCATTCTAATAGAAGAAACTCCTGGCCAACCCCAGGCATTGTAATAGGGGAAACTCTTGGCCAAACACAGGCTAATAACAGAGACAACTGGGCAATGCCAGGCATTCTGTGGAGAGACACCTGGCTGACCCAAGGCATTCTATTGATAGAGACAGTAGGCATTTCAATGGGTGAGCCTCCCTGCCAACCCCAGGCAGTCTAAAGATACAGACACCTGGGTGACAGCAGGCATTCTAATGGCAGAGACGACTGGCCAACCCCAGGCAGTCTAACAGTAGAGACACCTGGGTGATCACAGGCCTTCTAATGGGAAAGACTCCTGGCTGCCCCCAGGCATTCTAATTCTTATAGGTAAAATGTTTATTTAGAAACAGAATGCTTGTTTCTTGGGACTACAAAGAAAATTAACAGACAAAAAGTTTTCTCAGTAAGGTAATTTTACTTTCTGCAGAAAGGGTGCTCCTTGCAGATGGAAAAATGGTGAGAGCATCCTTTCTACAGAAAGTAAAACTGCCTTGCTGAGAAAACTTTTTGTCTGAATGTTAATTTTCCCTTGTGGTACCAATAAACAAGCATTCTGTTTCTAAATAGACATTGTACTTATAAAAAAATGGTGGCCTGTATAAGGATACATTCTCCTCTCAGAGAGGTCTCTGGTCCTCTCTCATGAGGAGGCACCCCATTGCCTCATTGCAGTGGCCTCAGGGTTAAGGAATTGAGAACCACTGGGTGTGACAAATAAACCTGAACTCTCAGCAATGCAGAAAGAAACCGGCCAATGATCTGAAGTAAAGGATCCTCACATACCAACTGGACCAGGTAACCTCATGCATGAGACAAGGAAGGAAACACTGGAGGAGCCAGTAAAGTATGTCCTTGGTGGTTGGGACTAAGGAAAGAAAAACCATGAGGTGATGAAGCATTCCTTGGTTAGGACATATCAAGGAAAGAGAAGCTGCAGGGGTGGTAAGGCATTCCTTATGACTAAGAAAAGAAAATCCATGGGGCGCAGGGAAGTGTTCCTTAGTCATGATGTCTTGGAAGTTCATAAAGAGAGGTGAGAAGTCCCTATTGGGGAGGAGATTGAGACTTACACACACCTCCAGTAGTAGGAAAGATATTCAGAACTTCCCGTTCTTCTCTCCTTGAGGGAAGAAAGAGGTAGGATCCAGAGTATCTACCTTAGAAAATTGATAATAAAGGAGATTAAACAATCCATACCCCAAAACGAGGAGCTTACTCAAACATTTAATATATAGCAAGGGAAAGACCAGAAGGAGAAGAAATGGAAACTGATATGGATGTTGCAGATGTGACTATTTAAAGGAGTTCAGGCTCATCCATCTCTGTGGAGCACAGGCTGGATGTTGAATTAAGGGCATCAGGTCCCAGTAGCACTAACATCTCTTCTGGCCCCAGCCCCAGTCCCAGTCCCGGTCCCAGCCCTGGTCCCCATCCTGGAGTCCAGTGTATTCCACAATGAGCAGCACTTCAGAAATCCATGTTGAATTTCCTCAAGCAGGCCTTCCAAGACCCTGGCATTTCATCAACCAGAAAAAGAATAAAAAAACTGTAGCCTCAATTCTTACCTCTTTAACAACTATAATAAGTTTACTCCTTCTTCTTAGGTGTTGTGTTATACCATACACCCAGGAGTTAATCAAAACAACTAAGCCAAGAATTATTAAGACAGTTTGAAGATGAAAACTATACAATCAAAAGGGGGAAATTGTAGAAAGTAAAAAGGTTCCTCTTAAAGTTTTCCTTCTTGTTAAATAATAAATCATAAGTGCTAGAAATAATAGTTTCTTTTAAAGACTAAATCCCTTCAGGGCATTTCCAAGATGGCCGAATAGGAACAGCTCCAGTCTACATCTCCCAGCATGAGCAACGCAGAAGACGGGTGATTTCTGCATTTCCAACTAAGGTACCAGGTTCATCTCACTGGGGCTTGTTGGACAGTAGGTGCAGGAAAGTGGGTGTAGTGCACTGAACATGAGCTGAAGCAGGGTGAGGCATCACCTCACCCAGGAAGAGCAAGGGGTCAGGGGATTCCATTTCCTAGCCAAGCAAAGCTGTGACAGATGGCACATGGAAAATTGGGTCACTCCCACCATAATACTGCAGTTTTCCAGTGGTCTTAGCAAATGGCACAGCAGGAGATTATATCCCATGCCTGGCTCAGAGGGTCCCACACCCACTGAGCCTCACTCATTGCTAGCACAGCAGTCTGAGATTGAACTGCAAGGTAGCAGTGAGGCTGGGGGAGTGGTACCAGCCATTGCTGAGGCTTGAGTAGGTAAAAAAAGTGGCTGCGAAGTTCGAACTGGGTGGATCCCATGGCAGCTCAAGGAGGCCTGCCTGCCTCTGTAGACTCCACCTCTGGGGGCAGGACATAACTGAACAAAGGCAGCAGAAACCTCTGTAGACTTAAATGTCCCTGTCTGACAGCTTTGAAGAGGGTAGTGGATCTCCTAGCAAGGAGTTTGAGATCTGAGAAAAGACAGACTCCCTCCTCAAATGGATCCCTGACCCCTGAGTAGCCTATCTGGGAGGCATCCATCAGTAGGGGCAGACAGACACCTTACATGGCCAGGTACCCCTCTGAGATGAAACCTCCTGAGGAATAATCAGACAGCAACATTTGCTGTTCAGCAATATTTGCTGTTCTGCAGTCTCTGCTGCTGATACTCAGGCAAACAGGGTCTGGAGTGGAACTCCAGCAAACTCCAACAGACCTGCAGCTGAGGGTCCTGGCTGTTAGAAGGAAAACTAAGACACAGAAAGGACATCCACATCAAAATCCCATCTGTACGTCACCATCAGCAAAGAGAAAAGGTAGATAAAACAACAAAGATGGGAAAAAAAACAGAACAGAAAAACTGAAAATTCTAAAAATCAGAGCACCTCTCCTTCTCCAAAGGAACACAGCTCCTCACCAGCAATGGAATAAAGTTGGATGGAGAATGACTTTGACGAGATGAGCAAAGAAGGCTTCAGATGATCAAACTTCTCTGAGCTAAAGGAGGAAGTTCAAACCCATGGCAAAGAAGTTAAAAACCTTGAAAAAAATTTAGATGAATAGATAACTAGAATAACCAATGCAGAGAAATCCTTAAAGGACCTGATGGAGCTGAAAACCATGGAATGAGAACCATGTGATGAAAGTACAAGCTTCAGTAGCTGATTTGATCAACTGGAAGAAAGGGTATCAGTGATGGAAGATCAAATGAATGAAATGAAGTGAGAAAAGAATTTTAGAGAAAAAAGAATAAAAAGAAACCAACAAAGCCTGCAGGAAATGTGGGACTATGTGAAAAGACCAAATCTACATCTAATTGGTGTACCTGAAAGTGACAGGGAGAATGGAATCAAGTTGGAAAACACTCTGCACGATATTACCCAGGAGAACTTCCACAACCTAGCAAGGCAGGCCAACATTCAAATTCAGGAAATACAGAGAATGCCACAAAGATACTCCTCGAGAAGAGCAACTCCAAGACACATAATTGTCAGATTCATCAAAGTTGAAATGAAGGAAAAAATGTTAAGGGCAGCCAGAGAGAAAGGTTGGGTTACCCACAAAGGCAAGCCTATCAGACTAACAGCTGATATCTTGGCACAAACTCTACAAGCCAGAAGACAGTGTGGGCTGACATTCAACATTCTTAAAGAAAAGAATTTTCAACACAGAATTTCATATCCAGCCAAAAGAAACTTCATAAGTAAAGGAGAAATAAAATCCTTTACAGACAAGCAAATGCTGAGAGATTTTGTCACTGCCAGGCCTGCCCTACAAGAGCTCCTGAAAGAAGCACTAAACATGGAAAGGAACAACTGGTACCAGCCACTGCAAAAACATGCCAAATTGTAAAGGCATGTTTACATGCCTTTACATCAAGGCTAGGAAGAAACTGCATCAACTAATGATCAAAATAACCAGCTAACATCATAATGACAGGATCAAATTCACACATAGCAATATTAACCTTAAATGTAAATGGGCTAAATGGTCCAATTAAAAGACACAGACTGGCAAATTGGATAAAGACTCAAGACCCATCAGTGTGTTGTATTCAGGAAACCCATCTCACGTGCAGAGACACATATAGGCTCAAAATAAAGGGATGGAGGAAGATCTACCAAGAAAATGGAAAACAAAAAAAGGCAGGGTTGCAAACGTAGTTTCTGATAAAAGACACTTTAAACCAACAAAAATCAAAAGAGACAAAGAAGGCCATTGCATGATTGTAAAAGGATCAATTCAACAAGAAGAGCTACCTATCCTAAATATATATGCACCCAATACAGGAGCACCCAGATTCATAAAGCAAGTCCTCAGAGACCTACAAAGAGACTTAGACTCCCACACATAATAATGGGAGACTTTAAAACCCCACTGCCAACATTAGACAGATCAACAAGCAGAAAGTTAACAAGGATATCCAGGAATTGAACTCAGCTCTGCACCAAGCGGACCTAATAGACATCTACAGAGCTCTCCACCACAAATCAACAGAATATACATTCTTCTCAGCACCACACTGCATTTATTCCAAAATTGACCACATAGTTGGAAGTAAAGCACTCCTCAGCAAAAGTAAAAGAACAGAAATTAAAACAAACTGTCTTTCAGACCACAGTGTGAATAAACCAAAACTCAGGATTAAGAAACTCACTCAAAACTGCTCAACTACATGGAAACTGAACAACCTGCTCCTGGATGACTAGTGGGTACATAACGAAATGAAGGCAGAAATAAAGATGTTCTTTGAAACCAATGAGAACAAAGATACAACACATCAGAATCTCTGGGACACATTTAAATCAGTGTGTAGAGGGAAACTTATAGCACTAAATGCCCACAAGGGAAAGTAGGAAAGATCTAAAATTGACACCCTAACATCATAATTGAAAGAATTAGAGAAGCAAGAGCAAATACATTCAAAAGCTAGCAGAAGGCAAGAATTCAATAAGATCAGAGCAAAACTGAAGGAAATAGAGAAAACCCTTCAAACAATCAATGAACAAACAAAAAACCCTTCAAAAAATCAATGAATCCAGGAGCTGGTTTTTTGAAAAGATCAACAAAATTGATAGACCTCTAGCAAGGCTAATGAAGAAGGAAAGAGAGAAGAATCAAACAGATGCAATAAAAAATGATAAAGGGGACATCACCACGAATCCCACAGAAATACAAACTACCATCAAAGAATACTATAAACACCTCTATGCAAATAAACTAGAAAATCTGGAAGAAATGGATAAATTCCTGGACACATACACCCCTCCACCCACATAAACCAGGAGGAAGTTGAATCTCTGAACAGACCAATAACAGGATCTGATATTCAAGCAAAAATTTGTAGCTTACCAACCAAAAGAAGTCCGGGACCAGACGGATTCACAGCTGAATTCTACTAGAGGTACAAGGAGGAGCTGGTACCATTCCTTCTGAAACTATTCCAATCAATAGAAACAGAGGGAATCCTCCCTAATTCATTTTATGAGGCCAAAATCATCCTGATACCAAAGCCTGGCACAGACACACACACACAAAAGAGAATTTTAGACCAATATCCATTATGAACATTGATGCAAAAATCCTCAATAAAATACTGGCACACAAAATCCAGCAGGACATCAAAAAGCTCATCCACAATGATCAAGTGGGCTTCATCCCTGGGATGCAAGGCTGGTTCAACATACACAAATCAATAAACGTAATTCAGCATATAAACAGAACCAGACAAAAAACATGATTTTCTCAATAGATGCAGAAAAGGCCTTTGACAAAATTCAACAACCCTGCATGCTAAAAACTCTCAATAAATTAGGTATTGATGGGACATATCTCAAAATAATAAGAGCTATTTATGACAAACCCACAGCCAATATCATACTGAATGGGCAAAAACTGGAAGCATTCCCTTTGAAAACTGGCACAAGACAGGGATGCCCTCTCTCACCACTCCTATTCAACATAGTGTTGGAAGTTCTGGCCAGGGCAATCAGGCAGGAGAAGGAAATAAAGGGTATTCAATTAGGAAAAGAGGAAGTCAAATTGTCCCTGTTTGCAGATGACCTGATAGTATATCTAGAAAACCCCATTGTCTCAGCCCAAAATCTCCTTAAGCTGATAAGCAACTTCAGCAAAGTCTCAGGATACAAAATCAATGTACAAAAATCACAAGCCTTCTTATACACCAAAAACAGACAAACAGAGAGCCAAATCATGAGTGAACTCCCATTCACAATTGCTACAAACAGAATAAAATACCTAGGAATCCAACTTACAAGGGATGTGAAGGACCTCTTCAAGGAGATCTACAAACCACTGCTCAAAGAAATAAAAGAGGACACAAACAAATGGAAGAACATTCTCTGCTCATGGATAGGGAGAATCAATATCTTGAAGATGGCCATACTTCCCAAGGTAATTTATAGATTCAATGTCATCCCCATCAAGCTACCACTGACTTTCTTCACAGAATTGAAAAAAAACTACTTTAAAATTCATATGGAACCAAAGAAGAGCTCACATTGCCAAGTCAATCCTAAGCCAAAAGAACAAAGCTGGAGGCATCACGTTACCTGACTTCAAACTATACTACAAGGCTACAGTAACCAAAACAGTGTTGTACTGGTACCAAAACAGAGATATAGACCAATGGAACAGAACAGAGCCCTCAGAAATAATGTCCCATATCTACAACTATCTGATCTTTGGCATAGCTGACAAAACCAAGAAATAGGGAAAGGATTCCCTATTTAACAAATAGTGCTGGGAAAACAGGCTAGCCATATGTAGAAAGCTGAAACTGGATCCCTTCCTTACACCTTATACAAAAATTAATTGAAGATGGATTAAAGACTTAATTGTTAGACCTAAAACCATCAAAACCCTAGAAGAAAACCTAAGCAATATCATTCAGCACATAGGCATGGGCAAGGACTTCATGTCTAAAACATCATAAGCAGTGGAAACAAAAGCCAAAATTGACAAACCAGATCTAATTAAACTAAAGAGCTTCTGCACAGCAAAACAAACTACCATCAGAGAGAACAGGCAACCTACAGAATGGGAGAAAATTTTTGCAATCTCCTCATCTGACAAAGGGCTAATATCCAGAATCTATGAAGAACTCAAACAAATTTACAAGAAAAAAACAAACAACCTCATCAAAAAGTGGGATAAGAATATGATCAGGCACTTCTCAAAAGAAGACATTTACGCAGCCAACAGACACATGAAAAATATGCTCATCATCACTGGCCATCAGAGAAATGCAAATTAAAACCACTATGAGATATCATCTCACACCAGTTAAAATGGCAATCATTAAAAAGTTAGGAAACAACAGGTGCTGGAGAGGATGTGGAGAAATAGGAATGTTTTACACTCTTGGTGGGACTGTAAACTAGTTCAACCATTGTGGAAGTCAGTGTGGCGATTCCTCAGGGATCTAGAACTAGAAATACACTTGACCCAGCCATCCCATTACTGGGTATATACCCAAAGGAATTTAAATCATGCTGCTATAAACACATGCACACGTATGTTTATTGCAGCACTATTCACAATAGCAAAGACTTGGAACCAACCCAAATGTCCAACAATGATAGACTGGATTAAGAAAATGTAGCACATATACACCATGGAATACTATGCAGCCATAAAAAAGGATGAGTTCATGTCCTTTGTAGGGACATGGATGAAACTAGAAACCATCATTCTCAGCAAACTTTCGCAAGGACAAAAAACCAAGCACCACATGTTCTCACTTATAGGTGGGAATTGAAAAATGAGAACACTTTGACACAGGAAGTGGAACATCACACACTGGTCCTGTCTTTGGGTGGGGGGAGGGGGAAGGGATAGCATTAGGAGATATACCTAATGTAAATGTTGAGTTAATGGGTGCAGCACACAAACATGGCACATGCATACATATGTAACAAACCTGCACTTTGTGCACATGTACCCCAGAACTTAAAGTATTATATATACTAAAGTGTATATAGTATATATAAAGTATTATATATACTATATATAATATATATAAAATATACTAAAGTATATATAATACTTTATATATATAAAGTATATATAAAGTATATATATAAAGTATATATATAAAGTATATATATTAAAGTATTATATATACTAAAGTATTATATATATTTATATATATTATATATATAAATAAGACTAACTTCCTTCAAGCCTCGTCATTTTGTGCAAAAAATTCTTTGTTAAGCCCTACCCTATGTAGCTGTTAGATGTCAGAGAATGAGTACATTCTATGTCCTTGTACTTTAACCAAGATATTTGTGCTGGGCATGCTCACAGGCACATCCCAGCTCGCAGCCTATGCCCCTTCTCTATTTGGCATAACTAACTTCCTCTTTTCCTTTGTTCTCCCTTGCCTTTACATAGTTAGGAAAGTATTAAATTATTAGCCAGTCAGGTTAGCTTAGAGTGTGTGGTCCGGCTTCAGCCAATGGAGACAGGACACATTAGCAGGGACAAGCTGTGTAAGGGATAAAAGTTGCTTCCCTCCTTTGTTCAGGTGTGCTCTTGCCATTGTTCCATCTGCGAGGAGCACCCTTTCTGCAAAAAGTAAAATTGGCTTGCTGAGAAAATTGTCTAAATGCTATTTTTTTCCTTGCAGTTCCTACTAACAAGCATTCTATTTCTGAATAAATATTTTACTTATAACACTAATGATAGAGACAACTGGATGACTCCAGTCATATTAATGAGAGGACTCCAGACCAACACCAGGAATTCTAGCGTAAGAATTCTAATGTAAGTCACTCCTGGCTGACCCCAAGCAGTCTAATAATAGAGACACATGGGAGACCCCAGGCATTCTAATGGGAGAGACTCCTAGCTAAACCCAGGCAATCTAATAATAGAGACATCCGAGTGATCCCAGGCATTCTAGTGGGTGAGATTCTTGGCTGACCACAGGCATACTAATGATAGAGACAACTGTGTGACCCTAGGCATTATAATGGAAGAGACTCCCAGCCAACCCCAGGCTGTCTAATAATAAAGACACCTGGGCGACTCCAGGCATTCTAATGGGAGTGGCTCTCAGCCAACCTTAAGCATTCTTATAGTAGAGACACCTGGGCAACTCCAGGAATTCTAATGATAGAGACCCCTGTGTGATCCCTGGCATTTTAGTGGGACAGACTCCCGGCTGTCCCAGGCATTCTAATGGGAGACACTCCTGGCCAACCCCAAGCACTCTAAGGATTGAGACAACTGAGCAACCTCAGGCATTCTATTGGGAGAGATTCCTGGCTGACACAAGGCAGTCTAATTATAGAGACATTTGGGAGACCTTAGGCATTTTAATGGGAGAGACTCCCGGCCAACCCCATGCAGTCTAATAATAGAGACACCTCAGTGACCCCAGGCATTCTAATGGGAGAGACTCCTAGCTGAACCCAGCCAATCTCATAATAGAGACACCTGAGCAATCCCAGGCATTATAATGGGTGAGACTCTCGGCCGACCCCGGGCATACTAATGATAGAGACACCTTGGCGACCCCAGCCATTATAATGGAAGAGCATTCTGGTTGCCCCAGGTGGTCTAATAATAAAGACACACGGGGGACTCCAGGCATTCTAATGGGAGTGGCTCTCAGCTGATCTTAAGCATTATTATGGTAGAGACACCTGGGAAACTCTGGGAATTCTAATGATAAAGACACCTGGGTGACCCCTGGCATTTTAATGGGAGAGATTCCAGGCTGTCCCCAGGCATTCTAATGGGAGAGACTCCTGGCCAACCCCAGGCACTCTAAGAATAGAGACATCTGAGTGACCCCAGGCATTCTAATGGGAAGGACTCCCATTAGAATTTTTTCCTGACACAAGGCAGTCTAATTATAGAGACATCTGGGAGACCTTAGGCATTCTAATGGGAAACACTCCTGGCTGACACAGGGCATTCTAATGATAAAGAAACCTGGGTGGTTCCAGGCCTTTTAATTGGAGAGATTTCCAACTGACCCCAGACATTCTAATAAGAGAAACTTTTGGCCAATGCCAGGCAGTCTAAAAATAGAGACACCTGGGCATTCTGATGGGAGAGACTCACTGCCAACCCCAGGAATTCTAATGAAGAGACTCCTGGACCATCCCAGGAAGTCTAATGATAGAGAAACCTGGGCAACCTCAGGCATTTTAATGTCAGAGATTCCGGTCTACCCCAGGCAGTCTAATGATAGAGACATTAGGCATTGCAATGAGAGAGACTCCCAGATGACCCAAATAATTCTAATTACAGAGACACCTGGGCATCCACAGGCATTTTAATGTGAGAGGCTCCTGGCTGAACCAAGGCAGTCTAATGATAGAGACACCTGGGCAACCCCAGGCATTCTATTAAGAGAGATTCCTGAAAGACCCCAGGCATTCTAATGATACAGACATCTGGGAGAACCTAAGCATTCTAATGGGAGAGATTCCAGGCCGATGCCAGGCATTATAATGGAGACACTCCTGGCAAACCCCAGACAATCTAATGTTAGAGACACCTGGGTGACCCCAGGCATTCTAATGGGAGAAACACTCGGCTGACCACAGGCATTCCAATGTTAGAGAAACATGGGGGACCCCAGGCATTTTAAAGGGAGAGATTCCTGGCTCACCCCAGGCATTCTAATGGGAGAGATTCCTGGTTGACCCCAGGCAGTCTAATTATAGAGACACCAGAATGATCTTAGGCATTCAAATTTGAGAGACTCCCGGCAGACCACACGCAGAGTAATGATAAAAATAACTGGGTGACTGAAGGCATTCTAAAGGGAGACACTTTTGTCCATCTCCAGGTATTCTAATGGGAGAGACACCTGGCTGAACAGAGGCAGTCTAATGATAGAGATATCTGGGCCACCCCAGGCATTTTAATGGAAGAAACTCCTAGATGACCATAAGCAGTCCAATTAAAGAGAGAACTGGGCGACTCCAGGCATTCTAATAGAAGAGACTCCCTCCGACCCCAGACAGTCTAAGGATAGAGACACCTGGGTGACTCCAGGCATTCTAATGGGAGAGACTCCTGCCCAACCCCATGCAGTTTAATTGTAGAGACACCTGAACGACCCCAGGCCTTCTAATAGGAGAGACTCCTGACTGACCCCAGGCAGTCTAATGATAGAGACACCCTGGGTGAACCCAAACTTTCTAATGGTAGAGACACCCCACAAACCCCAGTTGGTTTGATGATAAAGACATCAGGCGAACCAAAGCATTCTAATGGGAGAGACTCCTGGCAGACCCCAGGCATTCTAATGATAGAGACACAAGGGAGTCCCCAGGCATTCTAATAAAAGGGACTCCAGGCCGACACCAGGCATTCAAATAATAGAAATACCTTGGTGACCCCAGGCATTTTAATGGGAGAGACTCCTGGCCAACCCAGGCATTCTCATGATAGAGACCCCTGGCCAAACCCAGGCATTAGAATGATAAAGACATCTGGGTGACCTCAGTCATTCTAATGGGAGAAACTCCCAACTGACACCAGTCAGTCTAAAAATAGAGACACCTGGGTGACCCCAGGCATTCTAATGACAGAGACGCCTGACTGACCCCTGGCATTCTAATAATACAGACATAGGGGCGTTCCCAGGCATTTTAATGGGAGAGATTCCCGGCCAACTCAGGCATTCCCATTATAGAGACACCTGAGCGAACCCAGTCATTCTAATAATAGAAACAACTGGTGATCCTGGGCATTCTAATGGGAGAGACTCCTGGCCGACCTTAGGCATTCTAAGAGTAGAGAAACCTGGGGAACCTTAGGCATTCTAAAAATAGAGACTCCTGCTCAACACCAGGCAGTTTATTTATAGAGACACCTCGGCAAACCCAGGCATTCTAATAGGAAGGACTCCTGGCAGACCTCAGGCATTCTAAGAATAGAGACACCTGGATGAACCCAGGCATCCTAATGGGAGAAACTTTAGGCCAAGCCTGGGCAGTCTAATTATAGCAACATCTGGTTGTACCTAGGCATTCTAATGGGAGAGACTCCTGGCTGACACCAGGCAGACTAAGGGTAAAGACACCCAGGCAAACCCAGGCATTTCAATGGGAGAGACTTCTGGCTGAGCCCGGGCAGTCTAACTATAGAAACACCTGAGTGACGCCGGGCATTGTAATGGGAGAAACTCCTGCAACACCCTAGGCAGTCTAATAATAGAGAAACCTCGGGAACCACAGGCATTCTAAATAAAGAGAATCCCAGCTGACCCTCGGCATTCTAATGGGAGAGAATCCTGGCTGACAACAGACAGTCAAATGATAGAGACACCTGGGCGACCCCAGACATTCTAATAAAAGAAACTCCCAGCTTACCCCATGCAGCCTAATGATAGCGACACCTGGGCAAACACAGCCATCTTAATGGGAGAGAAACCCGACCATCCCCAGGCCATCTAATAGTACAGTCTTCTGGGTGACCCCAGACATTCTAATAGGAGAGATTTTTGGCGGTGCTTAGGCAGTCTAATTGTAGAGACACATATGCAACCCCAGGCACTCAAATGGGATAGCTTCCTGCTAGACCTCAGGCAGTCTAATTACATAGACACCTGGGTGACCCCTGACATTCTAGTAAAAGAGACTCTCAGCCTACCTTAGGCAGTCTAATGATAGAGACAGCTTGGCCACCCCAGGTATTCTAATGAAAGAGACTCCCGAATGAACCCAGGGAGTCTAATGATGAAGACACCTGGAAGACCCAGGGATTTTAATGAAAGTGTCTCTTGGCCAACCCCAGGCATCCTAATGATAGAGACACATTCACATCTTCAGGCATTCTAATGGGAGAGACACCTGGCCGACACCAGGCATTCTAATGATAATGACACCAAGGTGACTCCAGGCATTTTAATGGAAGAGACTTTCAGACAACACAAGCATTCTCATGATAGAGACACCTGGCTGATTCCAGGCATTCTGATGATGGAGACATCTGGACTACAGCAGGCATTCTAATGGTAGAGACTCCTGGCCCACCCCATGCTGTCTAATGATAGAGACACCTATAAGGAAGAATAGAATACTCCAAGATTAAAACTAGAAACAAGTTATCTGTGAAAATGCTTTATGATGTGTATTTCATCTCACAGAGTTAAACCTTGGTTTTGATTCAACAAATTGAAAACATTCTTTTTACAATCTACAAAGAAATACTACTGAACCCATTGTGGTCTAGAGTGAAAATCTGAATATTTCGCAATGAAAACTTAAAAAAAGTCTGTCAAAATGCTTTGTGATGTGTGGATTCCTCAGAGGGTTAAAGATTTGCTTTGATTCAACAGGATAAAAACACTCTTTTTGTAGAAACAAGCTATCAGAAAGAGTATTTCCAACCTGTTGAATCAAAACAAAGGCTTAATTCTGTGGGATGCATCCACACATTGCAAAGCATTTTCACAGAGACCTTTTTTACAGCTTTTATTGTGGGTTAATTAGTTTTTCACTATAGGCCTCAATGGAATCAGAAATGTCCCTTCATAGATTCTACAAAAAGAGGGTTTCCAAAGTGTTGAATGAAAACAAAGATTTAACTGTGTGAGATGAATCCACACATCTCAAAGCATTTTTGAATATAGCTTGTTTCTAGTTTTTATCGCAGTGTATTTCATTTTTCACTATAAGACTCAATGAACTCAGAAATTTCACTTTGCAGATTCTACAAAAAGAGTGTTTCCAACCTGGTGAATTAAAATAGAGGTTCCATTCAGTAAGATAAATCCACACATCACAAAGCATTTTCACAAATTGCTTGTCTGTAAGTTTTATGGAGGGATATTCCGTTTTTCATTATAGGCCTCAATGGCTTCAGAAACGTCCCTTCAGATATACTATTAAAAAAGTGTCTCCAACCTGTTGAATCAAAGCAAACGTTTAAATCTGAGACGAATCCACACATCATAAAGCGTTTTTACAGATAGCTTGTTTCTGGTTTTAATAGCGATGTATTCAGTTTTTTACTATAGTTCTCAAAGGGATCAGTAATATCCCTTCGAAGATTCTACAGAAAGAGTGTTTCCAACGTAGTGAATCAAAACAAAGGTTTAACTCTGTGAGCTGCATTCACACATCACAAAGTATTTTCACATATAGATTGTTCCTAGTTTTTGCTGTGGGATATTCATTTTTCCAACATAGGCTTCAATGGGGTCAGAAATGTCCTTTTGTAGATTCCACAAAAAGAGTATTTTCAACCTGCTGAATTGAAACAAAGGTTTAACTCTGTGTGATGAATCCACACATCACAAAGCATTTTCACAGATAGCTTGTTTCTAGTTTTTATAGCAAGATATTCAGTTTTTCACTATAGTCCTCAATAGGCTAAGAAATGTCCCTTTATAGATTCTACAAAAAAAGGGTTTCCAACATGCTGAATCAAAATAAAAGTTCCATTATGTGAGGTGAATCCATACATCAGAAAGCATTTTCACAGACAGCTTGTTTCTAGTTTATAATGTGGGATACTTCGTTTTTCACCAAAGGCCTCATTGGGCTCAGAAATGTCCTATCGTCAATTTTACAAAAAGAGTCTTTCAACCTGGTGAATTGAAACACAGGTTTAACTATCTGAGATCAATCCACACATCCCAAATCACTTTCATCTATAGCTTGTTTCTAGTTTTTATCACAGGATATTCGGTTTTTCACTGTACGCCTCAGTAGGCTAAGTAATGTTCCTTTGTAGATTCTACAAAAACAGTGGTTTCAACCTGGTGTATCAAAACACAGGTTCTATTCTGTTAGGTGAATCCACATATCACAAAGCATTTTCACTGATAGCTTGTTTTTGGTTTTTATTCTGAAATATTCATTTTTAAACAATAGATCACGATGGGCTCAGAAATGTCCCTTGATATAATCTACAACAAAAGCGTTTCCACTTGGTGAATGACAATATGATTTCATTCTTTGAGATGAATTCCCACATCAGAAAACATTTTCACAAATAGCTCGTTTCTAGTTTTTATTGCAGGATATTCCATTTATTACCATAGGCCTCGGTGGGCTCAAAAATGTCCCTTTGTAGCTTCTACTAAAAGAGTGTTTCCAACAGTTGAATAAAAGCAAAGGTTTAACTGTGTGAGATGAATCCACACATTGGAAAGCATTTTCACAGATAGCTTGTTTCTAGTTTTTATCACAAAATATTGAGTTTTTCACCATAGACCTCAATAAGCTCAGAAATGTCTTTTCATGGATTCAACATTAGAGTGTTTCCTACGTGGTGTATCAAAACACAAGTTCCCTTCTGTGAGATAAATCCACTCATTTAAAAGCATTTTCACAGAAAGTTTGTTTCTAGTTTTTATTGTGGGAAGTTCGGTTTCTTTTCATACTTATAAATAGGCTCAGACATAGCTCTTTATAGATGGTAAAAAAAGAGTGTTTGCAATTAGGTTAATCAAAACAGGGGTTTCATTCTGTGAGATAAATCTACACATCACAAAGCATTTCCACAGATAGCTTGTTTGTGGTTTTTTTATGGGATATTATGGTTTTCACCATAGATCTCAATGGGCTCTGAAATGTTTCTTCATAGTTTATTTGAAAAAGGAGTTTTCAACATGGTAGATAAAATACAGGCTCCTTTGTGGGAAATAAATCCACACATCACAAAGCGTTATCACAGATAGCTTGTTTTTAGTTTTAATCATGGCATATTTAGTTTTTTAGTGTACGCCTATGACAGCTCAAAAATATCCCTTTGTAGACTCTACAAAAATAGTTTTCCCAACATGGTGAATAAAAACACAGGTTTCATTTTGTGAGATGAATCCCTGCATCACAAAGCATTTTCACAGGTAGCTTGTTTCTAGTTTTTGTTGCAGGATATTTTTTGTTAAATGACAGGTCTCAGAAATGTTTCTTCATAGATTCTACAACAAGAGAGTTTTTACCTGGTGAATCAAAACACAGGTTCCATTTTTTTGAGATGAATCCACACATCACAAAGCATTTTCACAGATTGTTTGTAGTTTTTGTTGCAGGATAATCCATTTTTCACCATAGGTCCCAGTGGGCTCACAAATGTCCCTTCATAGATTCTACCAAAAAACTGTTTCTAAGCTGTTGAATCAACCCAAAAGTGTAACTCTCTGAGATGAATCCACACATTGCAAAGCAGTTTCGCAGAGAGGTTGTTTCTAGTTTTTATCAAGGGATATTCAGTTTCTCACCATAGTCATAAATGGGCTTAGACATGCCCCTTCATAGATTCTACAACAAGAGTGTTTCCAATGTGGTGAATAAAAACACAGGTTTCAATCTGTGAGAGAAATCCACATATCATTAAGCATTTACAAAAACAGCTTGTTTTTACATTTTATCACGGGATATTCAATATTCTACAACAGGTCTCAATGGGCTCAGAAATGTAGCTTCTAAATTCTACATAAAGGAGTTTCCAACCTGGTTAATCAAAACACATGTTCCATTCTATGAGATGAATGCACACATCACAAAGCATTTTCACAGATAGCTTGTTACTATTACTTTTGTGAGATATTTGTTTTTTCAACACAGGCCTCATTGGGCTCAGAAATGTCACTGCATAGATTCTACAAAAAAAGTGTTTCCAATCTGTTGAATCAAAACACAGGATCTGTTCTGTGAGATTAGTCCCCACATGACAAAGCATTTTCACAGATATCTTGTGTATAGTCTTTATTGTGGTATATTCGGTTTTTAATCATATGCCTCAATGCGCTAAGAAAAGTTTCTTCATAGATTCTACAAAAAGATTTTTTCATACCTGTTGAATCAAAAGGCAGCTTTCATTCTGTGAGATGAATAGATGCATCACAAACTATTTTCACAGATAGGTTCTTCCTAGTTTTTATCACGGAATATTCTGTTTATCACCACAGGCCTAAATCAGCTCAGAAAAGTCCTTTTCAAGATTCTTCAAAAAGTTTTTCCACTTGGTGAAAAAAAATACAGTTTGCATTCTGTGAGATGAATCCAACCAACAGAAAGCATTTTCACAGGTAGCTTGTTTCTGGTGTATATCACGGGACATTTGGTTTTTCAACATAAGCCTCAATGGGCTCACAAATATTCCTTCATAATTTTTAAAAACGAAACAAAAAAAGAATATTTCCAGTTTGATGAATCAAAACACAGGTTCCATTCGGTGAGATAAACCCACACATCACAAAGCATTTTTGCAGATAGGTCTTTCTAGTTTTCATCACAAGATATTCAATTTTTCACCATCACTTTAATAGACTCAAAAATGTTCCCACTTGGATTCTACAAAAATAGCGTTTCCAACCTGATGAATGAAAACACAGGTTTCATTCTGTGAAATAAATCCTCGCATTAGAAAGCATTTTACCAGATAGCTTGTTGCTAGTTTTTCTTCACTGGATATTATGTTTTTCATTATAGGCCTCAGTGGGCTCTGGAACGTCCCTTCGTAGCTTCTTCAAAAGAGAGTTTTCAATATGTTGAATATAAGCACAGGTTTCTTCCTGGGAGATGAATCCACACATCACAAAGCATTTTCTCAGATAGTGTGTTTCTAGATTTTATCGTGGGATATTCTGTTTTTCACCATATGCTTCAATTAGCTCAAAAATGTTTCTTTGTAGATTCTACAAAAAGAGTAATTCCAGCATGGTGAATAAAAACACGTTTCATACTCTTAGATGAATCCACACATCACAAAGCATTTTCAGAGATAACTTGCTTCTAGTTTTTTTGCAGGGTATTCAGTTATTCACCATAGGCACAAATGGGCTCTGAAATTGTACTTTTGGGAATTCTACAAAGTATAGAGTTTTTAACATGAAAAATAAAACACAGGTTTCTTTCTTGGTGATGAATCCACACAACACAAATCATTTTCACAGATAGCTTGTTTGTAGTTTTTATCATAGGATATTCAGTTTTTCACCAGAGGCCTCAAAGGACTCAAAAATGTCCCTTCAGAGCTTCTACAAAAAGAGTATTTCCAACAAGGTGAAATAGAAACACAGGTTTCATTCTGTGAAATGAATCCACACATCACAAAGCATTTACACAGATAGCTAGTTTCTAGTTTTTCATGCAGAATATTTCGTTTTACACCCTAGGACCCAATGGGATCAGAAATGTTTCCTCATAGATTCTACGAAAAGAGTGGTTTCAACTTTTTGAATAAAATTAAAGGTTTAACTGTGTGAGACAAATTTATACATCACAAAGCATTTTCACAGATAGCTTTTCTCTAGTTTTTATTGCAGGATATTTGGTTTTTCACCATAGACCTCAATGGGCTCAGAAATGTCCCTTTTTACATTCCACAAAAAGATCATTCCCAACCTGGTAATCAAAACCTGTGTTTTGATTAAAACACAGGTTTTATTCTGTAGGATGAATGCACATATCTCAAAGAATTTTCTTTCTTTTTTTTTTTTTTTGAGATGGAGTCTCGCTCTGTCACCCAGGCTGGAGTGCAGTGGCACAATCTTGGCTCACTGCAAGCTCCGCCTCCTGGGTTCAGGCCATTCTCCTGCCTCAGCCTCCCAAGTAGCTGGGACTATGGGCACCTGCAACCATGCTCGGCTAATTTTTTTAATTTTTAGTAGAGACGGGGTTTCACTGTGTTAGCCAGCATGTTCTCGATCTCCTGACCTCATGATCCACCTACCTCGGCCTCCCAAAGTGCTGGGATTACAGCTTAAGCCACCATGCCCAGCCATCTCCAAGAATTTTCACAGATAACTTGTCTACAGTTTTTATTGCTGACAATTTAGTTTTTCACCATACTCATAAATGGACACAGACATGTTCCTTCATAGATCCTACCTCCAGAGTGTTTCCAATTTGGTGAATCAAAACAGAGATTTTATTCTGTGACATGAATCCACAAATCATGAATCATTTGCACAGATAGCTTGTTTCTAGTCTTTATCGCTGGATATTAGATTTTTTGCTACAGTCCTCAATGGGCTCAGAAATGTCCCTTCACAGATTCTACAAAAAACAGTGTCTCCAACCTGGTGAATCTAAACAAACATTTAACTCTGTGAGATGAATCCACAGTTTGCAAAGTACTTTTACACATAGCTTTTTCTAATTTATATTGTGGGACATTTTGTTTTTCACTATAGGCCTCAATGGACTCAAAAATGTCCCTTCATAGATTCTAAAAATATAGTATTTCCAGACTGGTGAATCAATACACAGTGTCCATTCTGTGAGATTAATCCACACATCACCAGTGTTTTCAAGATAGCTTGTTTACAGTGTTCATTGTGGGATATTGGATGTCATACCATACACCACAATGGGCTAAGAAATGTCTTTTTGTAGATTCCACAGTAAGTGTGTTTTCAACCTGGTGAATAAAAACTCAGATTCCATTCGATGAGGTGAATCCACACATCACAAAGCATTTTCCCAGATAGCTTATTTCTCCCTTTTACAATGGGATATCCAGTTTTTCACAACAGGCCTCAATGGTTTCAGAAATGCCTTTTCATAGATTCTACAAAAAGAGTGTTTTCCACCTGGTGAATAAAAACACAGATTCCATTATGTGAAATAAATCCACACCTCACAATGTATTTTCACAGATAGCATGTTTCTAGTTTTTATCATGAGATATTCAGCTTTTCACCATAAAACTCACTGGGATCAGAAATGTCCATTTGCAGATTCTACAAAAAAAAGTGTTTCAAACCTGGTGAATACAAACACAGGTTCCATTCTTTGAGATAAATCCACACATCACAAAGAAATTTCACAGATAGTTTGTTTCTAGTTTTTATGTCAGAATATTCGGTTTTTCAACATTCACCTTAATGGGCCTAGAAATGTCCCTTCGTATACCCTACAAAAAGAGTGTTTCCAAGCTGCTGAATCAAAACACAGGTTCCACTCTGTTTGATGAATCCACACACCAGAGAGTATTTTCACAGATAGCTTGTTTCTAGTTTTTATCATGGGATATTCTGTTTTTCACCATAAGCCTCAATGGGCTCAGAAATATCCCTTTGTGTATTCTACAAAATGAGGGCTTTCAACTTGTTGAATCAAAATAAAAGTTTAACTCTGTGAGAGGAGTCCACACATCAAAAAGCATTTTCACAGATAGCTTGTTTCTCCTTTTTACAATAAGATGTTTCATTTTTCACCGTATGCCACAATGGGGTCACATATGTTTCTTTGTAGACTGTATAAAATGAGTGTTTCCAACCCAGTGAATCAAAACACAAGTTCCGTTTTGTGAGATGAATTTACACATTGCAAACCATTTTCACAGATAACTTGTTTCTAGTTTTTACCACGAGGGATCATCTTTTTCACCATAGACTTCAATGAAGTCATAAGTGTCCCTATGTTGATTCTACAAAAAGGATGTTTCCAATCTGGTAAATCAAAACAAAGACTTTATTTCATTTTTCACTGCAGGACCCAAAGCATTCAGAAATATCCCTTTGTAGATTCTACAAAAGGTGTGTTTTCAACCCTGTGAATCAAAACAAAGGCTTCATTCAGTGAGACAAATCCACACATTACCAAGCATATTTACAGATAGATTGTTTCTAGTTTTCATTGCAGCATGTTCAGTTTTTCAATGTAGGACTGAAAGCATTCATAAGTTTCCATTCATTGACTGTTCAAGAAGAGTATTTCCAACCTCTTGAATGAAAACAAAGGTTTAAATCTCTGAGATGAATTCACACATCACAATCCATTTTCATAGATAGCTTGTTTCCAGTGTTTACCATGGGATATTCTGTTTCTCACTATATGCTACTAAAGCCTCAGAAATGTCCCTTCGTAGAATTTACCAAAATAAAAAAAGTGTTTCCAATGAGTTGAATCAAAACAAAAATTTAATCCCAGAACTTTTGGAGGCTGAGGTGGATGGATCACGAGGCCAGGAAATCTAGACCATCCCGGCTAGCATGGCGAAACCTCGTCTCTACTAAAAATACAAAAAAAAAAAAAAAATTAGCCAGGTGTGGTGGCAGGTGCCTGTAGTCCCAGCTAATTGGGAGGCTGAGGCAGGAGACTGGCTGAACCTGGGAGGCAGAGGTTGCAGTGAGCAGAGACAGCATCACTGCACTCGGGCCTAGGCAACAGAGTGAGACTCTGAAAAAAAATAAAAAATCTGAAGGGTTAACTCTGTGAGATGGATCCTCACATCACAAAGCATTTTCAAAGTTAGCTTGTTTCTAGTTTTTTTCTTGCAATATTCAGTTTTTTACTATAGGCCTCCATGGCCTTAGAAATGTCTGTTCAAAAGTTCTACAAAAAGAGTGTTTCCAACATGTTGAATCAAAACAAAGTTTTAAATCTGTGAGATGAGTCCACTCATTGCAAAGCATTTTTACAGATAGTTTTTTTCTACTTTCTGTGACCTGAAATTCGGTTGTTCACTCTAGGCCTCAACGGTCTCAGAAATGACACTTTTTAGATTCTACAGAGTGTTTCCAACCTTTTGAATAAAAAAGGTTCAACTCTGTAAGATTAATCTACACATTGCAAAACATTTTCACAGATAGCCTGTTTCTAGTTTTTATTACTGTATACTCAGTTTTTCACTGCAGGCCTTAATGGCCTCAGAAATATCCCTTCCTAGATTCTATAAAAAAAGTGTTTCCAACCTATTTAATTTAAAAAAAGTCTAATTCTGTGAGATTAATCTTCACATCACATAGGATTTTCACAGATAGCTTGTTTTTAGTGTTTCTGGTGGGATATTTGTTTTTTTACTAGAGGCCTCAATAAGCTTAGAAACGTCCCTTTGCAGATTATAAAAAAAAGTCTTCCCGACCTGTGGAATAAAAATCAAAATTTAACTCTGTGAGATAAATCCACACATCACAAAGCATTTTCACACATAGCATGTTTCTAGTTCTTATTGCAGGATATTCTGTTTTCACTATAAACTTCAATGAACTGAGGAACATCCTTTTATCAAGTCTACAAAAAGAGTGTCTCCAACCTGTAAAATAAAACAAACGTTTAAGTTTGTGAGATGAATCCACACATCATGAAGCATTTTCAAATATGGCTTGTTTCTAGTTTTTTTCATGGGATATTTGTTTATTCATTATAGGTCTCAATTGACTCAGAAATGTCCCTGTACAGATTAAGCAAAAAGCTTCTTGCTAACCTGGCAAATCAAAACACAGGTTCCATTCGACAAGATGAATCCACACATCACAAAGTATTTTGACAGATAGCTTTTTTTGTTGTATTTATCATGGTATATTCAACTTTTTCACTACAGGTCTCAATGGATGCAGAAATGTCCCTTCATTGATTCCACAAAAAGAGTGTTTCTAACCTGGTGAATCAAAACAAACGTTTAAATCTGTAAGATGAATCCATACATCACAAAGCATTTTTGCAGATAGCTTGTTTTGTAGTTTTTATCAGGAGATATTTGGGCTTTCATTATATGCCTCAATAGGCTCAGAAATATCCCTCCATTCATTCTACAAAAAGAGTGTTTCCAACGTGTTTTATCAAAACAAATGTTTAACTCTGTGAGATGAATCCACACATTGCAAAGCATTTTCCCAGACAGCTTCTTTGTAGTTTTTATCAGGGGATATTTCGTCTTTCACTATATGCCTCAATAGGCTCAGAAATGTCCTTCTGTACATTCTACAAAAACAGTGTTTCCAACATGTTTTATCAAAATAAAGGTTTAAATCTGTGAGACGAATCCACATATCACAAAGAATTTTCACAGGTAGCTTATTTTATTTTTTTATTTTCGGATATTTTATTTTTCACTATAGGCTTTAATGGGCTCAGAAATAGCCCTTTGTTGATTCTGCAGAACCAATGTCTCCAACCTGGTGAATCAAAACCCAGGTTTCATTCGGTGAGATCACAAAACATTTTCACAGATAACTTATTCCTAATTTTTATTTATTTATTTAGTTATTTATTTTTACTGGGAAAAATATCCTGTTTATTGATTTTTTGAATTTTATTATTATTATACTTTAAGTTTTAAGGTACGTGTGCACAATGTGCAGGTTAGTTACATATGTATACATGTGCCATGCTGGTGTGCTGCACCCATTAACTCATCATTTAGCATTACGTGTATCTCCTAATGCCATCCCTACCCCCTCCACCCACTCCACAACAGACCCCAGAGTGTGATGTTCCCCTTCCTGTGTCCATGTGTTCTCATTGTTCAATTCCCACCTATGAGTGAGAATATGTGGTGTTTGGTTTTCTGTTCTTGTGATAGTTTACTGAGAATGATGATTTCCAATTTCATCCGTGTCCCTACAAAGGACAGGAACTCATCATTTTTTATGTCTGCATAGTATTCCATGGTGTATCTGTGCCACATTTTCTTAATCCAGTCTATCATTGTTGGACATTTGGGTTGGTTCCAAGTCTTTGTTATTGTGAATAGTGCCACAATAAACATACGTGTGCATGTGTCTTTATAGCAGCATGATTTATAGTCCTTTGGGTATATACCCAGTAATGGGATGGCTGGGTCAAATGGTATTTCTAGTTCTAGATCCCTGAGGAATTGCCACACTGACTTCCACAATGGTTAAACTAGTTTACAGTCCCACCAACAGTGTAAAAGTGTTCCTATTTCTCCACATCCTCTCCAGCACCTGTTGTTTCCTGACTTTTTAATGATTGCCATTCTAACTAGTGTGAGCTGGTATCTCATTGTGGTTTTGATTTGCATTTCTCTGATGGCCAGTGATGGTGAGCATTGTTTCATGTGTTTTTTGGCTGCATAAATGTCTTCTTTTGAGAAGTGTCTGTTCATATCCTTTGCCCGCTTTTTGATGGGTTTGTTTGTTTTTTCTTGTAAATTTGTTTGAGTTCATTGTAGATTCTGGATATTAGCCCTTTGTCAGATGAGTAGGTTGTGAAAATTTTCTCCCATTTTGTAGGTTGCCTGTTCACTCTGATGGTAGTTTCTTTTGCTGTGCAGGAGCTCTTTAGTTTAATTAGATCCCATTTGTCAATTTTGGCTTTTGTTGCCATTGCTTTTGGTGTTTTAGACATGAAGTCCTTGTCCATGCCTATGTCCTGAATGGTAATGCCTAGGTATTCTTCTAGGGTTTTTATGGTTTTAGGTCTAACATGTAAGTTTTTAATCCATCTTGAATTAATTTTTGTATAATGTGTAAGGAAGGGATCCAGTTTCAGCTTTCTACCTGTGGTTAGCCAGTTTTCCCAGCACCATTTATTAAATAGGGAATCCTTTCCACATTGCTTGTGTTTCTCAGGTTTGTCAAAGATCAGATAGTTATAGATATGTGACGTTATTTCTGAGGGCTCTGTTCTGTTCCATTGATCTATATCTCTGTTTTGGTACCAGTACCATGCTGTTTTGGTTACTGTAGCCTTGTAGTATAGTTTGAAGTCAGGTAGCATGATGCCTCCAGCTTTGTTCTTTTGGCTTAGGATTGACTTAGTGATGCGGGCTCTTTTTTGGTTCCATATGAACTTTAAAGTAGTTTTTTCCAATTCTGTGAAGAAAGTCATTGGTAGCTTGATGGGGATGACATTGAATCTGTAAATTACCTTGGGCAGTATGGCCATTTTCAAGATATTGATTCTTCCTACCCATGAGCATGGAATGTTCTTCCATTTAACCTCTATTATTTCCTTGAGCAGTGGTTTGTAGTTCTCCTTGAAGAGGTCCTTCACATCCCTTGTAAGTTGGATTCCTAGGTATTTTATTCTCTTTGAAGCAATTGTGAATGGGAGTTCACTCATGATTTGGCTCTCTGTTTGTCTGTTATTTGTGTCTAAGAATGCTTGTGATTTTTGTACATTGATTTTGTATCCTGAGACTTTGCTGAAGTTGCTTATCAGCTTAAGGAGATTTTGGGCTGAGACAATGGGGTTTTCTAGATATACAATCATGTCGTCTGCAAACAGGGACAATTTGACTTCCTCTTTTCCTAATTGAATACCCTTTATTTCCTTCTCCTGCCTAATTGCCCTGGCCAGAACTTCCAACACTATGTTGAATAGGAGTGGTGAGAGAGGGCATCCCTGTCTTGTGCCAGTCTTCAAAGGGAATGCTTCCAGTTTTTGCCCATTCAGTACGATATTGGCTGTGGGTTTGTCATAGATAGCTCTTATTATTTTGAGATACGTCCCATCAATACCTAATTTATTGAGAGTTTTTAGCATGGAGGGTTGTTTAATTTTGTCAAAGGCCTTTTCTGCATCTGTTGAGGTAATCATGTGATTTTTGTCTTTGGATCTGTTTATATGCTGGATTACATTTATTGATTTGCATATATTGAACCAGCCTGGCATCCCAGGGATGAAGCCCACTTGATCATGGTGGGTAAGCTTTTTGTTGTGCTGCTGGAATAGAGACACAAAAAAACACTTCAAAAAATTAATGAATCCAGGAGCTGGTTTTTTGAAAGGATCAACAAAATTGAAAGACCACTAGCGAGACTAATAAAGAAGAAAAGAGAGAAGAATCAAATTGATGCAATAAAAAATGATGAAGGGGATATCACCACTGATACCACGGAAATACAAACTACCATCAGAGAATACTACAAACACCTCCACACAAATAAACCTGAAAATCTAGAAGAAACGGATAAATTCTTCGACACATACACCCTCCCAAGGCTAAACCTGGAAGGAGTTGAATCTCTGAATAGACCAATAACAGGCTCTGAAATTGTGGCAATAATCAGGAGCTTACCAACCAAAAAGAGTCCAGGACCAGATGGATTCACAGCCAAATTCTACCAGAGGTACAAGGAGGAACTGGTGCCATTCCTTCTGAAATTATTCCAATCAATAGAAAAAGAGGGAATCTTCCCTAACTCATTTTATGAGGTCAGCATCATCCTGATACCCAAGCTGGGCAGAGACACAACCAAAAAAGAGAATTTTAGACCAATATCCTTGATGAACATTGATACAAAAATCCTCAATAAAATATTCCTAGTTTTTATCATGGGATATTTGATTTTTCACTATAGGACTCAAAGCACTCAGAAATGTCCCTTCATAGATTTAACAAAATAGTGCTTCAAACCTGGAAAATCAAAGCAAACGTTTCACTCTGTGAGATGAATCCACATATCAGAAAGCATTTTCACAGTTAGTTTCTAGTTTTTATTGTAGGATGTTCAATTTTTCACTACTGCATCAATAAGTTCAGAAATGTCCCTTTGTAGATTCTAGAAAAAAGAATGTTTCCAAGCTGTTAAATCAAAACAAAAGTTTAACTCTGTGAGATGAATCCACATATGACAAAGTATTTTCAGATAGCTTGTTTCCAGTTTTTGTCATGGGATATTAGGTTTTTAACTGCAGGATTCAAGGTTTTCAGAAATGTTCCATCATAGATTATACAAAAAGTGTTTTTCTAGTTTGTTGAATCAAATAAAAGGTTTAGCTCTGTGAAATAAATCCAGACATCACAAAGCATTTTCACAGGTATCTTGTTTCTGGTTTTTATCACAGGATATCTGGTTTTTCAGTATCGGACTCAAGGTTTAGCTCTGTGAGATCAATCCACACATCACAAACATTTTCACAAAGAGTTGTTTCTAGATTTTATTGCTGGATATTGGTTTTTACTGATTAATAAACTCAGAAATGTCCCTTTTGAGATTACACAAAAAGAGTGTTTCCAATCTGATGAATCAACAGAAAGGTTTAACTCTGTGAGATGAGTCCACACATCACAAAGCAGTTTCACAGATGGCTTGTTTCCAGCTTTAATTGTGGTATATTTGTTTTTTTACTCTACTACTCAAGACATTCAGATATGTCTTTTTATAGATTCTATAAAAAGTGTGTTTCCAATCTGGTGAATCAAAAACAGGTTCCATTTGCTGAAATTAATCCACACCATCACAAAGCATTTTTCCAGATGGCTTGTTTGTAGTTTTTATCAGTTTTAACAGACAGCTTGTTTCTAGTTTTTACCATACAATGTTCAATTTTTCACTGTAGGACTCAAGGCTTCCAGAAATCTCCCTTCGTAGATTGTAAAAAAAAGAGTGTTTCCATCCTGTTGAATGAAAATAAAAATTTAACTTGGTGACATGAATCTACAAATCACAAAGCATTTCCACAGAAAGCTTGTTTCTAGTTGCTGTCGCAGGGTATTCAGTTTTTCACTATAGGCCTAAATGGGCTCGGAGTCTTCCCTTTGTAGATTCTACAAGAAGAGTGTTCCAGCTGGGCATGGTGGCTCACGCTTGTAATCCCAGCACTTTGGGACGCTGAGGCAGGGAGATCACGAGATCAGGAGATCGAGACCATCTTGGCTAATACAGTGAAACCCCATCTCTACTAAAAGTACAAAAAAATTAGCCAAGAGTGGTTATGGGCCCCTGTAGTCCCAGCTACTCGGGAGGCTGAGGCAGGAGAATGGTGTGAACCTGGGAAGTGGAGCTTGCAGTGAGCCGAGATTGAGCCACTGCATTCCAGCCTGGGTGAGAGAGCAAGTCTCCGTCAAAAAAAAAAAAAGTATTTCCAACCTGCTGAATCAAAAGAAAGATTTAACTCTGTGAGATGAATCCACACATCACAGAGCAGTTTTACAGATAGCTTCTTTCTACTTTTTATCATGGGGTATTTAGTTTTTCACTATAGGCCTCTATGGGCTCCAAAATGTCCCCTTGTAGATTCTACAGAAAGAATGTTTCCAATCTTCTGAATCAAAGAAAGGTTTAATTCTGTGAGATGAATCCATACATCACAAAGCAGTTTCACAGCTTCTTTCCAGTTTTTATCATTGGATATTTGTTTCTTCACAACAGGCCTCAATCAGGTCAGAAATATCCCTTCGCAGATGCTTTAAAAATTGTGTTTCCCACCTGTTGAATAAAAAAAAAGGAAAAAAACCTGTTAACTCTGTGAGATGATTTCCACACATCTCAAAACATTTTCAAAGATAGCTTGCTTCTAGTTTTTATCATGGGATACTTGATTTTTGGCGATAGATCTCAAGGGGCTGAGAAATGTTCCTTCCTGGGTTCTACAAAAAGAGTGTTTGCAACCTGTTGAATGAAAACAAAGATTTAACTCTGTGAGATGAATCCACACATTGCAAACAATTTTCATGGGAGAGACTTTCGGCTGACCCCAGGTATTCTAATGCAGAGAGACTCCTGGCCAAACACAGGCAGTCTAATAATAGAGACACATGGACCACCCCAGGCATTCTAATCAGATAAACTCTTGGCTGAACCCTGGCAGTATAATAATAGAGACACCTGTACCACCCCAGGCATTCTAATCGGATAAACTCTTGGTTGAACCCTGGCAGTACAATAATAGAAACACCTGGGTGACCACAGGCATTCTAATGGGAGAGAACCCTATCTGACCCCTGGCATTCTAAAGGGAGAGACTCTCGGCCAACCCCACACAATCTAATGATAGAGACACCTGGGCAACCACAGCCATTGTAATGGGAGAGACTCCTGGCTGACCCTAGGCAGTCTAAGGATAGGGATACCTGAGCAACACCAGGCGGTCTAATGGGAGAGACTGCTGGCCGACCCCAGGCGTTCTAGTGATAGAGACAAATGGGTGACAATAGGCATTCTAATGGCAGAGACTCCTGCCGACCCCTGACAGTCTAATTATAGAGAAACCTGGGCAAACCCAAGCATTCAAATGGGCGTAACTCCTAGCTGAGTCTATACAGTCTAATTATAGATACACATGGGCAATCCCAGACCTTCTAATGGGAGAGACTCCTGGCTGAACCCAGGCAATCTAGTGATAGAGACACCTGGGCCACCCCAGGCATTCTAATGAGAGAGACTCAGGGCCAAATCCAGACAGTTTAATTATAGAGACACATGGGTGACCCCAGGCATTCTAATGATAGACACACCTGGGCCACCCCAGGCATTCTAATGGGAGAGACCATTGGCCAACGTCAGGCAGTCTAATGATAGAGGCTCATGGGCGACCCCAGCATTCTAATGGGAGTGACTTTCAGCCAACCCCAGAGTGCCTAATGATAGAGACAACTGGGCAACCCAGGCATTCTAACAAGAAAGATGCCTGGCAAGCCATGCAGTCTAATTATAGAGTTACTCAGACGACCCCAGGCATTCTGATGAAATATTTCTAGCCAATCACAGGCAATCTAATAATAGAGACTTCTGGCGGACCCCAGGTGGCCTAATGATAGAGAAACCTCAGCGACCCCAGACACTTTAATGGGAGAGAGGCCCAGAAAAATCCAGGCATTTTAATTGGAGAGACTCCTGGCCACCCCAGGTGGTGTAATGATAGAGACACCTGGGTGATTCCAGTAATTCTAAGGGGAGAGATATCCAGCTGACCCCAGGTATTCTAATAATAAAGACACCTGGGCGACCCCAAGCATTCTTATGAGATAGACTACCAGCCCACCCGAGCTAATATATTGGGAGAGACTCCTGGCGGACTCCAGGCACTCTAAAAGTAGAGACAATGGGCAACTCCAAGCATTCTAGTGGAAGAGACTCCTGGCTGACTCCAGGAAGTCTAATTATAGAGACACCTTTGGGACCCCAGGCATCCTAATGGGAGAGACTCCTGGTGGTATCCAGGCAGTCTATTGATAGAGACACCTGGATCATCCCAGGTATTCTAATGGAAGATATTCCAGGCTGACACCAGGCAGTCTAATGATAGATGCCTGGGCCAACCAAGGCATTCTAATGGGAAAGAACCCCCACCAACCCCAGCCATTTTAATGGGAGAGATTCCTGGCTGACCCCAAGCATCCTAATGATAGAGATACCTGGAAAACCCCAGGCATTTTAATGATAGAGACACCTTGGCAACCCCAGGCATTTTAATGGGAGAGACTCCTAGCTGATCCCAGATGGTCTAATGATAGAGATACCTGGGCAACCTCAGGCATTCTACTGAAAGAGACTCTCAGCCAAAAACAGGCATTCTAATGAGAGAGACACCTGGGTGACCCCAGGCATTCAAATGGGAGAGACTACTGGGCAACTGCACGTATTTTAATGATAGAAACACCTGGGCAACCAAAGGCATTCTAATAAGAGAGACTCTCACCTGACCCCAGGCATTCTAATGGGAGAGACTCCTGGCCATTTGCTGAAGTCTAATTATAGAGAAACCTGAGGGAGCCCAGATATTATAATGTGTGAGACTCCTGGCCGACCCCAGGAAGTCAAATGTTAAAGACACCTGGGTGACCGAAGGCATTCTAAAGGGAGAGACTCTCGGCTGACCCCAGGCAATATAATGATAGAGACACCTCGAGACCCCAGGTACTTTAATGGGAGAAACTTCTAACCCAACCCAGGCAGTCTAATTATAGTGATAACTAGGTGACCCCAGGTAATATAATGAGAGAGAATCCCGACCGACACCAGGGAGTCAAACCATAGAGAAACATGGGTGATTCATGGCATTTTAATAAGTTAGACTCCTGGGTGAGCCCAGTCAGTCTAATTATAGAGACATCTCGGGGACCCCAGGCATTTGAATAAGAGAGACTCCCACAGACCTCAGGCAGTCTAATGATAAAAACACCTAGGAAACCCTGGGCATTCTAATAACAGGGAATCTCTGCCAACCTCATGCAGTCTAATTATAGACTCACCTGGGTGACCCCAGGCATTCTAATGGCAGAGACTCCTGCTTACCCCAGACAGTCTAATGATAGAGACTCCTAAGCAACACCAGGCATTTTAATGGGAGAGACTCCCGGCCGATGCCAGGCAGTCTAATGATTGAGACACCTGGAGAACCCCAGGCATTCTAATGGGAGAAACTACTGGCTGAGCCCAGGCAGTCTAATTATAGATATACCTCAGCAATCCCAGGTATTTTAATGTGAGAGACTTCCTGTGGACCTCAGGCAGTCTAATGATAGAGACACATGAGCAACCCCAGAAATTCTAATGGGAGAGACTCCTGGCCGAGTTCAGCAGTCTAATTATGGAGACACCTGAATGACACCAGACATTCTAACAAGAGAGGCACCCAGTCGATCCCAGGCAGTCTAATAATGCAAACACCTAGGCAAGCCCAGATATTCTATTAAAAAAGACTCCCAGTGGGCCCCAGGCATTCTAATGGAAGAGACTGCTGGCTGACCCCAGGCAGTGTAATGATAAAGACACCTGGGTGAACACCGGCATTCTAACGAAAGAGACTCCTGGCCAACCAGAAGCAGTCTAATTATAGAGACACCTGGGTGACCACAGACATTCTAATGAGAGAGACTCCCACCAACCTAAGACAGTCTAATGATAGAGAGACCAGGGCCATCACATGCATGCTAACACGGGGAACTCCCACCAAACTGAGGCAGTTTAATTACAGACACACCTGGGTGACCCCATGAATCATAATGGGAGAGACACCCATCTAACCCTGGGCAGTCTAATAATAGAGACATCTGAGCAACTTCAGGTATTCTAATGGAAGAGACTCCTGGCAAACCCCAGGTGGTCTAATAATAGAGACACATGGATGACTTCAGGCATTCCAGTGGAAGAGACTCCTGGCCAGCCCCAGACGGTATAATAATAAAGATACTTGGGTTACCCCAGGCTTTCTAATAGGAGAGACTCCTGGCCAACCCCAGGCGGTCTAATAATAAAGACACCTCGGTGACCCCAGGCTTTCTAATAGGAGAGACTCCTGGCCAACCCTGGGAAGTCTAATGATAGAGACACTTGGGTGACCCTAGACATTCTAATGAGACACCCGGATGACCCAAGACATTCCAATTGGAACTACTGGCTGACCCCAGGTAGTCTAATGATAGAGGCATCAGGGCAACTTCAGATATTCTAATGGTGACCCCAGCCATTTTAATGGGAGAGATTTCTGGCCAATCCCAGGCAGTCTAATGATAGAGACACCTGGTCTACCCCAGGCATTCGAATGGGAAAGACTCCCAGCAAGCCTTAAAAAGTCTAATGTTAGAGACACCTGTTAAAACCCAGGAATTCTAATGGGAAAGTCTCCCAGCCAATCCCAGGCATTCTAATGATAGGGACAGAGGGGTGACCCAAGGCCTTCTAATGGAAGAGATTCCTGCCAACACCAGGCAGTATGATGACAGAGACACCTGGACGGCCCAAGGCATTCTGATGGAGAGACTCTTCGCCAACGCCAGGCAGTCTAATGATAGAGACACATGAGGGACCCAAGGCATTCTAATGGGAGAGACTCCCACTGACATCAGGCAGTATAATGATAGAGAGAGCTGGGCGACAGCAAGCATTCAAATAGAAGAAACTCCTTGCCAATCCCAGGCAGTCTAATTATAGAGACACCTTGAAGACCCTAGGCATTCTAATAGGAGAGACTCTTGGCCAACCCCAGGCAATTTAATGATAGAGACACCTGGGTGACCCTAGGCATTCGAGTTGGTAGATTCCCACCTACTCCAGGCAGTCTAATGATAGAGACACCTGGGCGACCCCCAGCATTTCAATGAGAGAAACTCCAGGCTGACCCCGGCAATCTAATGAGAGAGACACCTGGGGAACCCCAAGCATTCTACTGAGAGAGACCCCTGGCTGACCTCAGGCGGTCTAATTATACAGACTCTTGGGTGACCCAAGGCATTCTAATGGGAGAGACTCCTAGCCAACCCCAGGTAGTGCAATGATAGAGACAAGTGAGCGACCACAGTCATTCTAATGGGAGAGACTCCTTGCTGACCCCAGGCAGTCTAATGATAGAGACACCTGGGCGACTGCAGGCATTCTAATGAAAGAGACTTCTGGCTTACCCCAGGCATTCTAACAGGAAAGATTTCTTGCCAACGCAAGGCAGTCTAAGGATAGAGACATCTGAGCGACCCCAGGCAATCTAATAGGAGAGACTCCTGGCCAACCGCAGGCAGTCTAATAAAGACAACTTGGCCACCACAGGTATTTTAACGGGAGAAACTTCTGGCCAACCCCAGGCAGTCTAATGATAGGGACACCTTGATGACCCAAGGAATTATAATGCAAGAGACTCCCCCCGACTCCAGGCATTCTAGTGATAGAGATACATGGGCCATGCCAGGCATTCTAATGGGAGAGACTCCCGGGCGACCACAGGCATTCTAATGAGAGAGACACCAGAGAGAACCCAATGATTTTAATGGAGAATCTCCTGTCTGACATCAGGCAGTCTAAGGATAGAAACCCATGGGCGACCCACAGGCATTCTACTGGGAGAGACTCCCGGCTGACCCCAGGCAGTCTGACGATAGAGACACCTGGGTGACACAAGGCATTTTAGTGGCAGGATCTCCTGGCCGACCCGAGGCAGTCTAATGATAGAGACACATGGGTGACACCAGGCTTTGTAATGACAGGAACTCCTGGCTGACCCCAAGCAGTCTTATGATAGAGACACTTGGGTAACATCAGGCTTTCTAATGGGAGATACTCTCTGCCTACCCAAAGCAGTCTAATAGTAGAGACACCTGGGTAACCCCAGACATTCTAATGCAAGAGATTCCTGGCCAACCCCTGGTACTCTAATGATAGAGACACCTAGGCCACCCCAGACATCATAATGGGAGAGAGACCTGGTAGACCCCGGCAGACTAATCATAGAGACCCCTGGGTGACCCCAGAAATTCTAATGAGAGGCTCCCAGCTGACCCCAGACACTCTAATGATAGACACACCTGAGGGAACCCCAGGCATTTTAATGGAAAAGACTCCCAGCCAACCCAAGGTAGTCCAATGATAGGGACACATGGGTGGAACCAGGCATTCTAATGGGAGAGACTCCAGGGTGACCCACATCATTCTAATGTTAGAGACTCCCGGCCGACCACAAGCAGTGTAAAAATAGAGACACTTGGATGAACATAGGCATTCTAAAGAGAGAGACTCCCGGCTGACCCCAAGCAGTGTAAAAATAGAGACACTTGGATGAACATAGACATTCTAAAGAGAGAGACTCCCGGCCGACCCCAAGCAGTATAATGACAGAGACACTTGGGCGATCCCAAGCATTCGAATGGGAGAGTCTCCTGGCAGACCATAAGCTGCCTAATTATTTAGACACCCAGGCGACCCAAGGCATTCTAGTGGGAAAGACTACCAACTGACCGCAGGCTTTCTAATGAAAGGGACTCTTCTCTGAACCAAGGCAGTCTAAAATAGAGACACCTGGTCAATCCCAGACATTCTAATGAGAGAGACTTCCAGCTGATCCCAGGCTGTATAATGATAGAGACATTTGGGTGATACCAGGCATTTTAATGGGAAAGACCATTAGAATGCCTGGCTGAAACCACGCATTCTAATGAAAAAGACTCCTGGCCGACCCCAGGCAGCCAAATGATAGAGACACCTGGGCAACCCCAGGCATTCTAATGGGAGAGACTCCCAGCCGACCCCAGGCATTCTAATGAGACCCATGGGTTACCCAGGAATTCTAATAATAGAGGCATCTTTGTGACCCCAGGCATTCTAATGAGAGAGACTCCTGGGCGAACCAAGCATTCTAATGAGAGAGACTCCTGGCTGAACGCAGGCGGTCTTATGATGGAGACACCTATGCAACCCCAGGCATTCTAATAGAAGTGACTTCTGGATGACCACAACTAGTCTAATGATGGAGACACCTGTGCGACCCCAGGCATTATAATGAGACTCCTTGCCGACCACAGGCAGTGTAATTATAAAGATGCCTGTGTGACCCCAGGTGTTCTAACGGAAGAGGCTTTCAGCCAACCCCAGGCAGTCTAAAGATAGAAAAACCTGGGTGACCCCAGGCTTTCTAATGATAGAGACACCTGGGTGAACCCAGGCATTCTAATGAAAGAGACTTCGGCTGACTCCAGGCATTCTAATAAAAGAGACTCCTAGCTGACCCCAGGCAGTCTAATGATAGAATCACCAGAGCGACCCTAGGCATTCTAAAAGGAGAGACTCCCAGCCGACGGTAGGCAGTTTAATGAATGAGACACCTGGGCGATTTCAGGCATTTTAATGGGAGAGACTCCTGGTTGACCACAGGCAGTGTAATTATAAAGACACCTTGGTGATCCTAGGCATTCTAATGGGGGAGACTCCTGCCCAACCATAGGCAGTCTAATGATAGAAACACCTGGGCTACCTCAAGAATTCTAATGATAGAGATACCTGGGCGACCCCAGGCATTCGAATGAGAGAGACTCCCAGCCAATCCCAGGCATTCTAATGATACAGACACCTGGGTGACCTTAGGCATTCTAGTGGGAGAGACCACTGTCTGACGAAAGGCCGTCTAATGAGAGAGACACCTGCTCAACCCCAGACATTCTAATGGGAGAGACTCCTGGCTGACCCCAAGCATCCTGATAATAAAGAAATCTGAACCACCTGTTGCATTTTAACGATTGAAACACCTGGGCGACCCCAGGCATTCTAATGGGAGAGACTCCTGGCCCACACCAGGCAGTCTAGTGATGGAGAAACTTGGGTGACCCCAGACACTCAAATGGGAGAGACTCCTGGCCAACCCCAGGCAATCTAATAATAGAAACACCTGGGTAACCACAGGAATTCTAATGAAAGAGACTCCCAGCCAACATTAGGCAGTCTAATGATAGAGAAACCTTGGTATACCTAGGCATTTTAATGAGTCTCCTAACCAACAGCAGGAAGTCTAATAGTAGAGACAATTTGGTGACCCCAGGCATTCTAATAAGAAAGACTCCTGGCCAACCCCAGGCATTCTAATGACAGGGACACTTGGACGACCTTAGGCATTCTAATAGGAGAGAGTCTTGGCTGACCCAAGGCCATCTAGTACAGAGACAGCTTGGCGACCACAAGCATTATAATGGAAGAGGCTCCTGGCCAACCACAGGCAGTCTAATTATAGAGACAACTGGGCGACCTCAGGCATTCTAATAAGAGATTTTTTTTTTTTGCCAACCCCAGGCAGTCTAATGATAGAGAAACCTGGGCGACCCCAGGCATTCTAATGAGAGAGACTTCAAACCGACCACAGGCATTCAAATAATAGAGACACCTGGCCAACCCCAGGCATTCTAATGAAAGAGACTCCTGGGCAACCCCAGACATTTTAATAAGACAGACTGCTGGCTGACCCCAGGCAGTATAATGATAGAGACACCTTGGTGACCTCAGGCATTCTAATAGAAGAGACTCCCAACCAACACCAGGCATTCTAATGGGAGAGACTCTTTGCCCACCCCAGGCAGTCTAATGCTAGAGATATATGGGCGACCCCAGGCATTCTAATGGTGGAGACTCCTGGCCAGCCTAAGGCAGTCTAATAATAGAGAGGCTTGATTGATCCCAGGCATTCTAATGGAAGAGACTCCTGGCCTACCCAAAGCAATCTAATTACAGAGATACCATGGTGACCCCAGGCATTCTAATGGGAAAGACTCCCAGTGGACCCCAAGTATTAGTATGAAAGAGACACCTGGGTGACCCCAGTCATTCTAATGGGACACACTCCTTGCCCACCCCAGGCAGTCTAAAAATAGAGACACCACGGCGACCCCAGGAGTTTTAATGGGAGAGTCTTCTGGCCGAGCCCAGGCAGTCTAATTATAGAGACACTGGAACGACCCCACGCATTCTAATGGAAGAGACTTTTGGCTGACCCCAGGGATTCTAATGAGAAAGACTCTCAGCCAGCCCCAGGCAGTCTAAGTATAGACACCTGGGCGACCCCAGGCTTTCTAATTTGAGAGACTCCTGGCCGACCCCAGGCATTCTAATGATACAGACACCTGGGCAACCCCTGGCATTCTAATGGGAGAGATTCCTGGCTGACCACAGGCAGCTGAATGATAAAGATACCTGAGCAACTCCAGGTATTGTAATGAGAGAGACTCCCAGGCTGACCCCAAGCATTCTAATAATAGAGACACCTGGTGACCCCAGGCATTCAAATGATAGAGACTTCTGAGTGAACCCAGGCCTTCTAATGAGACAGACTCCTGGCCAACCCCAGGCATTCTTATGATAGAGTAATCTGGGCCACCCCAGACATTCTAATGGGAGAGATGCTGGGACAAATCCAGGAAGTCTAATTATAGAGACATCTGGGCAACCTCAGGCATTCTAATGATAAAGACTTCCGGCCAATGTAAAGCTGCTTAATGATAGACCTCGGCGTCCCAGGCATTTTAATGGGATTGACTCCTGGCTGACCACCAGCAGTTTAATGATAGAGTCATCTGTGCGACCCTATGCATTCTAATGAGACAGGCTTATAGCTGACCCTAGGCAGTCTAACACTAGAGACACCTGGGGGACACAAGGCTTTCTAATGAAAGGGACTCCGGAATACCCCAGGGTGTGTAATTATAGAGACACCTGGGCTAGCGCAGGCATTCTAATTATAGGGACAACTCGACGATCCCAAGCATTCTAATGGGAGAGACTCTCGGCTGACACTTGGCATTCTAATGGGAGAGACTCCTTGCCAATCCCAGGCAGTCTAATGCTAGAGACACCTGGGTGACCTCAGGCATTCTAATGTGAGATACTCCCGGCCAACATAAGACAGTCTAATGTTAGAGAAACCTTGGTATTTCTAGGCATTATGAGAGAGTCTCCTGGCCAGGCAATGTAATGATAGAGAAACTTGGGTCACCCCAGGCATTCTAATGGGAGACACCTGGCCAACCCTAGGCATTCTAATGATAGAGACAGCTGGGTGACCCCAGGCATTCTAATGGAAGAGAGTCCTGGCCAACCTCAGGCAGTCTAGGATATAAACACCTGGGCAAACACACACATTATAATGGGAGAGATTCCTGGCCAACCCCAGGCAGTCTAAATATAGAGACACCTGGGCAACCTCAGGCATTCTAATGGGAGAGACTCCTGGCCAACCCAAGGCAGTCTAATGTTAGAGAAACCTGGGTGACCCCAGGCATTTTAATGGGAGAGACTCCCAGCCGACCTCAGGCATTCTAATAATACAGACACCTGGGCGACCCCATGCATTCTAATGATAGAGAAACCTGGCCGACTCCAGGCATTCTAACAATAGAGACACCTGGCAGACCCCAGACATTCTAATAGGAGAGACTCACAGCCAACCCCAGGCATTCTAATAAGATAGACTTCTGGCCAACCCCAGGCAGTGTAATGATAGAGACACCTTGGCGACCTTAGGCATTTTAATGGGAGAGACTTCCGGCCGACAACAGGCATTCTAATGGAAGAGTCGTTTTGCTGACCCCAGGCAGTCTAATGCTAGAGACTCCTGGGGGACTCCAGGCATTCTAATGGGAGAGAATCCCAGCCGACATAAGGCAGTCTAATGATAGATACACCTGGACGATTTCAGGCATGTTAATGAGAGAGGCTCCTGGCTTACCCCAGGCAATCTAATTATAGAGACACCGTTGCAAATCCAGGCTTTTCAATGCGAGAGACTCCTGGCAGACCCCAAGCATTCTTATGATAGAGACACCTGGGTGACCCCAGGCATTCTAATGGGAGAGACTTTCAGCTGACTCCAGTCTTTTTAATGGGAGACACTCCTGGCCCACCCCAAGCAGTCTAAGGATAGAGACAGCTGGGTGACCCCAGGCTTTTTAATTGGAGATTCTTCTGGCTGAGCCCAGGCAGTCTAATGATAGAGACATGAGAATGATCCCACACATTCTAATGGATGAGACTATTGGGCGATCCCAGGCATTCTAATGAGAAAGATTCTGGGCCAACCCCAGGTGGTCTAAGGATAGACACACCTGGGTGACCCCAGGCATTCTAATTTGAGAGACTCCCAGCCAACCCCAGGTATTCTAATTATACAGACACCTGTGTGACTCCTGACATTATAATGGTAGAGACTCCTGGCTGACCAAAGGTAGTGGAATGTTAGAGAAACCTGTGTGACCACAGGTGTTTTAATGGGAGAGACTCATGGCTGATCCCAAACATTCTAATGATAGAGAAACCTGGGCGACCTCTGGCATTAGAATGACAGAGACATCTGGGCAAACCCAGGCATTCTAATGGGAGAGAGTTCTGGGCAAACCCAGGCATTCTAATGGTGGAGACTCCTTGGCAACCCCAGGCATTCTACTGATAGAGTCATCTGGGCAACCCCAGGCATTCTAATGGAAGAGACTTTTGGTAGGCAGTCTAATGGTAGAGAAACCTGGGTGACCCCAGGCATTCTAATGGGAGAGATTTTTGGCCAACCCCAAACATTCTAATAAGAGAGACTCCTGGTTGACCCCAGGCAGTCTAATGATTGAGACACCTGAGCAACCAAAGGCATTCTAATGGGAAGGAATTTTGACCAACCCCAGGCAGTCTGATGAATGAGACACCTAAGCAATACCAGGCATTATAATGGGAAAGACTCCTGGCCAACCCTAGGCAGTTTAATGGTAGAGACACTTGGTCGACCCCAGGCATTCTAATAGGAGAGACTCCTGGCTGACCCCAAGCATTCTTATGATAGAGACACCTGGTCGACTTTAGTTATCCTAATGGGAAAGACCCTCAGCTGACCCCAGACATTCTAATGGGAGAGACTACTGACTGATGCCAGGCAGTCTAAGGGTAGAGGCAACTGGGCGACCCCAGGCATTCTAATAGGAGATACTTCTGGCCAACCCAAGACAGTTTAATAATAGAGACACCTGGACGACACCAGACATTTTAGTGGGAGAGACTCTCGGCTGACCTGAGGCATTTTCATGGGAGAGACTCCTTGCCCACCCCAGGCAGTCAGATGATAAAGACACCTGGGTGACCCCCAGGCTGGAGTGCAGTGGTGCAATCTTGGCTCACTGCAAGATCTGCCTCCTGGGTTGATGCCATTCTCCTGCCTCAGCTTCCCCTGTAGCTGGGACTACAGGCTCCTGCCATCACGCCTGGCTAATTTTTTATATTTTTAGTAAAGATGAGGTTTTACTGTGTTAGCCAGGATGGTCTTGATCTTCTGACCTCGTGATCTGCCTGCCTCAGCCTCCCAAAGTGCTGGGATTACAGATGTGAGCCACCACGCCTGGCCAACCCCAGGGACTCTAATGGGAGAGACTCCTGGCCAACCCCAGGCCTTCTTATAATACAGACACCTGGGTGACCTTAGGCATTCTAGTAGGAGAGACTCCCTGCTTACCACAGGCCGTCTAATGATTGAGACACCTGGGCAACACCAGGCATTCTAATGGAAGAGACGTTTGGCCGACTCCAAGCATTCTAATAATAGAGACACCTGAACAACCCCTGGGATTTTAAAGGTTGAGACACCTGGACAACCCCAGGCATCCTAATGGCATAAAATTAGTTAATGGCATAAAATTTTGATTTTAATGAGAGTTTCCTGGCCATCACCAGGCAGTCTAATTATAGGAACACTTGAGCTACCCCAGGCATTCTAATGGGAGAGACTACCGACCAAACCCAGGCATTCTAACGATAGAGATACCTGGGCGACCTCAGGCATTTTTAATGGCAGAGACTCCTGACTGTCCCCAGCTGTCTAGAAAGGTCTCAGAAATGTCCCTTCAAAAATAATACAAACAGAGTGTTTCCAACCTGTTGAATAAAAACATATGTTTCATTCAGTGAGATGAACCCACACATCACAAAGCATTTACAGATATAGCTTTCTAGTTTTTATTGTGGGAAGCTCGATTTTTCACTATAGGCCTCAATGGGCTCAGAAATGTTCCTTGATAGATTCTACAAAATGAGTGTTTCCTACCTGTGGAATCAAAACAGAGGTTTAATTCTTTGAGATTAATCCACAGATTACAAAGCACTTTCACAGATAGGTTGTTTCTAACTTTTATCGTGGGATATTCCATTTTTCACTACAAGCTTGAGTAGTCTCAGAAATGTCCCTTCTTAGATTCTACAAAAAGAATGTTTCTAAAGTAATGAACCAACATACAGGTTCCATTCAGTGAGATAAATCCACACATCACTAAGCATTTTCACAAAAAGCTTGTTGCTAGTTTTTATCTTGAGATATTCCATTTTTCACTATAGGCATTAATGGGCTTGAAAAATGTCCCTTTGTAGATTCTACAAAAAGAGTGTTTCCAACCTGCTGAAACAAAACATAACTGATAGAAGAATTCACGCATTGCAAAATATTTTCACTGATGCTTGTTCCTAGTTTTTCTAAGGGGATATTCAGTTTTTCAGTATTGACCCCAATGGACTCAGAAATGTTCCTTCCTAGATTCTACAAAAAGAGGGTTTTCAACCTGCTGAATCAAAACAAAGGTTTAAGCCTGTGAGATGAATCCACACATTGCAAAGCATTTTCACAGATAGCTTGTTTCTAGTTTTTATCTTGGGATATGCAATTTTTCACTATATGACCCAGTAGGCTAAGAAATGTCTTTGTAGATTCTACAAAAAGAGAGTTTCCAACCTGCTGAATCAAAGCAAAGGTGTAATTCTGTGAGAGGAATCCACATATCACTAAGCATTTTCACATATAGCTTGTTTCTAATTTATATCATGAGACATTCGTTTTTTCACTATAGGCCTCAAAAAGCTCAGCAATGTTTCTTCATAGATTCTACAAAAAAGTGTTTTCAAGATGGTGAATCAAAACACAGGTTCCATTTGGTGAGATGCATCCACACAGCACATAACATTTTCACAGACAGATTGTTTTTAGTTTTTATTGTGAGACACTTGTTTTTATCATAGGCCTCAATGTGCTCAGGAAAGTTTCTCCATAGATTCTACAAAAAGAGTGTTTCCATCCTTTTAAATCAAAACAAAAATTTAACTCTGTAATATGAATCCATCAATTCCAAAGCATATTCACAGATAGCTTGTTTACAGTTTTAATAGTGGGATATTCTGTTTTTCACTATTTGCATCAGGCATATCAGAAGTGTCCCTTCATAGAGAGTACAAAAAGTGTGTTTCTGACATGGTGAATCAACATAAAGGTTCCATTTGGTGAGATTAATCCACACATCACAAATAATTTTTACTTATAGCTTGTTTCTAGTTTTTATCGTGGGACATTTAGTTTTTCATGAAAGGCCTCAATTTGCTCTAAAATATTCCTTTGTTGATTGTTCAAAAAGTGTTTCCAACCTGTTGAATCAAAACAAATATTTTATTCTTTGTGGTAAATCCACACATCACAAATCATTTTTGCCAATAGTTTTTTTGTAGTTTTTATTCTGGGAAATTCAGTTATTTCCTGTTGACCTCAAATTGCTCAGAAATGTCCCTTCATAGATTCCACAAAATGAGTGTTTACAACCTGTGGATTAAAAAAGGGTTTATTTCTGTGAGATACATTTACACATTGCAAAGTATTTTCCCAGATAGCTTGTTTCTAGTTTTTATCACAGGAAATTCAGTTTTTCATTATAGGCTTCAATGAGCTAAGAAACGTTTCTTCGTAGATTCTACAAAAAGAGTGTTTCCAACCTGGTAAATCAAAAAACAGGTTTCATTCAGTGAGATTAATCCACATATCACAACGCATTTTCACAGATAGCTTCTTTTTACTTTTTATCAGGAGATATTCAGTTTTTTTATCATAGGCCTCAAAGGGCCCAGAAATGTTTATTAGTAAGTTCTACAAATAAAGTGTTTCTAACTCTTTGAATCAATACAAAGTTTAACTCTGTGAGATGAATCCAAACATTCCAAAGCATTCTCACAGATTACTTCTTTCTAGTTTTTGTAGCAAAAATTAGATTCTTCACTATAGGCCTCAGTGGGCTCAGAAATGTCCCTTTGCAGATTGTACAATAAAGTGTTTCCATCCTGGTGAATCAAAACGCAGGCTTCATTCCGTTAGATAAACCCACACATCACAAAGCTTTTACAGATAGCTTGTTTCTAGTTTCTATCATTGGATATTCATTTTTTTGCTATAGGTCTCAATGGGCTCAGAAATTTTTTTGTAGATAGTACAAAAAGGTGTTTCCAACCAGTTGAATTAAAACACAGGTTTAAATCTCTGAGATGAATCCACACATCCAAAAGCATTTTCACAGATAGCTTGTTTCAAGCCTTTATCAGAGAATATTTGGTTTTTCACAATGGGCCTCAAAGGGATCTGAAATATCCTTTGGTAGATTCTACAAAAAGAGTGTTTTAACCTGGTGTATTGACATACAGGTTTCATTCAGTGAGATGAATCCACATATCACAAGGTATTTTCAGAGATAGCTTGTTTCTAGTTTTCATCATGGGATGTTCGATTTTTCACTACAGTTTTCATTTATTTTGTGGGATAGTCAGCTATTCAGTATAGGCTTCAATGTGCTCAGAAATATTTCTTCATAGATTCTACAAAAAAGAGTGTTTCCAAGCTGTGTAATAAAAACAAAATTTTAACTCTGTGAGATGAATCTATACATCTAAAAGAACCCATAACTCACAAAGCAGTTTCACAAAGAGCTTGCTTTTAATTTTTAATCACATGATATTCAGTTTCTTACTGCAGGCTTTGAAGGGCTCAGAAATATACCTTTGTAGATTTTATAAAAAACGTGTTTCCAACCTGGTGAATCAAAACACCGGTAACATTTGATGAGATGAATACACTCATTATAAGGTATTTTCACAGACAGCTTTTTTTCTAGTTTTTATTACAAAATATTTGCTTCTTCAACATGGCTCCAGTAAGTTCAGAAATGTCACTTTCTCGAATTCTACAATAAGGGGGTTTCCAACCTGGTGAATCAAAACAGAGGATCTATTTAATTAGATGAATCCACACATCACAAAGCATTTTGACAGATAGCATGTTTCTAGTTTTGATCGTAGGATATTCAGTTTTTCACTATAGTCCTCAACAGGCTAAAAAATGTCTCTTTGTAGATTCTACAAAAAGAGTGTTTCCAATTTGTACAATGCAAACAAAAGTTCAACTCTTTGAGATGGGTCTGCCCATTGCAAAGCATTTTCCTAGATTGCTTGTTTCTAGTTTTAATCCTGGGAAATTTGTTTTTTTAGGATGGGCCCCAAAGGGGGTCAGAAATGTCCCTTCATAAATTTTACAAAAAGAGTGTTTCCAGCCTGTTAAATCAAAACAAAGCATTAACTCTTTGAGATGAATACACACATCACAAAGCATTTTAACAAATAGCTAGTTTCTAGTTTATATAGTGAAAATTTCAGTTCTTCACAACTGGCCTCTATGGAGTAAGAAATGCCCCAATATAAATCCTACAAAAAGAGTGTTTCCACCCTGTTAAATCAAAATAAAGGTAAAACACTTTGAGATAAATCCACACATAACAAAGAATTTACACAGATATCTCATTTCTAGTTTTTATCACAGGAAATTTAATTTTTCACTATGGGCCTGAATGGAACCAGAAATGTCCCTTTGTAGATTCTACAAAAAAAGGGTATCCAAGCTGTGGAATCAAAATAAATGTTTAAATCTGCAAGGTGAGTCCACAAATCACAAAGCATTTTTACATATAGTTTGTTTCTAGTTTTTATCATGGATATTTGGCTTTACATGATGCACCTCAATGGGCTCTCAAATGTTTCTTCATAGATTCTATAAAAAGAGTGTTTCCAAATCAGTGAATCAAAACACAGGTTCCATTCGGCTACATGAATCCATACACCACAAAGCATTTTCATAGGTAGCTTGTTTCTAGTTATTATCGAGGGATATTCCATTTTTTACAATGGTCTTCAAAGGGTTCTGAAATATCCCTTTGTTGATTCTACAAGAAGAGTGTTTCCAACCTGGTAAATTGACACACAGTTTCCATTTGGTGAGATGAATCCACACATCACAAGTATTTTCAGAGACAGCTTGTTTCTAGTTTTGATAGTGGGATATTTGATTTTTCACCATATTTTCTACCTTTTTTCATGGGATATTCAGTTGTTTTTTTTTTAGTATAGACCTAAGTGGGCTCAAAACTGTCCCTTTGTAGATTCTACAAGTAGGGTTTCCAACCTAGTGAATAAGAACACAGCTTCTATTTGGTGAAATGAATCCACCTGTCACAAAGAATTTTCACAGACATCTTGTTTTGACTTTTTATCGCATAATATTCAGTTTCTCACTATAGGCCTGAATGGGCTCAAAAATATCCCTTCATAGATTCTTCAAAGAGAGTGTTTACAACCTGTTGAATCAAAACAAAGGTGGAAGTCATTGTGATGAAACCGCACATCTCAAAGCATTTTTAATAATAGCTAGTTATTAGTTTCAATTTTGAAAATTTCCAGTTTTCACTACAGGCATCAATGGGCTCAGAAATGTTTATTTTTGGATTCTACAAATAAAAACAAAATGTTTCCAACCTGGTGAACCAAAATAAAAGCTTAACTCTGTGAGATAAAGCCACACAGCATGAAGCATTTTTGCAGAGAGCTTGTTTCTAATTTTTGTGGTGGGATATTTGATTTTTTACCATAGGCCTTAATGGGCTCAGAAATGTACCTTTATATATTCTACAAAAGAAGTGTTTCCAACCTGGTTAATCAAAATACAGATTCCATTCAGTGAGATGAATCCACACATAACAAAGTATTTTCACAGACAGCTTGTTTCTACTTTTTATCGCAGGACATTCAGTTTTTCACTGGAGGCCTCAATGGGCTCAGAAATGTCCCTTCATAGATTCTACAAAAAAGGTGTTTCTAACCTACTGAATCAGAACAAAGGTGTAATTCCTTGAGAAGAAACAAATCACGATGGATTTTCACAAATAGCTCTTTTCTAGTTTTTATCATGGGAAATTTGTGTTTTCAGCATAGGCCTCAACAGGTCAGAAATATCTTTTCATAGATTCCACAAGAAAAGTGTTTCCACCCTGTGAATCAAAACAAAGGTTTAACTATGAGAGATGAAACCACATATCACAAAGCATTTTCACAGATAGCTTGTTTCTAGGTTTTATAACAAGATATTCACTTTTTCACCATGGTTTTATTGTGTCCAGAAATGTCACTTTGTGGATTCTACAAAAAGTGTTTCCAACCTGGTGAATAAAAACATACGTTCTATTAAGTGAGAGGAATCCAAAAATCACAAAGCATTTTCACACATAGCTTTTTTCTAGTATTTATCATGAGATATTTGGTTTTTTTCAGTATAGGCCTCAATGGGTCAAAAATATGCCTTTGTAGATTCTACAATAAAAGTGTTTCCAAAGTGTTCAATCAAAACAAAGGCTTACCTCTGTTATATGAATCCACAAATTGCAAAGCATTGTCATAGCTTGTTTGTAGTTTTTATTGCAGGATATTCAGTTTTCCACTAGAGGCCTCAATGGTCTCAGAAATGTCTTCTGGTAAATTCTATAAAAAGAGTGTTACCAGACTGTTGAAAAAAACCAAAGGTTTACTGCTTTGACATGAATCCACACATTGCAAAGCATTTTCACAGACAGCTTGTTTCTAATTTTTATCACGGGAAATTCGGTTTTTCACTATAGGCCTAATGGGCTTCAAAATGTCCATTTGTTTATTGTATAAGAAGAGTGTCTGCAGCCTGTTGAATCAAAAAAAAAAGGTTTGAATTTGTGAGATGATTCCACACATTGCAAAGCATTTTCACAAATAGGTTGTTACTAGTTTTTATAGTGAGAAATTTGTTTTTTCATTATACTTCTCGATGGGCTAAGAAATGTCTCTTGGTAGATCTAACAAAGACAGAGTTTCCAACCTGTTAAATTAAAACAAGTTTTAAGTCTGTGAGATGAATCTACACATTGCAAAGCATTTCACAGATAGCTTATTTCTAGTTTTTATTGTGGAAAATTCAGGTTTTCACTGTAGTTATCAATGGGCCACAAAATGTTCCTTCGTAGATACTACAAAAAAAGTGTGCTTACAACCTGTTGTATCAAAACAAAGGTTTAACTCTGAGATGAATCCACACAATGCAAAGCATTTTCACAGAGAGTTTGTTTTTAGTTTTTATTGGGGGAAATTCTGTTTTTTACTATAGGACTCAATGAACTCACAAATGTTCCTTTGTAGATTCTACAAAAAGAGTGTTTCCAACCTGTTAAATTAAAACAAAGGTTTAAGTCTGTGAGAAGAATCCACACATCACAAAAGCATTTTCTCAGATAGCTTGTACTTTTCATTGATGGATAGTCCGTTTTTCACTATAGGCCTCAATGGGCTCCGAAATATTCATTCATGGATTCTACAAAAAGAGTATTTCTAACCTATTGAATCTAAACAAAGGTTTACATCTGTGAGATGAATTCACACATCCCACAGCATTTTCACAGATAGCTTGTTTCTAGTTTATATAGTAGAAAATTTGTTTTTTCTCTATAGTCCTCTATGGGTTCAGAAGTGTTTCTTTGTACATTCTACAAAAAGAGTGTTTCCAACCTGGTAAATCAAAACACAGGTTCCATTCGGTGAGATAAATGCACACATCACAAAGCATTGCACAGAAAGGTTGTTTTTAGTTTTTGTCTTGAGATTTTCGAGTTTCCACTATAAGCCTTGGTTTGCTCAGAAATGTCCCTTTGTGGATTCTACAAAACGTGTGTTTCCAAATAGGGAATCAAAACACAGTTTGCATTCTGTGAGTTGAATCCACATATCACAAAGCATTTTCACAGATTTCATGTTTTTAATTTTTCTCACAGGATATTCAATTTTTCACTACAGGCCTCAATGGGACCAGAAATGTCCATTCGTAGATTCTACAAAATGAGTGTTTCCAATCTGTTGAATGAAAACAAAGGTTTTTCTTTGTGAGATAAATCCACACATCCCAAAGCATTTTCACAGATAGCTGGTCTGTAGTTTTTATTACAGGAGATTTGGTTTTTCACTGTAGGCATCAGTGGGCTCAGAAATGTCCATCTGTAGATTCTACAAAAAGAGTGTTTCCAACCTGTTGAATCAAAATAAACTTTTAACTCCATGAGATAAATCCACACATCACAAAGCATTTTTAGAGATAGCTTGTTTTTAGTTTTTCTCATGGGATATTCAGTTTTATATTATAGGCCTCAATGGGCTCTGAAATGTCCCTCCATAGATTCTACAAAAAGAGAATTCCCAACCTGTTGAATCAAAAAAAGGTTTAACTCTGTGAGGCGAATTCACACATCACAAAGCACTTTCACAGATTTTTTTTTCTAGTTTTTATCATGGAATATTGTTTTTCACTACAAGCCTCAATGGGCTTAGAAATGTTCCTTCATAGATTCTATATAAGTGTTATTAACATGGTGAATCAATGTACAGGTTTTATTCAGTGAGATGAATCCACACATCACAAAGAATTTTTACAGGTAGCTTATTTCAAGTTTTTTATCGCATGATATTTGGTTTTTCACTGTAAGCCTCAATTGGCTCAGAAATGAGTTTTTGTAGCTTCTATAAAAAGAGTGTTTACAACCTATTGAATCAAAACAAAAGTTTAACTCTGTGGGATGAACCCACATATCACAAAGCTTTTTCACAGGTAGATTCAACCTAGTTCATGTTACGGGATATTTGATTTTTCACTATGGGTCTATATATGCTCAGAAATTTTTCTTTATAGATTCTACCAAAATACTTTTTCAAACCCAGTAAATAAAAACTCAGGTTCCATTCAATGAGATGAATGAACAAATAACAAATCATTTTCACAGATAGCTTGCTTTTATTTTGTCTCACAGGATATTCACTTTTTGCTACAGGCCTCAATGGTCTCAGAAATATCCCTTTGTAGATTCTACGAAAATAGTTTTTCCAACCTGGCAAACAAAAACAGAAGTTTAACTATTTGGGATGCATCCACACATACGAAAGCATTCTCACAAATAGCTTATTTCTAGTTTTTATCATGCAAAATTCTGTTTTTCACTGTAGGCCTCAATGGGCTTGATATGTCCCTTCATAGATTCTACAAAAAGAGTGTTTCCAACCTGGTCAATCAAAACACAGGTTTCATTTGGTAAGATGAATTCACACATTAGGAAGCTTTTTCACAGATAGCTTGTCTCTACTTTTTATCGTGAGACATTCCCATTTTACTATAGCCTTCGAGGGGCTCAGCAATGATCCTTTGTAGATTCTACAAAAACATGGTTTACAATTTTTTTAATCAAAAGAAATATTTAACTCTGTTATATGAATCCATACATTGAAAGCATTTTCACAGGTAACTTGTTTCCAGTTATTATCAAGGGAAATTCAATTTTCAAATATAGGCCTCATGGGCTCAAAAATGTCCCTTCATAGATTTTACAAAAAAAGAATGTTCACAACCTGTCACATCGAAACGAAGGTATAACTCTATGAGATGTATTCACATATTGCAGAGCAATTTCACAGATTGTTTGTTTCTAGTTTTTGAGGAGACATATTCCATTTTTCAATATAGGTTTCAATGGGCTCAGAAATGTCCCTTTGTAGGTTCTACTAAACTAGTGGTTTTTAATCCATTCAATCAAAATAAAGGTTTAATTCTGTAAGATGAGTCCACACATCTCAACACGTTTTTATGGATACCTTGTTTGTAGTTTTTAAGGTGTGATATTCAGTTTTTCACTATTGCTCTTACTGGGCTCAAAAATGTCCCTTTGTAGATTCTACAGAAACAGTATTTTCAACCTGTTGAATCAAAGCAAAGGTTTAACTCTGTGAGATGAATCCACACATCTTAAAGCATTTTGGCAAATAACTTGTTTCTACTTTTTATTGTAGAAAATTTGGTTTTTCCCTTATCCCAAGATGGCTCAGAAATGTCCCTTTGCAGACTTTACAATAAGATTTTTTCCAACCTGTTGAATGGAAACACAGATTTCTTTCAGTGAGATTAATCCACACATCACAAACCATTTTCACAGATAGCTGGTGTTTCTGGTTTTTATCATGGAAATTTCAGTTTTTCACTGTTGGCCTCGATGGACTCAGAAATGTCTGCTTGCTGATAGTATAAAACGAGTGTTTTTAACCTGTCAAATCAAAACAGAAGTTTAACTCTGTAAGATGAATTTACACATCACAAAGCATTTTCACGAATAGCTTGTTTTTAGTTGTTATCATGGGATATTTTGTTATTCAGTACACCTTAATAATCTCAGAAATGTCTTTTGTAGATTTTACAGAAGAGTGTTGCCAAACCTGTTAAATAAAAACAAAAGTTAAACTCAGTGATATGAATCCACATATCACAAAGAATTTTCACAAATAACTTGTTTCTAGTTTCTATTGCAGGATATCTTGTTTTTCACTGTAGACCTCAATTGTCTCAGAAATGTCCCTTCATAGATTCAACAACAAGAATGTTTCCAACCTGTTGAATGAAAAAAAAGTTAAACTCTGTGAGATAAATCTACACATCATAAAGCATTTTCACAAATAGTTTCTTTCTAGTTTTTATTGCTGGATATTTGGCTTTTCACTACAGGCCTCAAGGGGCTCTGAAATGTGCCTTCGTAGATTTTACAAAAATCGTATTTCCAGCCTGGTGAATGAAAACATTTCCAGCCTGGTGAATGTTAAACTGTGAGATAAATGCACACACCACGAAGCATTTATACAGGTATCTTATTTCTAGTTTTTATGCGTTTTATTCTGTTTTTCACTATAGGCCTCAATGGGCTAAGAAATATCCCTTTGTAGTTCTAGATCCCTGAGGAATCACCACACTAATTTCCACAATTGTTGAACTAGTTTACTGTCCCACCAAGAGTGTAAAATTTTCCTATTTCTCCACATCCTCTCCAGCACCTGTTGTTTCCTGACTTTTTAATGATCACCATTCTAACTGGTGTGAGATGGTATCTCCTTGTGGTTTTGATTTGCGTTTCTCTGATGGCCAGTGATGATGAGCATTTTTTCATGTGTCTTTTGGCTGCATAAATGTCTTCTTTTGAGAAGTATAAAAATGGCCATACTGCCCAAGGTAATTTATAGATTCAATGCCATCCCCATCAAACTACCAATGACTTTCTTCACAGAATTGGAAAAAACTACTTTAAAGTTCATATAGAACCAAAGAAGAGCTCGCATTGCCAAGTCAATCCTAAGCCAAAAGAACAAAGCTGGAGGCATCACACTACCTGACTTCAAACTATATTATGAGGCTACAATGACCAAAACAGCATGGTACTGGTACCAAAACAGAGATATAGACCAATGGAACAGAACAAAGCCCTCAGAAATAATGCCACATATCTACTACTATCTGATCTTTGACAAACCTGACAAAAACAAGAAATGGTGAAAGGATTCTCTATTTAATAAATGGTGCTGGGAAATCTGGCTAGCCATATTCAGAAAGCTGAAACTGGATCCCTTCCTTACACCTTATACAAAAATTAATTCAAGATGGATTAAAGACTTTAATGTTAGACCCAAAATCATAAAAACCCTAGAAGAAAACCTAGGCAATACCATTCAGGACATAGACATGGGCAAGGACTTCATGTCTAAAACACCAAAAGCAATGGCAACAAAAGCCAAAATTGATAAATGGGATCTAATTAAAGTAAAGAGTTTCTGCACAGCAAAAGAAACTACCATCAGAGTGAACAGGCAACCTACAGAATGGGAGAAAATGTTTGCAATCTACTCATCTGACAAAGGGCTAATATCCAGAATCTACAATGAACTCAAACAAATTTACAAGAAAAAAACAACCCCATCAAAAAGTGGGTGAAGGATATGAATAGACCCTTCTCACAAAGCATTTTCATAGTTTCTACTTTTTATCATGGGTTATTCAGTTTTCCATTATAGACCTCAATGGGCTCAGGAATGTTCCCTCATTGATTCTACAAAATGAGTATTTCCAACATGTTGAATCACAACAAAGATTTTATGTTGTGAGATGGATCCACACATCACAAAGCATTTTCACTGGTAGCTTGTTTTTAGTTTTTGTAGTGGGAAATTCGATTTTTCACTACAAGCCTCAATGGGCTCAGAAATATCCATTTATAGTTTCTACACAGAGTGTTCATTTTCACAGATACTTGGTTTCTACTTTTTATTGAGGGTCATTCGTTTTTTTATTATAGGCCTTGATGGGCTTAGAAATGTTCTTTCATTGATTCTACAAAAAGAGTGTTTCCAAAATGTTGAGTCAAAACGAAGGTTTTACTTTGTGAGATGAATCCACATATCACAAAGCATTTTCACTTGTAGCTTGTTTTTAGTTTTTGTAGCGGGAAATTTTGTTCTTCACTATGGGCCTCAATGGGCTCAGAAATGTCCTTTTGTAGATGCTGCACACACAGTGTTTCCAACTGTGTGAATCAACCTAGAGATTACATTTAGTTATATGAATCCACACATCACAAAGCATTTTCACAGGTAGGCATTTTCTAGTTTATATTGCTGGATATTTAGTTCTTCATTATAGGAGTCAGTGGGCTCAGAATGACCCTTTCTTCATTCTGGAAATAGAATGTTTCCAACCTGTTGAATCAGAAGGAAGGTTCTCTTTGGTGAGATGAATCCACCCATCACAAACCATTTTCACAGATAGCTCATTTCTAGCTTTTCTGATGGGATATTCTGTTTTTCAATATAGACCACAATGGGTCAGAAATGCCCCTTTGTAGAGTCTACAAAATAAGTGTTTCCAAGCTGTTGAATTAAAAGACAGATTCAACTCTGTGAGATGAATCCACATTTCACAAAACATTTTCACAGATAACTTACTTCTAGTTTTTATTGTGATATATTTCGTTTTTCTCTGCAGGCCTCAATGGGCTCAGAAATGTCCCTTTCTGGATTTGAGAAAAAGAGCGTTTCCAATGCGTTAAATGAAAACCAAGATGTAACTGTGTGAGATGAATCCACATATCCCTTCAGTTAGGTGAATCCACAAATCACAAAGGATTTTCAAAAATAGCCTGTTTCTAATTTTTATCATGAGGTATTTCATTTTTCACTATAGACCTTAATGGGCTCTGAAATTTTTCTTTACAGATTCTACAAAAAAAAAAGTGATTCCAACACATTGAATTGAAGAAAAGGTTTAATTATTTGACATGAATCCACATGACACAAAGCTTTTTCACAGATAGCTTGTTTCTAGTTTTCATTATTGTAAATTTGGGTTTTCCCTATCGGCCTCAATTGTCTCAGAAATGTCCCTTCAGAAATTCTTTAAAAAGAGTGTTTACAACTGTTAAATAAAAACAAAGGTTTATTTATGTGGGATGCATCCACACATTACTCAGCATTTTTGCAGAGAATTTTTTAGTTTTAATGCAGAAAATTCCGTTTTTCACAATAGGCCTCAATGGGCTCCGATATGTCCCATTGTAGATTCTACAAAAAGAGTATTTTTAGCCTGTTGAAACAGAAAGATTTAACTCTATAAGATGAATCTGCACATCACAAAGCATTTTCACAGGTAGCTTGTTTCTAGTTTTTATCACAAGATATTCCTTTTCACTACAGGCCCGAATGGGCTCAGAAATGGACATTTCTCATTTCTACAAAAAGTGTTTCCAACCTGGTGAATCAAAACAAAGGTTCTATTCAATGAGACAAATCCAGACAACAGAAAACATTTTCACAGACTGCTTTTTTCAAATCTTTGTATATTCAATTTTTTTCAAGGTCATTTGGGTATTTTTTTCTTTTTTTATTATACTGTAAGTTCTAGGGTACTTGTGCACAATGTGCAGGTTTGTCACATAGGTATAAATGTGCCATGTTGGTTTGCTGCACTCATCAACTCATCATTTATATTATGTGTTTCTCCTAATGCTATCCCTCCCTCAGGCTTCCACCCTCTGGCAGGCCCTGGTGTGTGATATTCCCTTCCCTGTGTCCATGTGTTCTCATTGTTCATCTCCGACTAATGAGTGAAAACATTCAATGTTTGGTTTTCTGTCCTTGTGACAGTTTGCTGAGAATGATGGTTTCCAGCTTCATCCATGTCCCTGCAAAGGACATGAACTCATCCTTTTCTGTGGCTGCATAGTATTTCATGGTGTATACGTGCCACATTTTCTTTATTATTGATGGACATTGGGGTTGGTTCCAAGTCTTTACTATTGTGAACAGTACCACAATAAAGGTACGTGTGCATGTGTCTTTATTGTAGCATGATTTTCTTTATTATTGATGGACATTTGGGTTGGTTCCAAGTCTTTGCTATTGTGAACAGTGCCACAATAAACATATGTGTGCATGTGTCTTTATGGTAGAATGATTTATAATCCTTTGGGTATATACTCAGCAATGGGATTGCTGAGTCAAATGGTATTTCTGGTTCTAGATCCTTGAGGAATTGCCACACTATCTTCCACAATGGTTGAAATAATTTACACTCCCTACAGTGTAAAAGTGTTCCTATTTCTCCACGTGCTCTCCAGCATCTGTTGTTTTCTCACTTTTTAATGATTGCCATGCTAACTGGCATGAGATTGTATCTCATTGTGGTTTTGATTTGCATTTATCTGATGACCAGTGATGATGAGCATTTTTTCATATGTCTGTTGGCTGCATAAATGTCTTCTTTTGAGAAGTCTTTTCATATTCTTTGCCCAATTTATGATAAAGTTCTTCTTTTTTTCTTGTAAATTTGTTTAAGTTCTTTGTAGATTCTGGATATTAGCCCTTTGTCAGATGGATAGATTGCAAAAAATTTCTCCCATTCTGTATGTTGCCTGTTCACTCTGATGACAGTTTCTTTCTTTCTTTCTTCTTTCTTCTTCTTCTTTTTTTTTTTTTTTTGTTTTTTTTTCAGGCAGATTCTTGCTCTGTCACCCAGGCTGGAGTGCAGTGGCACGATCTTGGCTCACTGCATGCTCTGTCTACTAGGATCACGTCATTCTCCTGCCTCAGCCTCCCGAGTAGCTGGGACTAGAGGCGCCCGCCATCAGGGCCAGCTAATTTTTTGTATTTTTAGTAGAGACAGGTTTCATCATGTTAGGATAGTTTTTTTTGTTTGTTTGTTTGTTTGTTTGCTGTTCAGAAGCTCTTTAGTTTAATTAAATACCATTTGTCAATTTTGGCTTTTGTTGCCATTGCTTTTGGTGTTTTAGTCATGAAGTCTTTCCCTATGCCTATGTCCTGAATGGTATTGCCTAGGTTTTCATCTAGGGTTTTTATAGTTTTATGTCTCATATTTAAGTCTTTAATCCATCTTGAGTTAATTTTTGTATATGTTGTAAGGAAGGGATCCAGTTTCAGCATTCTACATATGGCTAGCCAGTTTTGCCAACACCATTTATTAAATAGGGGATCCATTCCCCATTGCATGTTTTTTATTCAGCTTTGTCAAAGATCAGATAGTTGTAGATGTGTGGTGTTATCTCTGAGTCCTCTGTTCTGTTCCATTGGTCTGTATACCTGTTTTGGTTGCAGTACCATGCTTTTTTGGTTACTGTAGCCTTGTCGTATAGTTTGAAGTCAGGTAGCTCGATGCCTGCAGCTTTGTTCTTTTTGCTTAGGATTGTCTTGGCGATGCGGGCTTTTTTTGATTCCATATGAAATTTAAAGTAATTTTTCCCAATTCTGTGAAGAAAGTCAGTGGTAGCTTGATGGGGATGGCATTGAATCTGTAACTTACCTTGGGCAGTATGGCCATTTTCATGATATTAATTCTTCCTACCCATGAGCATGGAATGTTCTTCCATTTGTTTGTATCTTCTTTTATTTCATTGAGCAGTGGTTTGTAGTTCTCATTGAAGAGGTCCTTAAAATCCCTTGTAAGTTGGATTCTGAGGTATTTTATTCTCTTCATAGAATTTGTGAATGAGAGTTCACTCATGATTTGGCTCTCTGTTTGTCTGCTCTTGGTGTATAGGAATGTGATTTTTGCACATTGATTTTGTATCCTGAGACTTTGCTGAAGTTGCTTATCAGCTTAAGGAGATTTTGGACTGAGATAATGGGGTTTTCTAAATATACAAACATGTCATCTGCAAACAGATACAATTTGACTTGCTCTTTTTCTAATTAAATAGCCTTTATTTATTTCTCTTGTCTGATTGCCCTGGCCAAGACTTCCAATACTGTGTTGAATAGGAGTGGTGAGAGAGGGCATCCTTGTCTTGTGCCAGTTTTCAAAGGGAATACTTCCAGTTTTTGCCCATTCAGTATGATATTGGCTGTGGGTTTGCCATAAATAGCTCTTATTATTTTGAGATATGTTCCATCAATATCTAGTTTATTGGGAGTTTTTAGCATGAAGCGCTGTTGAATTTTGTTGAAGGCCTTTTCTGCATCTATTGAGATAACCATGTGGTTTTTGTCATTGCTTCTATTTATGTGATGGATTATGTTTATTGATTTGTGTATGTTGAACCAGCCTTGCATCCCAAGTATGAAGCCAAGTTGATCGTGGTGGATAAGCTGTTTGATGTTCTGCTGGATTAGGTTTTCCAGTATTTTACTGAGGATTTTTGCATCGATATTAATCAAGGATATTGGCCTAAAATTATCTTTCTTTGGTTGTGTCTCTGCCAGGTTTTGTTATCAGGATGATGCTGGCCTCATAAAATGAGTTAGGGATGATTCCCTCTTTTTCTATTGATTGTAGATTCTATTCATTGTAGATTCTGGTTATAGTTTCAGAAGGAATGCAACCAGCTCCTCTTTGTATCTCTGGTAGTATTTGGCTGAATCCGTCTGGCCCTGGACTTTTTTTGTTGGTAGGTTATTAATTCTTGCCTCAATTTCAGAACCTGTTGTCAGTCTATTCAGAGAAACAACTTCTTCCCGGTTTATTCTTGGGATGGTGTATGTGTGCAGGAATTTATCCATTTCTTCTAGACTTTCTAGTTTATTTGCATAGAGGTGTTTATAGTATTCTCTGATTGCAGTTTGTATTTCTGTGGGATCAGTGGAGGTATCCCCTTTATCATTTTTTATTGTGTCTATTTTATTCTTCTCTTTTTTCTTCTTTATTAGTCTTGCTAGCGGTCTATTCTGTTGATCTTTTAAAAAAACTGGCTCCTAGATTCATTGATTTTTTTTGGAAGCTTTTTTGTGTCTCTATCTCCGTCAGTTCTGCTCTGATCTTAGTTATTTCTTGTCTTCTGCTAGCTTTTGATTTTGTTTGCTCTTGCTTCTCTAGTTCTTTTAATTGTGATGTTAAGAGTGTCGATTTTAGATCTGTCTTCTTTCTCTTGTGGGCATTTAGTGCTTTAAATTTCCCCCTACACACTGCTTTGAATGTGTCCCAGAGATTCTGGTACATTGTATCTTTGTTCTCATTGGTTTCAAGGAACATCGTTATTTTTGCCTTCATTTCGTTATGTACCCAGTAGTCATTCAGGAGCAGGTTGTTCAGTTTCCATGTAGTTGTGCGGTTTTGAGTGAGTTTCTTAATCCTGAGCTCTAATTTGATTGCACTGTGGTCTGACAGACAGTTTGTTGTAATTTCCATTTTCTTCCATTGGCTGAGGAGTGTTTTACTTCCAGTTATGTGGTCAATTTTAGAATAAGTGCAATGTGGAGCTGAGAATAATGTATATTCTGATGATTTGGGGTTGAGAGTTCTGTAGATGTCTATTAGGTCCACTTGGTCCACAGCTGAGTTCAAGTCCTGGATATCCTTGTTAATTTTCTGTCTCATTCCTCTGTCTAGTATTGTCTCCCGTTATTATTGTGTGTGAGTCTAAGTATCTTTGCAGGTCTCTAAGGACTTGCTTTATGAATCTGGGTTCTCCTGTATTGGGTACATATATATTTAGGATAGTTAGCTCTTCTTGTTGAATTGATCCCTTTACCATTATGTAATGGCCTTCTTTATCTCTTGATCTTTGTTGGTTTAAAGTCTGTTTTATGGAGACCAAGATTGCAAGCCCTCTTTTTTTCTTTCTCCATTTGCCTGGTAGATCTGTCTCCATCACTTTATTTTGAACCTATGTTTGTCTTTGCATGTGAGATGGGTCTCCTGAATACAGAACAATGATGGGTCTTCACTCTTTATCCAACTTTCCAGTCTGTGTCTTTTAATTTGGGCATTTAGCTCATTTACATTTAAGGTTAATATTGTTATGTGTGTGCTTGATCCTGTCATTATGATGCTAGCTGGTTATATCGCCTGTTAATTGATGCAGTTTCTTCATAGCATTGATTGTCTTTACAATTTGGCATGTTTTTTGCAGTGGCTGGTACCAGTTGTTCCTTTCCATGTTTAGTGTTTCCTTCAGGAGCTCTTGTGAGGCAGGCCTGGTGGTGACAAAATCTCTAAGCATTTGCTTCTCTGTAAAGGATTTTATTTCTCCTTCCCTTACAAAGCTTAGTTTGGCTAGATATGAAATTCTGGCTTCAAAATTCTTTTCTTTAAGAATGTTAAATATTGGCCCTCTCTCTCTTCTGGATTGTACAGTTTCTACTAAGAGATCCGCTGTTAGTCTGATGGGCTTCTTTTTTGGGTAACTGGACTGTTATCTCTAGCTGCCCTTAACACTTTTTCCTTCAATTCAGTCCTGGTGAATCTGACAATTATGTGTTTTGGGGTTGCCCTTCTCAAGGAGTATCTTTGTGGTGTTCTCTGTATTTCCTGAATTTGAATGTTGTCCTGCCTTGCTAGGTTGGGGAAGTTCTCCTGAATAATGTCCTGAAGAGTGTTTTCCAACTTGGTTCCATTCTCCCCATCACTTTCAGGTACAACAATCAAATGTAGATTTGTTCTTTTCACATAGTCCTATATTTCTTGGAGGCACTGTTCATTTCTTTTTACTGTTTTTTATTTCTAATCTTGTCTTTTTGCTTTATTTCATTAATTTGATCTTCAATCACTGATATTCTTTCTTCCCTTTGATTGAATCAGCTATTGAAGGTTTGTATCCTTCACAAAGTTCTCGTACTGTGGTTTTCAGCTCTGTCAGGTCATTTAATTTCTTCCCCACACTGGTTATTCTCGTTCACCACTGATCTCACCTTTTTTTCAAGGTTTTTAGCTTCCTTGCAATGGGTTAGAATATGCTCCTTTGGCTTGGAGAAGTTTGATATTACCGACCTTCTGAAGCCTACTTCTGTCAGCTTGTCAAACTCATTCTCTGTCCAGTTTTGTTCCGTTGCTGGTGAGGAGTTGTGGCCCTTTGGAGGAGAAGAAACATTCTGGTTTTTGGAATTTTCAGCCTTTCGTCTCTGGTTTCTCCCCATCTTTGTGGTTTTATCTATGTTTGGTCTTTGATGTTGGTGACCTATGGATGGGGTTTTGGTGTGGATGTCCTTTTTTTTTTCATGTTGATGCTCTTCCTTTCTCTTTGTTAGTTTTCCTGCTAACAGTCAGGCCTCTCAGCTGCAGATTTGTTTAGAGGTTGATGGAGGTCCACTCCAAACTGTTTGCCTGGGTATCCCAGTGGAGGCTGCAGAACCACAAATATTGCTGTCTGTTCCTTTCTCTGGAAGCTTAGTCCCAGAGGGCACCCGCCTGTATGAGGTGTCTGTCAACCCCTACTGGGAGGTGTCTCCCAGGCAGGCTACATGGGTGTCAGGGACCCACTTGAGGAAGTAGTCTGTCTGTTATCAGAGCTCGAACACCACGATAAGAGAACAACTGCTTTCTTCAGAGCTGTCAGGCAGGAACATTTAAGTCTGCAGAAGCTGTCTGCTGCCTTTTGTTCAGACATGCCCTGCCCACAGAGGTGGAATCTAGAGAGGCAGTAGGCCTGGCTCAGCTGTGGTGGGCTTTGTCCAGTTTGCATTTCCCTGCTGCTTTGTTCACATAGTGAGCATAAAACCACTTACTCAAGTCTCAGCAATGGCAGACAGCCTGCCCCCCCACACCAAGCTATAGCATCCCAGGTCAATCTCAGACTGCTGTATTAGCAGTGAGCAATGCTCCATGGGTGTGGGACCTGCTGAGCCAGGCATGGGAGGGACTCTCCTGGTGTGCTGGTTGTGAAGACTGTGGGAAAAGCACAGTATTTGGGCAGGAGTATGCCTCTCCTTCAGGTATCTCTCTCAGCTTCCCTTGGCTAGGAAAGGGAAATCCCTGGACCTCTTGTGCTTCTTAGATGAGGCAATGACCCACCCTGCTTCAGCTCACCCTCCATGGGCTGTACCCACTGTCCAACTAGTCCCAATGAGAAGAACAAGGTACCTCAGTTGGAAATGCAGAAATCACCCATCTTCTGCATCAATCTCACTGGGAGCTACAGACCAGAGCTGTTGCCATTTGGCCATCTTCAGTATATTCAGTTTTATACTACAGCTGTCAATGGGCTTGAAAATGTCCCTTCGTAGATTCTACAAGAAGTGTTTCCAACCTGGTGAAGCAAAATAGGTTCCACTCGGGGAGATGAATCTACACATCACAAAGCATTTTCATAGATGGCTTGTTTGTAGATCTTATCCTGGTATACTCGGTTTTTCACTATAGACCTCAATGATCTTAGAAACATCCATTCATAGATTCTGGAAAAACAGTGTTTCCAACCTGCTGAATTAAAACAAAGCTTTAACTCTGCTAGAGAAATCCACACATTTAATCCATTTCAACAGAATGCTTGTTTCTAGTTTTTATATTAATATATTCAGTTTTTCAGTATAGGCCTCATTGAGAGCAAAAATGTTCCTTCATAGATTCTACAAAAGAAGGGTTTCGAATCTGGTAAATGAAAACACAGGTTCTATATGGTGAGAAGAACCCACACATCAATAGAAAAATCCACACAACAAAAGAAAGGTTTAACTGCAATGTGAATCTACACGTCACAAAGCATTTTCAGAGATAGCTTGTTTGTTGGTTTTATGGTGAGATATTCTGTTTTTTTACTACAGGCTTAAATGGGCTCAGAAACGTCCCTTCATATATTCTACAAAAAAAGTGTTTCCAAACTGCTGAATCAAAACAAAGGTTTAACTCTGTGAGATGAATCCACCCATCACAAATGGTTTTACAGAGAGTTTCTTTCTAGTTTTTATAGGGGGATATTCCGTTTTTCACTATAGGCCTCAATGGGCTCCCAAATGTCCCTTCGCAGTTTCTACAAAAAGAGGGTTTCCAACCTGCTGAATCAAAAGAAAGGTTTAACTCTGTGAGATGAATGCACACATCACAAAGCAGTTTCACAGATAACTTATTTCTAATTTTTATTTCAGGGTATTTAGTTTTTCACTATAGACCTGAATGGGCTCAGAAGTATCCCTTCATAGATTTCACAAAAAGAGTGTTCTCGAACTGTTGAATAAAAATAAAGGTTTAATTCTGTGAGATGGATCCACAAATCACAGAGCATTTTCACAGATAGCTTGTTTCTAGTTTTTATTATTGAAAATTTTGTTTTTCACAATAGGCCTTCATGGGGTCAAAAATATCCCTTCATAGATTCTACAAAAAGGGTGTTTCCAAGCAGTTAAATCAAAACAAAGTTTAACTCTGTGAGATGAATCCAAACATTGCAAAGCATTTTCACAGATAGCTTGTTTTCAGTTTTTTTAGGTGGGATATTTGGTGTTTCACTATAGGCTTCTATTGGATTAGAAATGTCCCTACGTAGATTCTACAAAAACAGTGTTCCCAACCTGTTGAATCAAAGCAATGGTTTAACTCTGTGAGATGAATCCACACATCCCAATGCATTTTCACAGATAGCTTGCGTCTAGATTTTATCACGGGATATTTGTTTTTTTACTATAGGCCTCAATAGGCTCTGAAACGTCCCTTTGTAGATTCTACAAAATAGTTTTTAACTTGTTGAATCAAAATAAAGGTTTAATTCTGAGACATGAACCCACATATTGCGAAGCCTTTCCACAGATAGCTTGTTTGTAGTTTTCATCATGGTATATTCAATTTTTTACAATAGGCCTCAATGGTCTCAGAAATGCTTCTTTGTTGATTTTACAAAGAGAGTGTTTCCAGCCTGTTGAATAAAAACAAAGTTTTTTAACTCTGTGAGACAAATCCACATATCACAAAGCATTTTCACAGATAGCTTGTTTCTCATTTCTATTGAGGGATATTCAGTTTTTCACTACAGGCATCAATGGGCTCAGAAATGTTCATTCGTAAATTCTACAAAAAATGTTTCCAACCTGATGAGTAAAAACGCATGTTCCATTCGATGAGATGAATCCACACATTTCAAGGCATTTCAACAGATAGCTTGTTTGTACTTTTTATTGCAGGATATTTGGTTTTACACTACAGGCCTCAGTGTGCTCTGAAATGTTCCTTCGTAGATATTATAAAAAGAGTATTTCTAACCTGCTGAATCAAAACACAGGTTCCATTCAGTAAGACGAACCAACACATCAAGAAGTATTTTCACAGATAGCTTCTTTCTAGTTAATATTGTGGGATATTTGGTTTTTCATTACAGGCCACAATGGGCTCAGAAATGTCCCTTTGTAAATTCTACAAAAAGAGTATTTCCAACCTGTTGAATAAAAACAAAGGTTTGAATCTGTGTGATGAATCCACACATGGCAAAGCATTTTCACAGATAGAGTTTTTCTAGTTTTTATCACAAGATATTCCGTTTTTAGCTACAGGTTTTAATGGTTTCAAAAATGTCCCATTGTACATTCTACAGAAGTGTGTTTCCAGCCTTTTGAATCAAAACAAAGATTAACTATGTGGGATTAATCACATCACCAAGCATTTTCACAGATCACTTGTTTCTAGTTTTTATACAAGATAATTAGTTTTTCACTACAGGCCTCAATGGCCTAAAAATGTTTCTTTGTAAATTCTACAAGAAGAGTGTTTCTAACCTGGTAAATTAAAACACAGGTTCCATTCTGTGAGATGAATCCACACATCACAAAGCATTTTCACAGATAGCTTGTTTCTAGTTTTTATTGTAGGATGTTTAATTTTTCACTACAGGCCTCAAAGGGCTCAGAAATGTCCCTTTGTAGATTCTACACAAAGAGTGTTTTCAACCTGTTGAATTAAAACAAAGTTTAACATTCTGTGATGAATTGACACATTGCAAAGTATTTTCACACATAGCTTGTTTCCAGTTTTTATCATGGGAAATTTGATTTTATATTATAGGTTTCAATGGTTCAGAAATATTATTTCATAAATTCAATGAGAAGAGTGTTAACCTGCTGAATAAAAACAAAGGTTTAACTTTGTGAGATGAATACACACATTGCAAAGCATTTTCACAGATAGCTTGTTTCTACTTTTTGTCACAGGAAATTCAGTTTTTCACTATTGTACTCAATGCGTAAGAAGTGTCCCTTCATATATTCTACAAAAATAGTGTTTCCAACCTGTTGAGTCAAAACACAGGTTTCATTTGGTGAGATGAATTTATGCATCAGAAAGCGTTTTCACAGACAGCTTGTTTCTAATTTTCATTGTAAGATATATACTTTTTCACTGTGGTTTCAGAGGGCTCAGAAATATACCTTCATCAATTCTACAAAAAGAGTGTTTCCAACCTGGTGAATCAAAACAAAGGTCCCATTCAGTGAGGCAAATCCACACATCACAAAGCATTTTCACAGATAGATTGTTTCTAGTTTTTATGCAAATAATTCAGTTTTTCACTACAGGTCACAATGGGCTCAGAAATTTCTATTTGTATATTTTAAAAAATGAGTGTTTCCAACCTGTTGAATCAAAACAAAGGTTTAACTTTTTGAGATGAATGCACACATTGAAAAGCATTTACACAGATAGCTTGTTTCTAGTTTTTATCACATGAAATTTGGTTTTTCACTACGGGCCTCAACGGACCCAGAAATGTCCCTTCATAGATTCTACAAAAAGAGTGTTTCCAAACTGTTGAATCAAAACAAAAGTTTAACTCTTCTCAATGAATTCACACATTGCAAAGCATTTTCACAGATAGCTTATTCCTAGTTTTTATTGTGGGATATTTAATTTTTCATTATGGAACCTAATGGGTTCAGAAATGCTTCTTCTGAGATTCTACAAAAAGAGTGATTCCAACCTGGTGAATCCACACAGGTGCTATTTGGTAAGATAAATCCACACATCACAAAGCATTTTCACAGATAGCTTGTTTTTAGTTTTTATTGTGGGATATTCAGTTTTTCACTATGCTCCTCAATGGGCTCAGAAATGTCCCTTCATAGATTTTACAAAAAAAAAGTGTTTTCAACCTTTTGAATTAAAACAAGGTTAACTCCATAAGGTGAATCTACACGTCACCAAGCATTTTCCCAGATAGCTTATTTATACTTTCTATCACAAGCTATTCTGTTTTTCACTATGGGCCTAAAGGGGCAAATAAATGTCCCTATGTAGATTCTACAATAAGAGTGTACCCAACCTGTTGAATCAAAACAAACATATAACTCTGTGAGATTTATCCATGCCTTGTAAAGCATTTTCAGAGATAGCGTGTTTCTCGTTTTAGTTTTTTAGTTTTTTGTTTGTTTGTTTGTTTGTTTTTCTGCTTTTTACTTCTGGTCTTAATAGGATTAGAAGTGACCCTTCATAGATTCTACAAAAAGTGTGTTTCCAACATGTTGAATGAAAACAAAGGTGTAGTTCTCTGAAAAATCCACACATCATGAAGCATTTTCACAGGTGGCTTGTGTCTAGTTTTTATCATGGGATAATGTTTTCCACTTTAGCCCTTAATAAACTCAGAAATGCCAATTGGTAGACTCTACAAAAAGTGCAATTCCAATCTATTGAATCAAACAAAAGTGTAACTTTCTGAGCTGAATCCACACATTGCAAATCATTTTCACAGGTAGCTTTTGTCTAGGTTTTAATGTGGTGTATTCGATTTTTCACTGTTGACCTCAATGGCCTCAGAAATGTTTCTTCATAGATTCTACAAAAAGAGTTTTTCCATCCTGTTGAATCTAAACAAAAGTTTAACTCTGTGAGAGGAATCGACACATCAAGAAGCACTTTCACAGACAGGTTGTTTCTAGTTTTTATCACAATATTTTCTGTTTTTCCTATAGGTCTCATTGGGCTCAGAAATCTCCCTATGTACATTCTACAAAAAGTGTGTTTCTAACCTGTTGAATCAAAACAAAGCTTTAACTCTGTGAGATGAGTCCACACATCACAAAGTATTTTTACAGATAGTTTGTTTCTAGTTTTTATTGCAGGATATTCGGTTTTTCACTACAGGCTTCAACGGGCTCAGAAATGTCAATTTGTAGATTCTACAAAATAAGGGTTTCCAGCCTGATGAATTAAAACACAGGTTCCAGTTGGTCATATAAATAAACACATCATAAAGCCTGTTCACAGACAGCCTGTTTCTAGATTTTACCATGGTATATTCTGTTTTTTACTATATGCCTCAAGGAACTCAGAAATGTCCCTTTGTAGATTCTACAAAAAGAGTGTTTCCTACCAGCAAATCAAAACAAAGCCTGCATTCAGTGAGATAAATCCAACATCACTAAGCATTTTCACCAGTTGTTTGTAGTTTTGACTGCAGGATATTTGGTTTTTCACTATAGGGCTCAATAGGCTCAGAAATGTCTCTTCATAGATTTTACAAAAAGGGAGTTTCCAATCTGTTGAATCACAACAAGGGTTTAACTCTGTGAGATGAATCCACACATCACACAGTGTTTTTACACAAAGTTTGTTTCTAGATTTTATTGCAGGATATTTGGTTTTTTAACTATAGACCTCATTAGTCTCAGAAATGTCCCCTCGTAGATTCTACAAAAAAAAGGGTTTCCAACCTGTTGAATCAAAACGAAGGTTTAACTCTGTGAGATGAATTCACACATCACAAAGCACTTTCACAGATAGATTATTTCTACTTTTTGTCATGGGATATTCTGTCTTTCACTACAGGTTTCAATGACCTCAGAAATTTCCCTTTGTAGATTCTACAAAAAGAGTGTTACCAACCTGCTGAATGAAAACACGTTCCATTCTTTTAGATATATTTACACATCACAAAGCATTTTTACAGACACCTTGCTTCTAGTATTTATTGCAGTGTATTCATTTTTCACTGTAGGCTTCAAAGGGCTCTGACATGTCTCTTAGTAGATTATTCTAAAAGAGTGTTTCCAACATGCTGAATCCAAACACAAGTACGTTTTGTGAGATGAATCTACATATCAGAAAGCCTTCAGACAGTTATCTTGTTTCTACTTTTAATTGTGTGAAATTCAGTTTTTCACTATAGGCTTCAGTGGGCTCTGAAATGTCCCCTCGTAGATTCTACAGAAACAGCGTTTCCAATTGGTGAATCAAAACACAGGTTCTATTCTGTGAAATGAATATACACATCACAATGCATTTTCACAGTAAGATTAATTCTAGTTTTTATCCAGGCATATTCCGTTTTTCATTGTAGATCTCAATGGGCTCAGAAGTGTGCCTTCGTAGATTCTGCAATAAGAATCCCTACAATGAGGTCAATTAAAATACAGGTTTAACTCTGTCAGGTGAAACCACACAGCCCAAAGCACTTTCACAGATAACTTGTTTCTAGATTTTATCACTGGATATTTCGTTTTTCACTATAGGCTTCGAGGGTCAAAGAAATGTCCCTTCATTGATTCTACAAAGAGTGTTTTCAACCTGGTGAATCAAAAAACAGGTTCCATTCAGTTTGATGAATCCACACATTACAAATAATTTTCACAGATAGCTTGCTTCTAGTTTTCACCACTGGATATTCAATTTTTCACTATAGACCTCAATGGGTTCAGAAATGTCCCTTCTTGAATGGTACAAATAGAGTGTTTCTAACCTGGTGAACCAAAATAAAGGTTTAACTTTTTGAGATGAATCCACAGATGGCAAAGCATTCTCACAGATAGCTTGTTTCTACTTTTTATCACAGGACATTCAGTTATTCACTATAGAACTTAAAGGGCTTGGAAATGTCCCTTGGTGGATTCTACCAAAAAAGTGTTTCCAACCTTTTTAATCAAAACAAAGTTTAACTCTTTGAGATGAATCCACACATGGCAAAGCATTTTCAAACATAGCTTTTTCCTACTTTTTTTATTTTGGGAAATTTGGTTTTTCACTATAGGCCTCAATGGCTCAGAAATGTCCCTTTGTAGATTCTACAAAAAGAGTGTTTCCAGCTTGCTGAATCAAAACAAAGGTTTAACTCTCTGAAATGAATCCACACATCACAAGACATTTTCACAGATAGATTATTTCTAGTTTTTATCACTGGATATTAGTTTTTCACTGTAGGCCTCAAACAAAGGTTTATCTTTTAGAGATGAATCCACACATGGCAAAGCATTTTCACAGATAGCTTGTTTCACTTTTTATTGAAGGATATTCAGTTATTTACTCTAGAACTTAAAGGGTTCAGAAATGTCCCTTCATAGATTCTACCAAAAGAGGTTTTCCAAAGTTTTGAATCAATACAAAGGTGTAAATCCTTTAGATAAATCCACACACAGCAAAGCATTTTCAAAGATAGCTTGTTTCTACTTTTCGTTGTGGGAAATTTGGTTTTTCACTACAGATCTCAATGGCTCAGGAATGTCCCTTTGTAGATTCTACAAAAAGAGTATTTATGACCTTTTGAATAATTTAAAAAAAGGCTTAACTCTGTGAGATGAATCCACATATCACAAAGCATTTTTACAGATAGCTTGTTTCTAGTTTTTATCACAGGATATTCAGTATCTTGCTCTAGAACTCCATAATCTCAGAAATGCCCCATCATGAATTCTACTAAAAGACTTAGGGGACGTTTAATCAAAGCAAAGGTGTAACACTTTGAGATGAAGCCACACATTGCAAAGCATTTCCACAGATGGCTTGTTTCTAGTATTCATAGCTGGAACTTCAATTTTTCACTATAGGCCTCAATGGTCTCAGAAATTTTCCTTTGTAGATTCTACAGTAAGAGTGTTTGCTACCTGCTGAATGAAAAGAAAGGTTTAACTCTGTGAGATAATTCTACATATCACAAACCATTTTCACAGATACCTTGTTGCTAATTTCCCCATGGGACATTCGGTTTTTCACTACAGTCCACAATGGGCAAAATAATGTCCAATAGTAGATTTTACAGGAAAAGTGTTTCCTACCAGGTGAATCAAAACAGCATTTCCATTCAGTGTGATGAATCCATACATCACAAAGAATTGTTATAGATAGCTTGTTTCTAGTTTTCATCACGGGATATTCAGTAATTTATTATAGGCATCAATGGGCTCAGAAATGTCTTTTTGTAGATTCTACAAAAAGAAGGTTTTCAACCTATTGAATTAAACATAGATTTCACTCTGTGATATGAATCTACACATTCCAAAGCACTTTTACAGATATCTTGTCTCTAGTTTTTATTGCGGGATATTTGGTTCTTTGCTACAAGACAAAGTGGGCTCAGAAATGCCCCTTCATAGATTCTACAAAAACTGTGTTTCCAACCTGTTGAATCAAAACACATGTTCCATTCAGTGAGATGAATAAACACATCATAAAGTATTTTCCCAAATAGCTTGTTACTAGTTCTTATTGTGGAACATTTGATTTTTCACTATAGGCCCCAATGGACTCAGACATATCCCTTTGTAGATTCTACAAAAAAAAGTGTTGCCAACCTGTTGAATTAACACAGATTTAACTCTGTGAGATAAATCCACACATCACAAAACATTTTCACAGATAGCTTGTTTCTATTGTATAAGATGGAATATTCAGTTTTTCACTGCAGGCCTCAATGGGCTCAGAAGTATTACTTCATAGATTTTACAAAAAAGTGTCTCCGACCTGTTGAATTAACAGAAAGATTTAACTTTGTGAGATGAATCCACAGGTCACATACCATTTTCACACATAGCTTGTTTCTGGTTTATTAGTGAGATATTCAGATTTTCACTACAGGCTTCAATGGGTGCAGAAATGGGCTCAGAATGTTCCTTCTTAGATTCTACAAGAACAATGTTTCCAACCTGTTGAATCAAAACAAAGGTTTATTTCTGTGAGACAAATCCAGACAACACAAAGCGTTTTAACAGATAGCTTGTTTCTAATTTTAATTGTGGGATATTCAGTTTTTCCACTATTGGCCTCAATGGGCTCAGAAATGTCCCTTTGTAGATTCTACAAGAACAGCATATTTAACCTGATGAATCAAACCTCAGTTTCCACTTGCTGTCATGAATCCAAACATCTCAAAACATTTTCACAGTTTTTTTTGTTGTTGTTCTTTTTGTGTGTGTGTGATATTTGGTTTTACACTTTTCAAACTCAATAAGCTCAGAAATGTCCCTTCATATATTCTATAAAAACACTGTTTTCAATCTGTTGAATCAAAAGAAAGGTTTAACTGTGTGAGATGAATTCACACACCACAAAGCATTTTCACAGGTAGCTTGTTTCTAGCTTTTATCCCAGGATATTTAGTTTTTCACATTGCCCTCAATGGACTGTGAAATTTCCCTTCAGAGATCCTACAAAAAGAGTGTTTTCAACCTGCTGAATCAAAACAAAGGTTTACCTTTGTAAGATCAATTGACACATTGTAAATTATTTTCACAGATAGATTGTTTCTACTTTTTTATTATGGGATATTCAGTTTTTCACTATAGACCTCAATGGACTCAGAAATATCATTGTGGAGATTCCACAAAAAGAGTATACCCAACCTGCTCAATCGAAATAAAGAATTAACTCTGGGAGATTAATCCACAACTCATAAAGGACTTTCAGAGATAGCTTCTTTCTAATTTTTATCAGAGTATACATAGTATATTCTGTTTCATACTATGGGCCTAAATAAGTGAAGAAATGTCCCTTGGTAGACTCTACAAGAAGAGTGTTCTCAACCTGTTGAATCAAAACAAAGCTTTAATGCTCTGAGATGAATCCACACGTTGCAAAGCATTTTACAGATAGCTTTTTTCTAGTTTTTATGGTGGGATATTTGGTTTTTTACTGTAATCTTTAATGGGCTCAGAAATATCCTCTTGTAGATTCTCCAAAAATAGCGTACCCAACATATTGAATCAAAACAAAGGCTTAACTCTGTGAGATGAATCTACACCTCATAAACCATTTTCAGAGATAGCTTGTTTCTAATTTTTCTTGTGGGATATTCTGCTTGTCACATTGGGCCTTAATGGGCTCAGAAATGTCCCTTCAGAGATTTTATAAGAAGAGCATTTCCAACCTGTTGAATCAAAAGAATGTTTTATCTCTTTGAGATGAATCCACACATCACAAAGCATTTTCACAGAAAGTTTGTTTCCACTTTATAAGGTGGAAAATTCAGCATTTTACTATAGGTCTCAGTGGGCTCAGAAATGTATTTTCATAGATTTTACAAAATAAGTGTTTCCAACCTGTTGAATTAAAGATTTAACTCTGGAAGATGAGTTCACACATTGCAAAGCATTTTCGCACGTAGCTTCCTTCTAGTTTTTATCATGTGATATTCAGTTTTTCACTACAGGGCTAAATGGGCTCAGAAGTGTCTGTTCATTTATTCTACAAAACGTGTGTTTCCAACCTCATGAATCAATGCACAGGTTCTATTGGGTGAGATAAATAAACACATCATAAAGCATTTTTCCCAAATAGCTTGTTTATAGTTTTTATTGTGGGACATTTGGTTTTTTACTATGGGCCTCAGTGGACTCAGAAATGTCCCTTTGGGGATTCTACAAAAAGACTATTTCCAACCTGTTGAATCAAAAGAAAGGTTTAACTTTGTGAGATGAATCCACACATTGCAAACAGTTTTCACAGGTAGCTCGTTTCTAACATTTAACATGAAACATTTTCTTTTTCACTATGGGCCTCAAAAAGCTCAGAAATGTCTTTTCAAAGATTCTCAAAAAAGAGTTTGTCCAAAGTGTTGAATCAAACAAAGGTTTAATTCTGTGAGATGAATCCAGACATCACAAAGAATTTTCACAGATAGCTTTGTTTTAGGGTTTATCATGGAATATTGTTTTATACAATAGCCCTCAATGGCCCCAGAAATGTCCCTCTGTAAATTCTATGAAACCAGTGTTTCCAAACTGGTGAATCAAAACTCAGGTTCTATTCAGTTTGAGGAATCCACACATTACAAAGGATTTCTACAGATACATTTTTTAAAGGTTTTATCACAGAATATTCAATTTTTCATGACAGGGCTCAGTGGGCTCAGAAATGTCCCTTTGCAGACTCTATAAAAAGAGTGTTTCCAATCTGTTGAATCAAAAAAAAGATTTAACTCTGTGAGATGAATCAACACACTACAAGGCATTTTCACAGATAGCTTGTTTCTTGTTTTTAAGGGGGATATTCAGTTTTTCATGATAGGCCCCAGTGGACTCACAAATGTCCCTTCATAGATTCTACAGATAGAGTGTTTCCAACCTTTTGAATAAAAACAAAGTTTTAACTCTGTGAGATAAATCTACACATCACAAAGCATTTTCACAGAGAGATTGTTTCTAGTTTTTATTGCAGGATATTCGGTTTTCACTATACGCCTCAATGGTGTCAGAAATATTTCTACCTAGATTCTACAAAAAAAGTGTACCCAACCTGTTGAATCAAAACAAAGTTTTAACTCTGTGAGATTAACCCACAAGTCATAAAGCATTTTCAGAGATAGCTTGTTTATAGTTTTTGTCTCGGGATATTTGGTTATTTAATATAGGCCTCAATGGGCTCAGAAATGTCCCTTCGTAATTTCTACAGAAAGAGTATTTCCAACCTGTTGAATGAAAACAAAGTTTCCATTCTCTGAGATGAATATGCACATTACCATGCATTTTAACAGATAGATTGTTTCTAGATTTTATCAAGTTATATTCAGTTTTTCACTATAGGTTTGAATGTGCTAAGAAGTGTTCTATCATAGATTTTTTTAAAAAGACTTTTTAGACCCTGGTGAATCAAAACACAGTTTCATCTCTGTCAGGTAAATCCACACACCACAGAGAACTTTCACAGATAGCTTGTTCCTAGATTTTATCATTGGAAATGTGGTTTTGCATTTTGCTTCAAGTGGTTCAGAAGTGTCCCTTCATAGATCATACAAAAAAGAGTGTTTTGAACCTGGTAAACCAAAACACATTCCATTCTGTGAGAGAAATCCACATATCACAAAGCATTTTCACAGATAGCTTGTGTCTAGCTTTTATCACAAAATATTCGGTTTTAAACTATAGGCCTAGATGTGCTTAGAAATGTCCCATTGTAGATTCTACAAAGAGTGTTTCCTACATGTTGAATCAAAACAAAGGTTTATCTCTATGAGATGAATCCACACATCACAAAGCATTTTCTCAGATAGCTTGTTTCTGGATTTTATCATGGGACACTTGTTTCTTCATCATAGGTCTCAATGGGCTCAGGAATATCTCTTTGTAGATTGCACAAAAAGAGTATTTCTGCCTGCTGAATCAAAACAAAGCTTTAACTCTTTGAGACTACTCCACACATCAAAAAGCATTTTTACAGATAGGGTTGTTCCTAGTTTTTATCACAGGATATTCAGTTTTTCACTATAGGCCTCAATGAAATAAGAAATGTCTCTTCTTTTTTTTTTTCTTTTTTCTTTTATTATTATACTTTAAGTTTTAGGGTACATGTGCACATTGTGCAGGTTAGTTACAAGAAATGTCTCTTCATAGATTCTAAAAAAAAGTGTTTTCAATGTGTTGAATGAAAAGAAAGGTTTAACTCGGTGAGATGAATCCCCAAATCACAAAGCATTTTCACAGATAGCTTGTTTCTAGTTTTTATCGTGGGATATTTGTGTGTTTTTTTCTATTGTCCTCAATGGGCTAGAAAATGTCCCTTTGCAGATCCTATGAAAAGAGCGTTTCCAACTTGTAGAATCAAAACAAAGTTTTAACTTTGTGAGATGAATCCACATATTGCAAGGCATTTTTACAAATATCTTGCTCCTAGTTTCCATTGTGGGATTTTCAGTTTTTCAGAGTAGGTCTCAATTGGCTAAGAAATATTTCTTTGTAAATGATACAAAAAAAAGTGTTTTCAACCTGTTGAATGAAAACAAATGTTTAACTAGGTGAATAGAATCCAGATATTGCAAAGCATTTTTGCAGATAGCTTGTTTCTAGTTTTTATAGCAAAATATTCAGTTGTTCACTATAGGCCTCAATGGACTCAGAAATATTCCTTCGCAGATTCTACAAGAGTGTTTTCAACCTGTTGAATCAAAAGAAAGGTTTAGCTTTGTGAGAAAAATCCATGAATCACAAAGCATTTTCACAGATAGCTTGATCCTAGATTTCTAGATTTCATTGTGGGAAATTCTGTTTTTACAGTAGTATTCCACGGGCTTAGATATATCCCTACATAGATTCTACAAAAAAGTGTTTTTAACATTTTGAATCAAGTTAACCATTTAACTCTGTGACATGAATTTCCATATCACAAAGCATTTAAAAGATAGTTTGTGTCTAGTTTTTATTGTGGGATATGAGGGGTTTTTTTTACTATAGGCTTCAATTTACTCAGAAATGTGTCTTCAAAGATTCTACAACAAAAGTGTTTCCAGCCTGGTGAATCAAAATATGGGTTCCATTCATTGTAATGAATCCACATATCACAAAGCATTTTCCCAGATAGCTTGTTTGTAGTTTTTATCATGGAATATTCAATTTTTCAATATAGAGCTCAAAGGGCTCAAAAATATCCCTTTGCAGATTCTACAAAAAGAGTCTTCCCAACTTGTTGAAACAAAACAAAGATTTAAGTCCCTGAGATGAATCCACACATCACAAAGCATTTTCACAGATACCTTGTTTCTTGTTTTTCTCACAGGAAATTCGGTTTTTCCCTATATGCCTCAATGTGCTCAGAAATGTTCCTTTGTAGATTCCACAAAAAGAGTGCTTTGAACCTGTGTTCCATTTGCTGTGATGAATCCACATATTACAAAGTATTTCCATAGATAGCTTGTTTCCAGTTTTTAAGGTGGGATATTCGGTTTTTCACTATAGGCCTCAATGGGCTCAGAAATGTCCCTTCGTATACCCCACAAAACTTGGTGAATCAAAAGAAATCTTTACCTCTTTTAGCTAAAAACACAAATTGCAAAGTATTTCACAGATAGCTTATTTCTAGTTTTTATAGAAGGATATTTTGTTTTCCATTACTGGCCTCAATTTGCTCAGAAATATAAATTCTTACCTTCTACAAAAAGAGTGTTTTTCATCTGTTGAATCAAAACAGCATCTTAACTCTGTGAGATGAATCCACACATCACAAAGCATTGTCACATATAGCTTGTTTCTAGTTTTTATTGCAGGATATTCGGTGTTTCATTATAGGCCTCAATGAAATCAGAAATGTTCCTTCATAATTTCTACAAAAAAAAAAGTGTTTCCAACCTTTTGAAACAAAAGTAAGATTTAATTCAGTGAGATGAATCCTTACATTTGAAAGTATTTTCACAGATAACTTGTTTCTAATTTTTATTGTTGGATATGCTTTTTTTTCTATTGGCCTCATTGGGCTAGGAAATGTCCCTTTGTAGATTCTACAAAAAGAGTGCTTCCAAACTATTAAATCAAACAAAGGTTTAATTCTGTGAGATAAATCCACACACTGCAAAGAATTTTCACACAAACTTGTTTCCAGATTTTATCTTGGGATATTCAGTTTTTCACTATGGTACTCAATGGGCTAAGAAATATGCTTTTGTAGATTCTACAAAAAGAGTGTAACCAACCAGTTGAATCAAAACAAAGATTTAACTCTGTGAGATGAATCCACACCTTGTAAAGCATTTTCAAAGATAGGATGTTTCTAGTTTTTATTGCAGGATATTGTTATTCACATTAGACCTCAAGATGCTCAGAAATGTCCCTTTTCTGATTCTATGAAAAGGATGTTTCCAACTAGTTGAATCAAAACAAAAGTGTAACTCTCTGAGATGAATCCACACATCGCAAGTCATTTTCATAGGTAGCTTATTTCTAGTTTTGTCTTTTGTTGCCATTGCTACTGGTGTTTTAGACATGAAGTCCTTGCCCATGCCTATGTCCTGAATGGTAATGCCTAGGTTTTCTTGTAGGGTTTTTATGGTTTTAGGTCTAACGTTTAAGTTTTAATCCATCTTGAATTGATTTGTGTATAAAGTGTAAGGAAGGGATCCAGTTTCAGCTTTCTACATATGGCTAGCCAGTTTTCCCAGCACCATTTATTAAATAGGGAATCCTTTCCCCATTGCTTGTTTTTCTCAGGTTTGTCAAAGATCACATAGTTGTAGATATGCGGCATAATTTCTGAGGTCTCTGTTCTGTTCCATTGATCTATATCTCTGTTTTGGTACCAGTACCATGCTGTTTTGGTTACTGTAGCCTTGTAGTATAGTTTGAAGTCAGGTAGCGTGATGCCTCCAGCTTTGTTCTTTTGGCTTAGGATTGACTTGGTGATGCAGGGTCTTTTTTGGTTCCATATGAACTTTAAAGTAGTTTTTTCCAATTCTGTGAAGAAAGTCATTGGTAGCTTGATGGGGATGGCAATGAATCTGTAAATTACCTTGGGCAGTATGGCCATTTTCACGATATTGACTCTTCCTACCCATGAGCATGGAATGTTCTTCCATTTGTTTGTATCCTTTTTTATTTCCTTGAGCAGTGGTTTGTAGTTCTCCTTGAAGAGGTCCTTCACATCCCTTGTAAGTTGGATTCCTAGGTATTTTATTCTCTTTGAAGCAATTGTGAATGGGAGTTCACTCATGATTTGGCTCTCTGTTTGTCTGTTGTTGGTGTATAAGAATGCTTGTGATTTTTGTACATTGATTTTGTATCCTGAGACTTTGCAGAAGTTGTTTATCAGCTTAAGGAGATTTTGGGCTGAGACAGTGGGGTTTTCTAGATATACAATCATGTCATCTGCAAAGAGGGACAATTTGACTTCCTCTTTTCCTAATTGAATACCCTTTATTTCCTTCTCCTGCCTAATTGCCCTGGCCAGAACTTCCAACACTATGTTGAATAGGAGTGGTGAGAGAGGGCGTCCATGTCTTGTGCCAGTCTTCAAAGGGAATGCTTCCAGTTTTTGCCCATTCAGTATGATATTGGCTGTGGGTTTGTCTCTTATTATTTTGAGATACGTCCCATCAATACCTAATTTATTGAGAGTTTTTAGCATGCAGGGTTGTTGAATTTTGTCAAAGGCCTTTTCTGCATATATTGAGATAATTATATGGTTTTTGTAAAGGATATAAAATGCCAGTGAGAGAGGCCTGGGGAAATATGAGGCAAAATGTGTAAATACCTGCTTAGCATTATAACCTGGTTAATATGAGAAAATCTGTTGTGGCACCCTTTACATTAATTGACTAACAAGGAAATACTGTGTAATCATTTCAGCAAGTGCCAAAAAACATTGATAAATTTTAACACTTATTCCTATATTCCTTGTGGCTACTGGAAGTGAAGAACGAAATATTAAAAAGCTAAAAATAGAACGTGTCATTTGCAAACTGAATTAGCATTGTATTAAAAGAATTAAGAGAATCTTGACAATGTTTTAGATCCAATGAGAGTGTTCATCATTGTGGCCAGATACAGGATCTGTATACAGAAGTAAGTAGCTTTTTATATATTCTGGCAAAAAAATACAAATGCAGCTTAAAGGGAGCCTATTCAGAATGTAGCAAAGACCATATAACTAGTAATAAACTTATGAAGAAACACATAATGCCACCTGAAGAAAATTTTAAAATTGATTATAAAGTTGTGAATAAATGAAAAGAGATATTGGTTCCTAGATGGGAACATTTGATTTTGTAAAGATGCTGATTCCCTTTATATTAATCCATAGATTCAAAATAATCCAAATTAAAATCTTACTGAGGTTTTTCATAGAACTTCATAAGCTGATTTTAAAATTACTTGCAAAACAAAATGTCTGAGAATAGCCAAGAAAAAGAGCAATGATGTGTTATACAACTAAACCACAGTAATTTCATCAGTGAGGTACTGGTATAAAAAATAAATGCAATGAAACAGAGTAGAGATTCCAGACGTGAATTCACATTTCTTTGAGAATTTAGTTACATAAAATTTGACATTTTAAAGTAGTGAAGAAAGAATGCAGTATTCAATAATTGACCTTGAGATAATTGCTTACCAATTAGAAAGAGAAGATATCTAGAAAATTCGTCATACAGTTGACACACAAAAAGATTCCATCTCTATGGAGACCAATTGTAAGAAAAAGCATTAGACAGAAATATAAGAAAAGTATTGATTACTTCAGGGGAAGGGGTATCTTCATAAGTTTAACATAAAAACCATAAACATTTGACTATTTCACTGTTTAAGTGTTGGAAAGTTTACTATGGCCAGGGAAGGACTTTTTCCAGGAATGCAAGCTTAGTTTGATACCCAGAGTAATATCAAATGATTTACCAGAGATACAAAGTAAGAGATAAAAACCCCACATAAACATATCAGGAGATGTTAAAAGAGCATTAGATAAAAGTCTAGGCTTTCCTAATAATAATTCTAAATAAAATTAGAAGAAATTGTTAATTTGATAAAGACTTCAGGTCCAGAACTAATGTCAAAATAGTGGAGCAATGAAGCCATTTTCTTTAAAATCAGAAACAAAACAGAAATGCACATTATTATCATTATTATATTTTGACATTGTTTTTGAAGTTCTGGAGACTGCAATAGACAAGAAATTAAGTATTTAGTATACATACAGAGAAAAAGGGTAATTTTTTTATCTTCTGATACATAATTGTATAGTTGGAAAACTCAATATGCCCCAATAAAATCAATTAGTGTTAAAAGCATATGAGTGTGGTAGATCTAGTGCAAATATAGAAAATATATTTGTGTTTCTCTACTAGCAATTATCAGCTGGGAATAGAAATGCGGTAAAATATTTCATTATTAAATTGTATCTGCTAATTATAGTAAAAGGACTATTACAAAACCTAACTGAAGAGAGAGAAAACTATAAAATCTTATTGAGGGATTTTAAAAATACCTGAACAAATATAAAGGTAGTAGCCACAATCTTTCCAGAAAAAGTTTAATGTACCAAGCTGCTAATGGTTTACGTAAAAATAAATAAATTAATAAATAAATAATAAAATGTAAGGTTTAATATAATTAATATGTAAATTTAATGCAACATCAACTGTAATCCCAATGCAGTTTTTGAGGAAATCAGGGATTCTGGGTTGGGAGTCGTATTGATAAAATTTTCTTAAAGTCAAATACCATAATAAATGCCTAAATATAGCCAAAAAAGTTATAAAAAAGACTGATGAAGGGATTTTTGCCTTATGAGATAGAAAGCACATGATAAAGTAATATCATGGAAACAGTGTGGTACTGGCACAAGAATTGACAAATAGATTAGTGAAACATAGAAAGCCCAGTAATAGTGGGTGTGACAAAGGTGGTATTGGAAGTGAAAAATATATATATTAATAATTGGTGCTTGCACCATTATTTTTACACTCTTGCACAAAACAGAGGCCAGCCATTGGGAAGGAATTGACGAGACTCCTGAGCTCAGAGGGCACTTTTTTTTTTGAGTCAGAGTCTCGCTCTGTCACCCAGGCTGGAGTGCAATAGCGTGATCTGGGCTCACTGCAACCTCTGCCTCTCGGGCACAATTCTCCTGCCTCAGCCTCCTGAGTAGCTGGGATTATAGGTGCCTGACACCACACCCAGCTAATTTTTGTATTTTTAGTAGAGACGGGGTTTCACCATATTAGCCAGGCTGGTCTCAAACTCCTGACCTTGTGATCCACCAGCCTTGGCCTCCCAAAGTGCCAGGATTATAGGCATGGGCCACTGTGCCTGGCCTCAGGGGGCATTTAGTCAGGCATAAAGTAGAATTAGTCCTTATCTTCATCTTGTCTCACCCAGATGTTGCCATGATGATGGCCGTGGAGGATGGCATGGTGCAGGTAGTGGTTCAGGTGCAGCACCTCCCCCCTCGAGAGTTGGAAGTCAAAAGCAGCCTGTGGTTCAGGTGATGGATGAGAAGGTGTTTTTGTTTAACACTGAGGAGACCCATGGAGGGTTTCCTGGCCTGAAATTGGGCAGCGTTTATGATGGCTCTAAGAAGAACAAAGACCTGACATTGTCTTTGCTTGGATTTTTGATGAGGTGGCCACATATCAGGATGTGTTCAGCACACAACATACAGCATTGTGGAACGCTTCCTTCAGAGTTACAATTGCTAAGATGATAACCTGGGTTCCACTTGTCAATAGCCTTGTGGAACTAGGGCAGGGTTTCATGTTTCTTCTGGCCTCCCACATCTGGGCATGATTTATTGAGGATAGCTCTGGCCTCTTCATGCTCTGTGTGGCCCCATTTATTCATTCTGCTACATGTGAGGCATGTTACTGGGCCTGGGAATACAATAGCAAACCAGACCAACGTGGTTTATGTTCTCTTGGTGCTCACAGCCTAGAAGGGAAGAGAAACTGATCACAGAATCACACCGACAAGTATGTGGTTACAAATCAAGGTAAATGATATGAGCAAAAAAAAAAAAAAAAAACTGTGGACCTTTGACAGAATCTAGCCTGGGGAAGGAAGGGATAGCCCACACTCACAATGGAGATCTAGTTGTCCTGAAATCCACCAGCCTAGGGGGGAGCCAGAACAGACACGTGGAGTATGCCAACACTGCAGTGGGAACATGGGTTGTGTGAGTGGTGGGAGCAGTGGACTGGGATACATAAAAGGCAAATGAGAGGGGCATGGGGAGAGAAGGGCTGAGCTGGGCGGCAGTGCACTGGGGCCTCCTCCATGCTCTGTCTTCTGTAGTGTTTGCCTATGGGGTCACTGGGCCTGAGAAGACACTCACCATGCTGAAAAGAGAGGAGACCTCCAGCATCATGGACCTGACCATCAGGTACCTCTACAGGCACTTTGAGGACCACCAGGAGGAGAAGCACTTTGAGGTGATCATCACCTGTCAGGAGCTCAGGCTGCCCTCTGCTCTGCATTTCATTCTTACAACCACCTGAGGAGGGAAGTGAGTTGGTGGAAGACAGAATGGTAGAAAACAAAGAGTTGGGGCCCAATGAGAGCTTATGGCATAGATATAGCTCAGCGAGATGCTGCATAAGAATGACCCCCACCCAAGCCAGGCATGGTGGCTCACACCTGTAATCCCAGCACTTTGGCAGGCCAAGGCAGGCAGATCACCTAAGGTCAGGAGTTTGAGACCAGCCTGACTAACATGGAGAAAGCCTGTCTCTACTGAAAATACAAAATTAGCTGGGCAGGGTTGTGCATGCCTGTAATACAAAATTAGCTGGGTGTGGTGGCACATGCCTGTAATTCCACCTACTCAAGAGGCTGAGGCAGGAGAATCACTTGAACGTGGGAGGCGGAGGTGGCAGTAAGCTGAGATCGTGCCATTGCATTCCAGCCTGGGCAACAAGAGCAAAACTCCATCTCAATAAATAAATTAATTAATTAAAATAAAAATGACCCCCCCACCACTTCACCATGCTCTTATCATTTAACGTGGTCCTGTAAAATGTCACTTATACAAGGGGTCTCAGATACGCCCCAGCCCCATGCTTCCTCCTCCAGCATCCAGGAAGAGAGATTTTCTGATGGACCCCTCTCCCTCAAGTTTTTTCCTTTCCCTTCAGGTGTACAATGAGCAGATCCAGGACCTCCTGGAGCCCAAGGAGCCCCTTGCCATCTGTGAGGATCTGGGCAAAGGGGTAGTGATAGAAGGACTTATTTTCCACCAGGTGCGGGATTGGGCTTAGGTGGGATGAGCAATCACATTGGCCCTCCAGGGTTTCTTCATAAAACTGTTTGGAGATGCCCTGGGTCCTGTGACGATGGTGGCAGTGGTGGCAGCAAGGAGGATTGACATTCATTCTGAAGCGCAGCTTTTTCCATCAGAGGAAAAGTCCTGGTGGGGGATCCCACAGCCATGCTCCTTGGCCTCTTCTCTGTAGCCAACCTAAGCAGAGCAGGGGAGATGCTGACCAGGGGGACCCATAACTGCATGCGGCATTCCACTGATGCCAGTGCAACTCCCTCCCACTCCCATGCCATCTTCCAGGTGAGAGGGATCATGAGTCAGAGCCTGAAGTGGGGGCTTCTAATGCCCCACTTCCCCACAATCCCTGCCATCTGCTCCCGGGTCTTTGAGAACCAGCAGAACTGGGATCCAGAACTAACCCAGGATGTTCAGGTGATGAAGATAAGCCTGATTGGCCTGGCTGATGCTGAGGTGACATCCAGTACCCAGGAGAACAGGGATCAGCTTCGGGAGGGTGCCAACATCAATCACTCTCTGCTGGCGCTCATCAACATCCTCAATGCCCTGGCTGATGCAAAGACTAAGCAACACAGACCAGCACCTACCACAGGATAGCAACTGAGTGTCTGAACCCTGGGCCAAAGGTTTTCAGGCCTCACGTGGGACACTCTAGTCAGCCACCTCACCCCACACCTGCTCACTGCCCCACAGGGCCACAAGACCCATGTGCCCTGCAAGGACAGCAAACTGGCCTGCCTTCTCAGACTCCCTCAGGGGTAACTGCCACATGGTGATGATTGTTGCCATCAGCACCTCCAGCCTGGCCTACAAGAACACATAAAACACCCTCACATATGCTGACTGGGCCAAGGGGATTGGGTTCCCCAGTGTGTGCCATCAAGGGCCAGCTTGGGTGCGGTGGGAGCCCTCATCCTGGGAGCAAGAAGAAACAGAACCCAGACAGATCTCTCAGATTCCTGGAACAAGTGTTTCTCAAGGCAGAAGAAAGAAGCTCTTCTGTCTCTATGGAGATTCTCTGTGATAGTAGCAATAGAATCCCCATGCTTGGATGGGAAGTTGCCAGCTGGCAGAGGTAAGATGGTCTTCAAAATGAAGGGAGATAGCAGGAGAGGTGGTCTTTTATTAGCCAGTGGTCTAGTCCAAGCTTGTTTTTAGCAACAGAAGCATATTTTCAGCAAAATATGAACACCAATATATGGTTTCTGCTGCATCTGCTTGGCCTCTCCCTCTCTTCCACCCCCACGGGGCCCTGGCTCTCCTGGAGCCACTGTGGAGCAGTGGCCTGAGCCTGGCAAGAATGTCTTAGTCATAGAGTCAGGGGTCTTAGGCCAAAAGGATACCTTCTACCTTTGCTCTGGCCCCAGGCATGGCACTGACCTTCTTTGGTGTGTTTCCCTATTTGTGCAGGTGGGTCACTGTGACATGAGTGAGATGCCTAGTGCAGTGTCTAGCCATCAGAGGTGACTGATAAGAGCTGCTTTGAATAAACAAACAAATATCTCCCTGTGCCCTAAATCTCAGCTGAAGAACAATTTAATCAGCCAGAACTGTCACTTCAGCTGGTATACCACGATCTGCCAACAAATCCAGGCTGGGTGAGGCACCAGCCTGGGGAACAGGCTTGGGGACAAAGAGCAAGAAGCAGAAGCTTGGGAGTATCACTGGGCCTCTGTACACATCCCTCACCTCCTGGGCTCAGCTGGGGTTCTGAGGGGCCGGGCTTCTTCTGCTACAGGTGGCTATTGTGAGGAAGAAGCTTGAGGTGTATGAGGAGGGAGCCTGGCCCCCACAACAGAACCTTCCATAATCCCCATAGGGACACCACAAAACAGTGAAATTCACTGCCCACTCTGCCTCTACCCTGCAGCTTGGCCAGGACAGGAACCAGTTCCCCTCCTCCAGATCCTGGAGGTCAGTGACTCCTTGCTTCTGTTCCAATACCTAGGGTTAAGGATTCCCATCCAGTGCCCAGCAACTGATTGTCACTTAGAATGCTCTGTGTCAAATGAGTAAATGGCATTGAAGCCCATATGAACAGGACCTATTATTCAAGAGATGGTGAACTTAGGGTTTGTGTTATTGTTTCTCAAACCAGAAAACCCCTGACTCCTTTTTCCACACTCAGCTACCACCCAAGTGTCCTCTCCTTACAGACTCTGAACTTCCTTGATGCTACAGAGATTTCACTGACTCCCTGCTCTCCCACCTGCCCCACACCCTGCTTCTCACATCCTTATTTCCCCCTTAGATTTTCTACTCCCTTTCCCACTGTACCCTCCCACTCAGCCCTGCACCCAAGAGCTCCCTGCAGGACCTCAAACCCTTCAAGAGAAGAACCTGGGACAGAAGCCCAAGTGAAGAGTGTCATGGAATAGTCAAACACAAGAGGGATGGAGCCTGCCATCCAGGCCTGTGCATTTTTTTAAATACCCAGTTATATCAATAGTCTTATCTTCCTTATAATGTGTGGTTCATGATATAGAGATATAGATGTGGTTCATGATATAGAATGAGTTGCCACTATGTCCATTTTAATTTTAATTCTTCCTTTTTTCAAAAAGGCCTGAGGCAGTGTTATAAAAAGAGTTTTTGTTCTCTAAGCACATAGCGACTGAGGGCAATGGAGGGGGTTTGGAGATGTCCAGGCAGGTAGATACTTGAAGATAAATCATTTCCATAGATAATTCACACTTAATAATTATTCATATTCCTTTATTATAGGTGTGCCTTACAGAAAAAAATACTTTATTGGAATCTAAATTTACAACAATAATTGCATTACCCTGATAATTTCCTTTAAATAGCCCCTCCTAGTGTATGTGAAATATGCACTGATTTACAAATACTTTTTCAAGATTTTAATCATCAAATAAAGAGCACAGACTAATGTATTTTTGAGAGTTTTCTCAGAACCAGGATGAACATAGCCTATCTTATATAATCTCCTCTTATCCTAATAAGGTAGCCCTATTTTACAGGAAACAATATTTAGCTAAACTTACAGTGCTTTTTATGAGCCACATATTCTTTAAACATTTTGTATGTAATATACTCATCCAACCACCATTCTAATAATAATATTCATTAGTGCACGCATTTGTTAGCACCATTTTAAAGTTGTGGAGATGGAGATTAATCAATGTGTCCAAGATTACCCAGCTGGGAGATGTTGGAGGAAGAATTTGAGCAGGAAGCTGGCAGTCTGACTTGAGCTGTGTTGTTAGCTGCTCCCTTGCATTGCCCTAGGGTAGATAAACTTATGATCACAGCACTAGCCAGTGACAGATCTGAGAGGAATCTAAGTCCTTCTAAGTCCAAAACCACTTACTGCCCTTTTTCTATTTCCTAAGTAACTAACTGTCTTTGTCATGCGGTATTTTTAGTGGGTAATACCTCCCACCAGTACCTGCAGCCATCACGGCCAGCCTTGGCTTTAATGAAGTGTATGGCAGTGCAGTAGCCATGGCTAAGAGGGTGGTGAGTCTGGCCAGCAAGTCTGGGGTAAGGCAGGAGGGAACCAGGGGACCAGTTTAGGTTCCTCAACCACACCTGGAATAATAGGGACAGGTCACAACACAGAAGCCCCTGGTAAGGCTGGGTCTGAGTAAGGGTGAAAATTTCCTTCTTTCTGTTCCAAGTTGGCCCTGAAGGTGCTGTGCTTGGCCCATAAACAATATTTCCTGCTCCAAGAAGCTAACCTCCTGACCTATATGATCACAGAATTTGAGACCATGCAGCAGCTAGTGCAGGAGGAAAAAATTCAGCCTGGGTCAGAGGCCTGCAGAACTTCTGGCCTGGCCAGGGCAGCAACTTTGGATCAGGACCTGTGTTCAGAGTCAAGTGAGTCTCACTCCTTCTCTGCCCTGCCTATGGGTGCTGTCTCCAAGGCCCAGCTGGGGCTGAGAGATGTCCAGGGGGTCTCAGTTGTGGGGTTATGCTACAGTAGAAGTCTGGAACCCTAGGATCATGGGTTTTGTACACAGACAGGCCCCAGGAGACCTGAAAAGTTAGGGGCAACTTGATGTCTCCAGCATCTGGCTCTCCAAGTTTTACAAATACTCCTTCCTCTGGCCAGTCCCTGATCTTTCCTCAGCACCCTCCTTCTCTCTGCCCAGAGTCTCCAGGATTCTCTGGCCATGTGACCTGAACCATGGCAGGGTGATTGAGTGGTTCCATACAAACTCTGAGGATCCCACCTGGGCCTGACTGCACCATGGCCAAGATATCTCAATGTCCCATGAAGACGAAGAGGAGGAGATCATGCCTCTTTGAGCCAGGGAGTTATCTGGCCCCAAAGTGGGTCACCAAATGCTAATACCAGTCTCTCCTGCCCTGCCTGAGGAGAGGGGCTCTGCCTGAGACCCAGGCTTCATTTGGGCCCAGCACCCCTCAGGAGGGAAGAGCCTCCTTCCCCTGCCATTTTTCTTATGTCTTCTCAGCCACAGTCATCAAACTCTAGATGCCACTGGGCCCTTCCACCATGAAGAATGCTCCCCTCTCTGGCCCCACCTACTTGAAATTTCAATGTCATGTTTGATCTCTCTGAGGAGTGTCTCTCATAGCTCAGTTTCCATGAAAGCATTGGCTGGGACAAAGTTCCCCAGGAGCTGAAAAGGCTGGACCAGCCCTTTGTCCCAAGGTGAGTCTCCTAGTCTCTCTCCCACCCCTCCTGGCAGGGAGTCAGTGGTCAGCAAGGGACAATGGTGCTGCCAAGAAAACTGGAGGATAGCCTGACTCCTGGAGGCAGGATATTTTCTGTCTTTTTCCCTTTGATTGTAATCAGCTTTGCTCTCCAGTCTCAGGAGAGCAGAGTGTACAGTTGCCAGGGAGGTGGTGTTTCTCTCAGAACCTTGCTTGTCTATGCTGCAAACTATTAACTGTGTGCTTGTTTTTGGCATGCTCATGGGTAGCTGATGGGACCCCAACTTGGGAAGAGTCAGCAGAGAACAGGGATGAATGAGGGGAATCCAGTGCTGTCTGTTCCTCTGCTTTGCTTGGGCCCTTCAGCCTGGCTGTATTTGGTGTTCCACTGGGAACTACCTATTTCTACCACTTCCATGTTCAATTTTTGCCCTCCAGCTTAGCATGTGAAATAGGGAAGGGGGCCCTCAGAAAACTTTATTCAGTATTTTCTAGTGAGAAAATGAAGGTCTCACACTTGCCTTCTATGTACATGGCAGGGTAGGGGAACAGCAACCTGCTCAGGACAGTCCAAGGCCAACACTGAGTGGCAGAGCAACCTGAAATCGGGAGGCAGAGGTCAGCAGTCTGCCCACCGCAAACCCTACCCCTTTCACAGCCTGAGAACCAGCTCTCAGTATAAAGCTTGGAGCCAAGGAAGTAGAAGGGTGAAAATGTTTGAACTCCAGTATCCTGGATGCATCAGAAACTGACATCTGGATGTCCTTTCTGAGCAAGCCTGTCACTCAGCTGTCAGCCAGACTGAGTGAGACAGAAACCTCAGAGGTCATCTTGTCCAACCCCCTCCCCCCACACCCCCCAACTGGTGGCTGGAGGATGTGGCTGGCCCCACTTTCTTGTTCCCTGTAGGTCAGCTTCCATTCCTTTTTTTTTTCTCTTCAGTGGACCCATCTCCTCGTTCACCATGAAGGGCCCCAAGCCAAAGTCTTTTCTCCCTGGGACTTTAGCCTGTGAAAAGAGGCACATGGTGAGGTGAGGTTTAGGAGGTTTCAGCTGTGGGAGAAAGAGCTTTCACCAAGGCAGTGGACACCTGGGCCAACTCTGGGCCCACTGTGTGTCTCTGAACCCCTTGGAGAAAGCAGCTGAGGTCCTGTGAGCAAGGGCCTGCATCTAGTTCTCTGAGGTTTCCTTGGCCCTTGATATTTCAGAATTACTCCAGAGCTGAAATGGGCTACAGTCCCCCTCTTCATTAGAAAGACATTTAGCTTTATTGTCTAACCAAGTGATTGGAGTATCTACCCACTCACAGATACTTTCTTCCTATGTCTCAAACCCCACAAGCCTCTCCTCCTTCAGTGTCTCTGCTGCCCTTGGATCTGGTCCCAAATGTGCCTGTTGATGACCAGCATCCTGAACGCTCAATGCTTAGTGTCTAGTACTTACACCCCCACCAAATGCACACTCACAGTCCAGAGGCATGGCTGTAACCTTCTCACGTTTCCTTCTTCCCTCCTTCAGCTTCTTAGTCTCCCAGGGCCACTGTCCCAGCACCCACCTTCCCAGCAGCACTCTGAACAGACCATCTGGGCCGCTTGCAATCCCAGGTGACTGGCACTGCAGATGTTACAAGCCTGAGCCAAAGAGGCAATCAAAGACAGGAAGTAGAAGAGGACAGAGTGGGCTGAAACCCAGATGAAAGGAGGGCCCAAGGCACTGCCAGGCATCTCAGGGACACTAATGAGAGAGGTGGAAGGTTGGCTGGGGGCAGGAGTACACTGGGACAGAGACTCAATTTTATCCTTTTTTTCTGCATTTCCCTGACTTTAAAATGACCTGCGGAGCTGCCCATGGGTCCCCTCTGACCTAGCAACTGGAGAAGTGAAAAGATACTCTTTGCAATTGGGAGAGTGCTGTCAGCTGGGAATTGCATCACCAGGGTTTCCTGACTCACCAGCCCATCCAGGCTGCCCATGCCAACTTGGTCCTAGAGCCACCTACACCAGGAGTCCTGACCTACTTTTCCTCAGAGCAATCAGCCCCAACACACTTTTCCCTTATTAATACATCCTTTCCCCAGTCATTCTGCTGCTGACCCTCTTCATTAATCTCCTGTTGCACTCGGCTTCTCAGCATGTACATATTCATTTTTGAGGGTTAATGTATTGCTATTTTAAAGGGTGCTCCTGGCTGGGCCCAGTAGCTCATGCCTGTAATCTCAGCACTTTGGGAGGCCAAGGCAAGCAGATCACCTGAGGTCAGGAGTTTGAGATCAGCCTGGCCGACATGGTGAAACCCCATCTCTACTAAAATAACAAAAAAAAATTAGCCAGGCATGGTGGCAGGTGCCTGTAATCCCCGCTAATCAAGAGGCTGAGGCAGGAGAATCGCTTGAACCGAGGAGGCAGAGGTTGCAGTGAGCTGAGATCGAGCTATTGCACTCCAGCCTAGGTGACACAGCAATACTCCCTCTCAAAAAAAAAAAAAAAAAAAAAAAAAAAAAAGGTGCTCCTATGTTCCCATCTCATTGAAGCCAACATAGTCTGCTTTTGGGAACTTAAAATTGCACAGTTACTTTAAAAACAGTTTGAAAGTTTCTCAAATGTTAAACAGATAGTTATGATCCATAATACCAGGTCTAGTTATATACCCAAGTGAATTAAAAACACATTCAAACAAAAATTTGTACATGAATATTCATAGCAGCCTATTCATTATAATTAGAAAGTTTAAACGACCTAAATGTCCATCCATTGGTGAACAGACAAATTTGTTTGTATATTATGTTAATGGAATATAATTCAACCTTCATAATTAATAAAGTACTGAGATATACTACAACATAAATGTACATCATAAACAATATGCTAAATGAAAGCAGACACTAAAGTCCACTTATTTTATAATTGCACTTACATAAAATGTTCAGAATAGAAAAAGTAGATTCGTGGTTTACAGGAACCTCTAGAGGTATGTGAGATGTGAGGCATGACTGTTAATAGGTATGGGGTTTTGGCTGGACGTGGTGGCTCACGCCTGTAATCCCAGCACTTTGGGAGGCCAAGGCAGGCAGATCACGAGGTCAGGAATTTGAGACTAGCCTGGCCAACATGGTGAAACCTCGTCTCTACTAAAAAGACAAAAATTAGCTGGGCATGGTGGCGAGCACCTCTAATCCCACCTACTCAGGAGGCTGAGGCAGGAGAATCATTTGAACCCCAGAAGCAGAGGTTGCAGTGAGCCGAGATCACACCATCGCACTTCAGCCTGGGCAGCAGGGTGAGACTCCACCTTAAAAACAAAAAAATAGGTATGGGGTTTATTTTGGGGGCAATCAAGTGTTCTGTGTCTTCTTATACATAAGTGGAATCTTCTTTGACTAGTTTTTAAATCTATCACTTTGTATTGTATCATCTAATCTCTTTATTTTTCCCTATTTTCTTCATTTTCATCTTCTATTTTCTTTGTGATGATATGTCTATTGGCTTGTTTCTTGTATTTTTTCTAAAGTTATTTTTTTGTTTTTCTTCTTATTTTGCTTCTTATTTGCTTTTCTGAGATCTGTTAGCACTATTTTCTATTTTTCTATTGTCTAATCATTCCTATCTCTTCCCAAATCAGCAATATACTGTTCTTTAAAAGCTTCTATTGGTTTTCTAAATATTCTTAATTACTGTTATTTGAAATATTAGATTATAGCTTTCATCTGTGTTGTATATAATCACAAAACTTTGTTGTTTATAAAAATGTTTTATTGCTTATTATAATTTTTAATCTTGTTAGCAATTTTAGGAATGCCTGTCTCTCAGAGCCTTCTAATATCACTTTGTCCTCTTTCCCGTTCCAGACATTTGTTTTTATACCAAACAAGTATTGTTGCACTTGACAGTTTGGCCCAGCAAAATAATTTTAGTACAAGGATATCTTGTCACTTCATTTGGCTGAAGATGTTTTAATATAATTTTGTTTGTTTTTGTCTTTAATTCAGTTTCTCTGTTCATTGGGTTATTTTGAAATTTAAAAGATTTATGCTAAAGTGATGCAATAAAGAAAAAGTAGTCTTTTCAACAAATAGTGCTGTAGCCATTAAACAGGTATGTGCAAAAATAATGAATTTAGATAAAAACATTACATTCTATATAAAAGTTAATCCAAATTGATCACAAACCTAGAAGTAAGATACAAAATTATGAAACTTCTAGATGATAATATAAGAGAAAATCTAGATAACTTTGGGTTTGGAGAAGACATTTTGGAGGCAACACTGGAGGCATAATCCATTTTTTTACACAGTGAATAAGCTGTACTTCACTGAAGTTAAAAATTTACACTTTGTTTAAAATGCTGTCAAAAGAATAAGAAGATGAGCCACAGACAGGGAGAAAATATTTGCAAAAGACATATTAAAGGACTACTATTCAAAATATACAAAAAAGACCTAGAAATCATCAATAAGAAAATAAACAACCCAAAAAAATGGGTTAAAGGCAGATAACTTACCAAGATGACACATAGCTATATGAAAAGGATGCTTCACATCATATGTCATTAGAGAAATGCAAATTACAACAATTAAATCTCACTGGCCAGCCACAGTGGCTCATACCTCTAATCCCTGCACTTTGGGAGGAAGAGGTGGGCAGATCACTTCAGGTCAGGAGCTCAAGACCAGCATTGCCAACATAGTGAAACCCTACCTCTACTAAAAATACAAAAATTAGCTGGACATGGTGGCAAGTGCCTGTAATCCCAGCTACTTGGGAGGCTGAGGCAGGAGAGTAGCTTGAACCCAGGAGGTGGAGGTTGCAGTGAGCTGAGATCACACTGTGCCACTGCACTCCAGCCTGGGAGGCAGAGCAAGACTCCATCTTGGAAAAAAATTATATATCACATCATACATACTAGAATTACCAAACTCTACAACACAAACAACAAATGTTGGCAAGAGTATGGAGGAACAGAAAATCTTAGTCACTGTTAATGGGATTGCAAAATGTTACACCCACTTTGGAAAACAGTTTAGTTTTGTAGTCTCCCAAAATTAAGTATTCTCTTACCATATGATTCAGCAATTGTGCTCCTTGGTATTTACTCAAAGGAGTTAAAAACAGGTTTACACAAAAACCTGCACATGGATGTTTATAGCAGCTTTATTCATAATTGCCAAAATGTGAAAGCAACCAAGATGTATGTTAGTAGGTGAGTGGATAAACAAACTGTGGTACACCTAGACAATAAAATGGTATTTAGTGCTAAAAAGAAATAAGCTAGAAAGCCATAAGAAACATGAAAGAAATCTAAATGCATATTACCAAAGGAAGTATGTCAATCCGGAAAGCCTACAAACTGTATGTTTCCAACTCTATGACATTCAGTACCACAGTTTGTTTAGACAAGACTATAGGGAAGATAAATATATTAGTGCTTCCCAGGCACTGGGGAGAGAAAAATATAAATAGGAAAAATGCAGAAAATGTTTAGGGCAGTAAACTACTCTGTGTGATACTGTTATGGTAGATACATGGTCATTATACATTTGTCCCAATCCGTAGAATGTACAACACCAACAAAGAACACTACTGTGAAATATGGACTCTGAGTGATAATGATGTGTCAATGTAGGTTCATCAATTTTAATAAATATACCACTCTGGTAGGAAATATTGATCATGGGAGAAGCTATGCATATGTGTGGGAAGGGGGTATACATAAAATCGCTATACCTTCTGCTCGATTTTTCTGGTAACCTAAAAACACTCTAGAAAGAAACTGTATTGTGTTAGGATTTTCCAGAGAAATAGAATCAATTAGATATATACAGACATGTAAAAGGGGATTTACTATAGTAATTGTCTTATATGATTATAAAGTCTCATGATGTTTCATCTGCAAGCTGGAAAACCAGAAAACCCAGTAGTGAAATTCAGTCTGACTTCAAAGGCCTGAGAAACAGGGGAGCCTATGGTACAACTTTCAGTCCAAGGCTAACGCCCTGCAAACATGGGACTCCACTGTCCAATGGCTGAAAAAGTGGATGTGCCACATTCATGAGAGAGTAAATTCATCCTTCTTCTGCCTTTATATGCATCCTCAGTGGGTTAGCTGGTGCCTGTCCACATTTGACTGTCCACATCTTTACTCAGTTCACTGATTCAAACACTAATGTCTTTCCAAAGCACCCTCACAGACACATCAGAAATAATGCTTTCTTGGCTATCTGTGTAACCTTTAATATGGACACATAAAAGTAAATATTGGCCAGGTGTGGTGGCTCACACCTGTAATCCCAACACTTTGGAAGGCTGAGGTGGGCAGATCACAAGGTCAGAAGTTTGAGACCAGCCTGGCCAATAGGGTGAAACCTCGTCTCTACTAAAAATACAAAAATTCATCAGGCATGGAGGCAGTTGACTGTAGTCCCGGCTACTCAGCTGAGGCAGAAGAATCACTTGAACCTGGGAGGCAGAGGTTGCAGTGAGCTGAGATTGCACCACTGCTCTCCAGTCTGGGTGACAGAGTGAGATTTCATCTCAAAAAGAAAAAAAGTAACTATCACATCTATTTAAGAAGCCAGGCACAGTGGCTCACACCTGTAATCCCAGCACTGTGAGAGGCAAAGGCAGGAAGATTGCTTGAGCTCAGGAGTTCAAGACCAGCCTGAATAACATAGCTGACAAAGCAGGAGCACCGTCATCTCAGACAAACACTGTCACTTTAAGTTTCAGCTGCCTTTCCAGCTTCATGCATTTCAAGAAAATCACTTCTCTTCTAACTACAGGCAGCCAGAAAAGAGCTAATAGTAAAACATAGATAAGACAGCTCAGCCACAGTGGAAGGCAGGGAGGAAGTCTCTTGGGTAACTGCCAAACTTCACCTCATACAATGGGGCCCCAGTAAAACAGTGGGCCTTAATAGGCACATTCTTTCCCTTCTGGTGCACTAAGAGAGAGAAGCTAAAGGCAGACTCAAGGGATATGCCTGCAGCTGCAGAAAGATGTGTGGGAACAGACACACAATTCTCCTGCCCAGATAAGCACAACAAAGAGACACAGAAGAAGTCCAAGCCTCTGATAAATTCTCCCACCCTGAATCCTTAAAAATGCTTAGTCTGTAAGACAGTGTGCCTCTGACCCAATTCAGCCAACCATCACTCCGAGGTTTAAAATAAACTTATTAACTATTGAGTCACCCTTCGTGTTTCTCTCCTTTCTTTAATTCTTAAAATAGTGAGACCCACCTCTAAACTAAACAAACAAAAAAAATTAGCTAAGCATGGTGGCATTGGTGGCATGTGCCTGTGCAGTCCAAGCTAGTCAGGAGGCTGAGGTGGGAGGATCATTTGAGCCCAGAAAGTCAAGGCTGTGGGGAGAGAAGACTGCACCAGTGCACTCCAGCCTTGGTGGGAAAGCAAGACACCTTTTAAAAAAAAAGCAAAAACAAAAACCTGTGCTGCTGTTAGTGATGTTATCAGTAGCAGCCTTTTTTTTTTCAAATTTTTACTCTTTAAAAATGATGCAGGCCATGTGAGGTGGCTCACGTCTGTAATCCCAACACTTTGGGAGGTCAAGGCAGGTGGACAACCTGAGGTCAGGAGTTCCAGACCATCCTGGCCAACATGGTGAAACCCGGTCTCCAATAGAAACACAAAATTAGCCAGGCATGGTGGCGCATGCCTGTAATCCCATCTACTAAGGAGGCTGAGGTGGGAGAATCACATGAAACCAGGAGAAGGAGGTTGCAATGAGCACAGATTGTACCACTGCACTCCAGCCTGAGTGACAGGGAGAAACTCTGTCAAAAAAAAAAAAAAAAAAAAAAAGAAAAGGAAGAAGAAAGATAGAAAGAAAAGAAAAAATAAATAAGAAACAAAGGAAAAAACATAGAAAGGAGATCTTTATGGAATTCCAAGTACTAATCAATGTAGATGGATAATGCAAAATAGAAAATTATCATTAGAACATCGCATTAATAATTATTGTAGACAAGACGTACTAAGGAATGCAAAAATAGCAGGTGAAATTTAAAGGAGAAACTGTGTATTTACATGGCCCAAGAGTACCTGCCTCCAAATATTTATAAACAGCATTTTCTCTTTTTTCTTTTCTTTTCTTTTCTTTTCTTTTCTTTTTTTTTTTTTTTTTTTTGAGATGGTGTCTCACTTTATCACCCAGACTGAAGTTCAGTGGTGCAGTCTTGGCTCACTGCAACATCTGTCTCCTGGGCTCAAGTGATTCTCCTGCCTCAGCCTCCCAAGTAGCTGGGATTACAGGTGCCCACCACCACGCCCAGCTAATTTTTGTATTTATTTAGTAGAGATGGGGGTTTCACCATGTTTGCCAGGCTGGTCTCGATCTCCTGATCTTAGATGATCTGCCTGCCTCGGCCTCCTAAATTTCTAGGATTACAGGTGTGAGCCACTGTGCCAGGCCCTATTAAGAGAATTTTCTCTTAATTTTTTTATGATATGACTATTCTAAAGAAGGATTATCACACAGTATTGTGACATATATAATGTGTAGGTGTAAAATATATGAGTCACATAAAGAATAGAAGGAGGTAATTAAAACTTCACAGCAAGCACCCACACAAGGTGATTTTTACATGCAGACTGGTGTGAAACAAATTGGTTGAGGGCAAAAGATGCACTTGCTGTCTGATTTTCATGTGTGCTGCTGAGATTTTCTCCATGGCAGCTTCTGACTTTGGAATCTTGAAAAGAAGCTTTGCCATGTTAAAAATCAAAACACACTTCTAGATGTACTCAGCAGAAGGAAATGTTTTCTTTGCAGATCTAAATATAAGTCACTTGATTTCAAAGTAAGAGGTTGTTTGAAGGGGGCCTGCCCCTCCACAACTGTGGGTATTTCTCTCAAGGTGGAGATGAAAGACTGAGAAAAGAAATGAGACACAGAGACAAAGTATAGAGGAAGAAAAGTGGGCCCAGGGGACCGGCGATCAGCAAGTGAGGACCTGCACCGGTGCTGGTCTCTGAGTTCCCTCAGTATTGATTGATCACTATCTCTACTATCTTGGCCAGAGGGATGTGACAGGACTATAGGGTAATGGTGGGGAGAGGGTCAGCAGGAAAACATGTGAGCAAAGGAATCTGTGTCATAAATAATTTCAAGGAAACGTACTGTGCCTGGATGTGCATGTAGGCCACATTTATGTTTAACTTTACACAAATATCTCAGTGTAGTAAAGAGTACCAGAGCAGTATTGCCACCAGCATGTCTCAGCTCCAGCCATAGGGAGGTTTTCTCCTATCTCAGTAAATAGAATGTGTGGTCGGGTTTTACACTGAGACATTCCATTCCCAGGGACAAGCAGGAGACAGATGTTTTCCTCTTATCTCAACTGCAAAGAGGCGTTCCTCTTTCACTAATCCTCCTCAGCACAGAGCCTTTATGGGTGCTGGGCTGGGGGACTGTAAGGTCTTTCCCTTCCCATGAGGCAATATCTCAGCTCTCTCAGTGGGGGCAAACCTGGACAATACACAGGCTTTCTTGGACAAAGGTCCCTGTGGCTCTCCGCAGTGCATTGTATCCCTGGTTAATCAAGAATGGAGAATGGTGAAGACTTTTACCAGGCATACTGCCTGCAAACAAATTGTTAACAAGGCACATCCTGCACAGCCCTAAATCCATTAAATCTTGATTCAATACAGCTCATGTTTCTGTGAGCACAGGGTTGAGGTTAAGGTTACAGATTAACAGCATCTCAAAGCAGAATAATTTTTCTTAGTACAGATCAAAATGGAGTTTCTTATGTCTTCCTTTTTCTACATAGACACAGTAAGAGTCTGATCTCTCTTCCTTTCCCCCACAGTTGTTTTAGGCACAGTAGTTTTAGTCAGTGTTGAAAATAATAGATAGCCTACAAATGTCAAAAAGGGATGAAAAGAGTTTGCACACATATGAAATATGTTTTGTTTAGCCTAACTCTGCCTCCTTATATAGTTTAAATTCAGCCTAAAGGTTTCTTCATACGTGGTAAACTGAAACCTAACTGGAGGTGTAAACAGACTGTAACCTATTTTTGTGCAAGTAACTGAGATTTGGCCAATCAATGGTGCCCAACTGTTCAATCCATGTTTAAATAAGGCAAATGTCAAGGTGTAATCAATCCAGCTGTTTGTGTACCTCTCTTCTTTCTCTGTAATTCACTTTTCTTTTTCTGTGCATAAATATTCTTTCATTATATTTTTACCAGAAAGGGGTCCCAATCTGGACCTCAAAAGAGAGTTTTTGCATCTCACATAAGAAATAATTCAGGGTGACAGGCCAATCATGGTGGCTCACACCTGTAATTTCAGCACTTTGGGATGCCAAGGCACATGGATCACCTGAAGTCAGGAGTTTGAGACTAGCCTGACCAACATGGTGAAACCCTGTCTCTACTAAAAATACAAAATTAGCCAGGCATGGTGGTAGGTGGCTGTAATCCCAGTTACTCGGGAAGCAGAGGCAGGATAATTGCTTGAACCCAGGAGGTGGAGGTTGCAGTGAGCCCAGATTGTGCCACTGCACCCCAGCCTAGGGGACAGAGGGAGACTCTGCCTCAAAATAAATAAATAAATAAATAAATAATTCAGGGTGATTCCATAAAGTAAAAGCAAGTGTATTAAGAAAGTAAAGGAATTAAAGAAAGGCTACTCTGTGGACTGCTTGAGTGCATATACTTATTTCTTAATTTCATACTAAAACAAAGGGATTGGTGGGATGCGGTAGCTCATGCCTGTAATCCCAGCATTTTGGGAGGCCAAGAGGGGAGGATCATGAAGTCAAGAGGTCGAGAACATCCTGGCCAACATAGTGAAACCCTGTCTCTACTAAAATTACAAATATTAGCTGGGTGTGGTGGCATGTGCCTGTAGTCCCAGCTACTTGGGAGGCTCAGGCAGGAGAATCACTTGAACCTAAAAGGCAGAGGTTGCAGTGAGCTGAGATCTTGACACTGAACTCCAGCCTGGTGACAGAGCAAAACTCCCTCTCAAAAAGCAAAAAAACAAAATGGCCATGCGCTGTGGCTCATGCCTATAATCCCACCACTTTGGGACTCTGAGGTGGGCAGATCACAAGGTCAAGAGATGGAGACCATCCTGGCCAATATGGTGAAACCCCATCTCTACTAAAAACACAAAAATTAGCCGGGTGTGGTGGCGTGTGCCTGTAGTCCCAGCTACGTGGGAGGCTGAGGCAGGAGAATCGCTTAAACCCAGGAGGTGGAGGTTGCAGTGAGCTGAGATCGTGCCACTGCACTCCAGTCTGGTGACAGAGCAAGACTCCATCAAAAAAAAGTGATTATTCATGATTATTCATGAGTTTTCCAGAAATGGTGAAGGCAATTTCTGGAACTGAGGTTTTCTCTGCCTTTTAGACTAAACATCGGAACTTCTGCACATTGTCATGGCATTTTTAAACCGTCATGGTGCTGGGGGGAGTGTCTTTTAGCATGCTTCTGCATTATAATTAACATATAATGTGCAGCGAAGTTGACCAGAGGTCACTTTTATTGTCATCTTAGATTTGATGGATTTTTGGACAGTTTCTTTACTATATTCTGTTTTATCAGCAGAGTCTTTATCCCCTGTATTTTGTGATATCAGTCCTGTTGACCTCCTTCCTGTGACTAGGAATGCCTAACCTCCTGGGAATGCAGCCCAACAGGTCTCAGCCTTATTTTGCCTAGCCCATATTCAAGATGGAGTTGCTCTGGTTTGAACATTTTTGACAATGTAGTTGCTTGAGAGTCTCTCTGACCCTATTCTGGCTCAAGACTGCCCTATTTTTGAATCATTCTTTGCTCAATTAAACTCCGTTAAATTTAATTTGTCTAAGATTTTCTACATTTTTTTTTCTTTTTTTGAGATAGAGTCTTACTCTGTCACCCAGGCTGGAGTGTAATTGTGCGATCTCAGCTTACTGCACTCTCCGCCTCCCAGGTTCAAGTGATGCTTCTGCCTCAGCCTCACTAGACTAGCTAGGATTACAGGCACCTGCCACAATGTCTGGCTAAGTTTTGTATTTTTAGCAGAGACGGGATTTCTGCTAAATGTTGGCCAGGCAGGCTAGTCTCAAACTCCTGACCTCAGGTGATCTGCCTGCCTCGGCCTCCCAAAATGCTGGGGTTACAGGCATGAGCCACCGTGCCCAGGAAATTTTCTAAATTTTAACAGACTGCATCAATAGTGGAATCTGAGGTAGAGCCTCTAGTGACCACCAGGAGTACCAGGTGACAAAACAATAACCCATTGTTTCCATGGCTCTTTTGCAGCATCTGGGAATTTTAGTAAGTTTTCTCTTGGATTCCAAAGTGTCATAAAATTTTGTTTTGAGCTCTCTGAGTTAGTTTAAGAAAATTTAAAATCTGAACTTGATTTGGATGTCAGGACAAAACCTGGACTGGGTCCAGGATCAGTTTGGATCTAATAATTAACTAACTGGAATTCAGTTAGAGGTCTCTTATGTCTCACTGGGTAAGACAGAAATCAATTGTAATGTAACCATGTAAAGGATTCACCTTGTCCACTGCCTAGACAGAGCTAATTTATCAAGACAGGGGAATCGCAATACAGAAAGAGTAATTCAGGCAGAGCCACCTGTATGAGAGTCCAGAGTTTTATTATTACTCAAATCAGTCTCCCGAAGCATTTGGGAAGTTGAGTTTTTAAAGATAATTTGGTGCATAGTGTAATGCCAGTGAGTGTTGACCTGTTGGGTCAGAAATAAAATCATAGAAAGTCAAAGCTGTTTTCTTGAACTAAGTCAGTTCCTGGGTGGGGGGCACAGATCAGGTAAGCCAGTTTATCAATTTGGGTGATGCCAGCTGATCTATCCAGTTCAGAGTCTGAAAAATATTCCAAGCACTAATCTTAGATTTTACAGCTGTGATGGGGCCAGGCATGGTGGCTCATGCCTGTAATCCCAGCACTTTGGGAGGCTGAGGTTGGTGGATTACCTGAGGTCAGAAGTTGTAGACCAGCCTGGCCAACATGGTGAAAACCCCTCTCTACTAAAAATACAAAATTAGCTGGGTGTGGTGGCAGATGCCTGTAATCCCAGCTACTTGGGAAGCTGAGGCAGGAGAATCACTTGGACCTGGGAGGTGGAGGTTGCAGTGAGCCAAGATGGCACCATTGCATTCCAGCCTGGATGACAGAGTGAGACTCTGTCTCAAAACACAAACACACACACACACACAAAACAGTGATGTTATCCCCAGGAGCAGTTAGTGTAATGCCAGAATCTTGTAGTCTCCAGCTGCATGACTCCTAAACCATAATTTCTAATCTTGTGGCTAATTTGCTAGTCCTACAAAGGCAGTCTTGTCTCCAAGAAAGAAGGAAGTTTGTGTTAGGAAAGGGCTGCTATTGCCTTCATTTTGAACTATAAACTAAGTTCCTCCCAAAATTAGTTCAGCCTACACACAAGAGTGAACAGGGACATCTTAAACATTAGAAGCAAGATGGAGTTAGTTACATCAGCTCTCTTTCACTGACTCAGGTATAATTTTGCAATGGTGGTTTCAGTAAATGGCAATATTTCAAGGGATGTAAACATTGGCTTCTGAAAATTTGCAGGAATTTTTGTTTACTTCCCCCTTTGTTATTTTTTCTTGTGCTTTTAGGCAGAGAAAAATTACTGGCTAAGTTGTTCAGAAAGATCTAAGCTAAAGCCAAGGTTCTAAAATTAACAATGCAAAAATTGTATTAGTGAGAAAAATTACAACAGTAAGCTGAGCTAACTCACCCTCTATCTCAACTTTCCCTTAAGTATTCCTGGGCTATTGGGCCCAGCTAACTAGTGAAAACCTTCAGGCTGTTGTTTAAATGATAATAGGCCTTGGCTCCAAACTCAACTTTTGTTTGGGAGGCCATCAGGCTTGATGGGAAGAGGGAAGCCTGAGTCCTGCCAAGGCACAGACATGAAGGAAGTCAGCCATTATTCTGGAGGTTATAAAATATGCAACATCTCCAATTGCTCCTGCAAACATTGTCACTTCTATAGTACATAAGATTAGCCTTTTGAGATATCTCTACAAGTTTTATGCATGTCTTATCCCCATGGCTTCATCTGGACCTGATGGCTTCTTCTAGACTAACCAACCCAGCTCCTGTGGCCCCACCCACAAGTTATTCAAACTACAGAAAGACAGCTTTGACCCCTTATGTTTTTGACCTCCTATAATTTTATCTCCACTCCAACTAATCAGGAGCAAGCACCTGTTCGCTGACCAACTCACTCCTTATTGAAACTGCCTTTGAAAGACCCCTCACAGCTGGGTGCAGTGGCTCATGCCTGTAATTCCAGCTGGGAGGCCGAGGTGGGTGGATCACCTGAGGTCAGGAGTTTGAGACCAATCTGTTCAACACAAGGAAATCCCATCTGTACTAAAAATACAAAACTTAGCTGGGTGTGGTGTTGGGTGTCTGTAATCTCAGCTACTCGAGAGGCTGAGGCAGGAGAATTGTTTGAACTCGGGAGACTGAGGTTGTAGTGAGTGGAGATCACCCTGTTGCACTCTAGCCTGGGTGACAAGAATGAAACCAGAAAGAAAGAAAAGAAAGAAAGAAAGAAAGAAAGAAAGAAAGAAAGAAAGAAAGAGAAAAGAAAGAAGGAAGGAAGGAAGGAAGGAAGGAAGGAAGGAAGGAAGGAAGGAAGGAAGGAAGGATAAAGAAAAGAAAGAAAGAAAAGAAAGAAAGAAAAAGAAAGAAAGAAAGAAAGACCCTCACCGATAAGCTTTGGATAAGATTATTTTTTGTTGTTTTTGTTTGTTTTCTGAGACGGAGTTTCACTCTTGTTGCCCAGGCTGAAGTACAACTGTGCAATCTCAGCTCACTGCAACCTCTGCCTCTCAGGTTCAAGTGATTCTCCTGCCTCAGCCTCCAGAGTAGCTGGGGTTACAGGCACCCACCACCACGCCTGGCTAATTTTTGTATTTTTAGTAGAGACAGGGTTTTGCCATGTTGGCCAGGCTGGTCTCAAACTCCTGACCTCAAGTGATCCGCCTGTCTTGGCCTCCCAAAGTGCTAGGATTATAGGCGCGAGCCACTGTCCCCATCTGGATGAAGTGATTTAAGTACAAACTCTATTTTGCATGTAGAGTGACTGCCTCATGTCTATTGAGCACTTTCTTTAGTACAATGCAGTTTTCTTTATGAAGTGTGCAGAAAGAACCCCGTGGGCAATTACAATTCAAGATAAAATGAAATTTTTAATTTTTTTTCTTTTTTTTTTTAAGATTGAGTCTCATTCTGTCACATAGGCTGGAGTGCAGTGGCACAATCTCCTCTCATTGCAAGCTCTGCCCCCCGGGTTCATGCCATTCTCCTGCCTCAGCCTCCTGAGTAGCTGGGAATACAGGCGCCAGCCACCACGCCTGGCTAATTTTTTTGTATTTTTAGTAGAGACAGGGTTTCACATTAGCCAGGATGGTCTCAATCTCCTGACCTCGTGATCCGCCTGCCTTGGCCTCCCAAAGTGCTGGGATTACAGATGTGAGCCACCGCATCCAGCTGAAATTTTTAATTTTTTAAAAACTGAGTAGTTTACCTTTCAGCTAAGACTACATTTATATGTACAACTATTAGGCCCTGGAAGGTTTCCCAGACTAAACAGGGGTCTGGCTGCTTGTTCTTATGGTCCAATAATGAGATGCATAAAAACTGAGAAAGAAGAGAGTTTATTTCTTCAACTGGCTACAGAGAGACAGTCAGAATAACTCACTGGACCAACTCGACGTTACAGGCTTCTTTTCCAGTGCTTATATACATTCAAACCATATGCCTATATGTGGTAGTGCACCTACGGGCTAAAGAGATTACAGGCTTGAGCCACTGCGCCCGGCTAAAGCCAGCTTTTAGATTGTTGGTAAAAGTAGAAATGACTTCAGAATAATCAGTTAAATGTAATTTGATACTTGCTTGATTTGGCTGTGAACTTAAATTTTTGGTTTTGAACCTCTGGATTTAGGTGTGAGGATAGGTGGCCATGTTGAGACCTGGTAACAAGTTCTCAGTGCCTAGACCAGCAGCTACAAGACAATGAAGCCTAATATGGCCTCTTCTTCTCTTTCCAAGCTTTGCCTTCTGGATATTCTTTAAGAGGTTGGATCCAGCTTTTATCCTGAGCTCTACACCTAGTATGTAAATGTAGGAGTCTTGCAGGTCCTGACCTTCAGAGCCATTTTATGTGTCATATGCCTACTAGAGACTCAGGATGACTGGGAAAGATATTAGGAAGAGTACCCATGTCATAGTTTCAAAATCTTTTTCAATAATTTAGAATCTTAAAGTGATACTATGTTAATTTAATAATAGTCATAAAATCTATGAGTCATTTGTATATTAAAATACTAAAACGTTAATTTCTTTTTTCTTTTTTTGAGATGGAGTCTCACTCTGTAGCCTAGGCTGGAGTGCAATGGCATGATCTTGGCTCACTGCAACCTCCACCTCCTGGGCTCCAGTGATTCTCCTGCCTCAGCTTCCCAAGTAGCTGGGACTACAGGCACCCGCCACCATGCCCAGCTACTTTTTGTATTTTTAGTAGACACAGGGTTTCACTAGGTTGGCCAAGCTGGTCTTGAACTCCTGACCTCAGGTGATCCATCTGCCTCGGCCTCCCAAAGTGCTGGGATTACAGGCATGAGCCACCATGCTCAGCCTAAAACATTAATTATTAAACATAAGTTTAAGTTTATATGCTTTGGCATCTTTTTCTTGAGACAGGGTCTCTCTGTCACCAAGGTTGAAGTACAGTGGCATGATTACAGCTCACTGCAGCCTCTACCTCCTGGACTCAGATGATCCTTTCAGTTCAGCCTCCTGAGTAGCTGAGACTAAAGGCACACACACCCACACCTAGCTAATTTGTGAATTATTTATATAGATAGGGTCTCACCATGTTGCCAAGGCTGTTTTTGTACTCTTAAGCTTAAGCAACCTATCTGCCTTGGCCTCCCGAAAATATGGGATTGAGAAAGAGGACATGAGACATGAGCCACTGTACCTGGCTAGCATCATATTTTTATATAATATTTAAAAAGCTAAATATAATTTGATAAGGTAGTTAGTAGAAAATTTAATAAAAAAAAAAATTTAGCTTGGCACAGTGGCTCACGCTTGTAATCCCAGTACTTTGGGAGGCCGAGGCAGGTAGATCACCTGAGGCTGAGAGTTCAAGACCAGCCTGACCAACAGGGAGAAACCCCATCTCTACTAAAAATACAAAATTAGCTGGGTGTGGTGGTGCATGCCTGTAATCCCAATAAGGGAGGAGACTACCCCTCATATTGTCTTATGCCCAATTTCTGCCTCCAAAGAAAGAAGAAGTAAAAACTAAAAGGCAGAAATGAAATCCACAGGCATATAGCCTGGCACATGCCCTGGGCCCGTTAGTTAAAAATAAACCCCTGACCTGACTTCTTGTGTTATCTGTAGATTCCAGACATTGTATGGAAAAACATTGTGAAAATCCCTGTCCTGTTCTGTTCCATTCTAATTATTGGTGCATGCAGCCCCCAGTCATGTACCACCTGCTTGCTCAATTGGTCATGACAACCCTCTCACATAGACCCCATTAGAGTTGTAAGCCCTTAAAAGGGACAGGAATTGCTTACTTGGGGAGCTTGGCTTTTGAGACACAAGTCTGCTGAAGCTCCCAGCCGAATAAAGCTCCTTCCTTCTTTAACCTGGTGTCTGAGGAGTTTTGTCTGCAGCTCATCCTGCTACAACTCCTGGTTCCCTGACTGGGAAAGGAGGTGGCTGGTGGATGGTGGAGGCAGCCCCTTAGTCATCTTTGTCCTGCCCTGTGGAACATCCCTGTGGGGGATTCCAACCAGCCTTAGCGATGCGGATCCAAAAAGTGCTCCCAGGTAGGCAGTTGCCCTGGTGGGACACCTGGCCAGAGCAGTGTGTGGCAGGCCCCAGTGGAGGATCAACACAGTGGCTGAACACTGGGAAGGAACTGGCACTTGGAGTCCAGACATCTGAAACTTGGTAAGACTGGTCTTTGGAACTTGCCCACTCCATTTGAGTGGAAGCATGGCCTGATCACCCATGGTGTGCCTGTATTGGCACTTTGTTTTTTGTTTTTTGACTTGACTTCGATTGCTTGATACTTTGGTTTTAGTTTTGACCTGGCTTGGATTTCTTGATACTCTGATTTTGGTTTTGATTCTGGTTTGGTGTAAACTGTAAAAGTGTGTGTGTGCCCTTTTTACCCATTCTCTGTTTTGTTGTGTGTGTGTGGTGTGAGCGTGGTGTTTTTTCTTGAGGAAACATGGATCAGGAACAAAGTAAGCCCACTCCACTAGGAACTGTGTTGAAAAATTTCAAGAAAGGATTTAAGGGAGATTACAGTGTTACTATGACACCAGGAAAACTTAGAACATTGTGTGAAATAGACTGGCCAGCATTAGAGATGGGTTGGCCATCAGAAGGAAGCCTGGACAGGTCTCTTGTTTCAAAGGTATGGCACAAGGTAACCTGTAAACCACAGCACCCAGACCAGTTCAGTACATAGACACTTGGTTTCAGCTGGTTTTAGACACCCCCCCACCCTGCTCCACCACAGTGGTTGAGAGAACAGCAGCATAAGTAGCTGCCAGAGGCAAGGAAAGACCAGCAGAGAGAGAGAGGAAGAGACAGAGAAACAAAGAAGGAGTCAAGGAGAGGGAGAGAGAGAGAGAAAGAGAGAGACAGAGAGAGGAAGAGACAGAGGCAAAAGCAAAGACAGAGAGAGCCAGACAGAAAGTCAAAGAGAAAAAGAGAGAAAGAGAGAGATATACAAGTAGTTAAGAAAAAAACAGTGTACTCTATTCCTTTAAAAGCCAAGGTAAATTTAAAAACTTATAGTTAATAAGTGAAGGTATTCTCTGTAACCCTATGCCACTCCAATACCACCTTGTTTTCAGTGTAAACAAAAGTGTATCCCAAAAGCACTGAGGCCACTGATAACCCGTAGCCTTCCTTTAAAAAATCCTTAACCCAGTAACCTGCAGATGGCCCATATGCATTCAATATGTAGCGGCAATTGCTTTGCTAACAGAAGAAGGTAGAAAAATAACTTTTAGAGGAAACCTCATTGTGAGTACACCCCACCAGTTCAGAAGTACACTAAGTAAAAAAAAAAAAAAAAAAAAAAAAAAAAAAAAAGATGATTTAACATTAACCACTGAAAATTCCCTTAACCCAGCAGGTTTCCTAACAGGGGCTCTAAATCTTAATTACCATACAAAGGTATGACCAGACCTAGGAGGAATTTCCTTCAGGACAGGACAATAGATGGTTCCTCCTGGGTAATTATAGGGAAAAAAAAGGCCATCTATACCAATTCTAAGTTAATTTGGACTAAACAAGTTCATATTAATAGCAAAGGATAATTGAAATCCCAAACTTACAAGGTTTTCAACAAAAGTAAAGTTTGCTAAAAGTTAACAGTGTAACATGTATTATAGTAACTTCTAATCTTGTGGCCTTAGACAGTCTAGTCCACAGACATAAAGAAAATTCACTTTGGAAAAGAATGGTTGCCATCTTTGAATTCTTGTCCTGAAATAAATTAACTGGTTGTTTAAAGAAAGAAATGTTTGTAATAAGCCAGAAAGTTGAGACATGTCAAAGAATTGTCTGTGAAAGCATGAAAGAAAAAAAAAGTTATAAAAAAAATTATGCAAGAAATGCTGTATAATTTAAAAGTAATTAGGCTTCCTGAATGTAAAACTATTGAAAAAACAGTTTATGTGCAAGGTGTGTAAAGAAAGTAAAATATACCTCTGGTAAAAGGATTATAAGGAGGCATAAGAATGTGAATTTTTACCTACATTAAAAGGTTAAATTTTTTTTGTTGTTTTAAAGGTTTAAGCAAGTTTTAAAACATTAATTGTAAATAAAATTGTGTGTCTAAACATATTAGCTAAAGTTAAAGGGATGTCATCTAGTTTTTCTGTGAACTGGACATTAAAGTAAAAACACAATGGGGTTTTCTTGAAGCACTAACCTGCTCTTTAACAAAAATTATAAAAGGTTAAAAAGAATCTATAAAAATCTTACCTTACGGTCAGACATTAAAAATTGAATAAATATATCTACAAATTTTTATTAAAACTAATTTTAACATTAATAACACACTAATATGAAGGTGAAATATAGCTTATCTCATATAAAAATTATATAGAAAGCATAGTCAAATATAAAATGGTGTTTGGCTTTCTTTGGTCTAAAAACTAACAAAAATAGATGCTAAAGGAAATTTCTCAGTAAGAAGACACCAAGGACTATAAAGTCCACTGCTGATGTCCCCACATTTAAAAAAAGAAGATCAATTTCTTAAAAATTATATACTTGGTTTATCTTCCACTTTCCTTTCCCTCAAAACTAAAAGTCTTTTAGCACATGTACCACCCCTAGAATTTCCTGTAAACCACCACCAGCTGGAAGATCACATTCTCATCAAAGGTGGAAAGAAGGAAGACTCAAGCCAGCCTGGGAAGGACCCTACCTTGTGCTGCTAACCACTGAGACTGCTGTTCATACAGCAAAAAAGGGATTGGATTCATCACACCCAAGTCAAGAAAGCGCCACCCCTCTAGAGTCATGGGCTGTAGTCCCAAGGGAAAATTCTACCAAACTAAAGCTAAGAAAAATTTAATTCATCTATTCTATTAGTGTTCCTTCTTTTCTTGCTCTATTGCTGACCATCTAGTTATTAACATAACCCAGTCAATTCCACCTCAAACTATTGAATTTAATGCTTCCCTTGTTATACCCTGTGAGGGCTTGCCAAGTCAAAGACAGCTCTCTACTTCAGAAAAGTACCTCTGTCCCTCCTGACTCTCCTCAGACTAGTCATTAATAAATTAGGACCATTTAATCTCAGGAGAATTTGATAAAGACCCCAGTGTCAACTAGGAGTCTTGCGCCCAGATGTAGAGCTTTTATGCTGTAGTTGGCCCAACATTCTGTGAACCACTAAAGAGCAAGGATGGACTGCCCCAACTGGTTTTTGTTATTTCCTAAAACCATACATTCATTTTACTAGAGGATCATAGAAGTTAAAGACTTAAAACAAATCTTGACAATTAAGACAGGATACCAAGATGCAAATGCCTTGTTGGAATGGATCAAATATTCTGTCCACTCGTTAAACAAAAGCAATTGTTGTGCTTGTGCACATGGCAGGCCAGAGGCCCAGATTGTCCCCTTTCCACTAAGGAGGTCCTCCAGTCGACCAGGTGTGGACTGCATGGTAGTGCTTTTCCAGGATTCTACAGCCTAGAGTAATAAGTTGTGCCAAGTTCTCTCTCTGATATATGCTGAAGTTCAACACCCTGTGGGTCAGTCCCTGAGGGCCATCTAGCTTCCATCTCCAAACACTAAGTTAACTTCGTGTCTCTCACGACAGGGAGGAAACTTAGTGTTCCTTGGAGACCTGAAGGGATGCAGTGAGCTTAAGAATTTTTAAGGGCTTACCAATAGGTCATCCCTTGTTCATCCCTGAGCGGATGTGTGGTGGTATTGTGATGGACCTTTACTGGACACTCTGCCAAATAACTAGAGTGGCACTTGTGCTTTGGTCCAATTGGCTATCCCTTTCATCCTGGCATTTCATCAACCAGAGGGAGGGCAGGTAATAGAAGGATGGATCTGGTTATCAGACAGAAGAATAGCCATGCCACAACTGCTAGGAGCTGTGGTCATACTGGCTGTGCATGAGACCACCCACCTAGGCCAAGAGTCACTTAAAAAGTTGTTAAGCCAGTACTTCTACATCTCACATCTCTCAGCCCTTACCAAAACACTGGCATAGCAGTGTGTCACCTCCTGGCAGCACAATGCTAGGCAAGGTCTAACTGTTCCACCTGGCATACAGGCTTATGGAGCAGCCCCCTTTGAAGAACTCCAAGTAGACTTCACTGAGATGCACAAATGTGGAGATCTCATCCCTAGGTTTAGACTGCCCTTACAAATCAGCTTGGACAATGAGCCAGCATTTGTGGCTGACTTGGTACAGAAAACAGCAAAGGTGATTGGGTGTAGATCAAGGATTAGAGTGTAGCCCCCTTGCCGCCACAATGAAAAAAACCCCAGATCATCATCTTGACCACTCCCACAGACGTAAAAGTAAGAGGAATCCCAACCTGGATCCATCACAGCTGCATAAAACCTGCAGCACCTGAGACCTGGGAGGTGAGACCAAGCCTGGACAATCCCTGCAAAGTGACTCAGAAGAAGATGACAAGCCCTGCTCCAGTCACACCCGGAAGCTAACTGGTCCATGCATGGCTGAAGCATGAGGAAACTCACCATGGGACTTATTTTCCTTAAATTTTGGACTTATACAGTAGGGACTTCAACTGACTTCCTCAAACTAAGGACTGTTCCCAGTGTATACATCAGGTCACTAAGGTAGGGCAACAATTTAAAATCGTCTTTTTGTTCTATAGTTATTATAAATGTGCTGGAACTCTAAAAGGGACTTGTTTGTATAATACCACCCAGTATGAGTTATGTAGCCCAGGAAGTGACCAGCCTGATGTGTATTATAACCCATCTGAGCCCCCTATGGTCACAGTCTTTAAAATAAAATTAAAAATAGTCATCTCATTGGGTCTAAACCATACTAAAAAGAATCCATTTAGTAAATTCCTAAATTTGCAAACCATGTGGACCCACCTGGAGTCCCACCAGGACTGGAAAACCCCCACTGGATTATACTGGATGTGCGGGCATAAAGGTTATGCCAAATTACCTGACCAGTGGGCAGGTAGTTGTGTTATTGGCACTGTTAAACCATCCTTCTTCCTACTACCCATAAAATCAAGTGAATTCCTGGGCTTCCCTGTCTATGCTTCCCACTAAAAGAGAAGCATAGCTATAGGTAATTGGAAAGATGATAAATGGCCCTCTAAGAAAATCATACAATATTATGGGCCTGCTACTTGGGTACAAGATGGCTCATGGGGATATCAGACCCCTATTTACATGCTCAACCAAACCTTAGAAATAATCACTAATAAAACTGGCAGAGCCTTGACTATTCTGGCCCAGCAAGAAACTCAGATGAGAAATGCTATCTATCAAAATAGACTGGCTCTCAACTACTTGCTAGCAGCTTGGCGGGGGGGGGGGGGGTCTGTGGGAAATTTAATCTTACCAGTTACTGTCTTCACATAGATAATCAAGGGCAAGTAGTTGAAGACATAGTTAAAGATATGACAAAAGTGGCATATGTGCCCATGCAAGTGTGCCATGGATTTAATCCTCAGGTCATGTTTAGAAAATGGATCCCAGAACTAGGAAGATATAAAACTCTTATAATAGAAATTATAATAGTAATAGGCACCTGCTTACTACTCCCTTGTTTGCTACCTGTACTCCTTCAAATAAAAAAAGCTTCATCACTACCTTAGTTCACCAAAATGCTTCAGCACGAGTGTACTATATAAATCATTATCAATTTGTCCTACAAGAAGACATGGGTAGTGAGGATAAAAGTGAGAACTCCCACTAATGAGTGAAGTTCTCAAAGGGGGGAATAAGGAAGGATGCCACCCCTCATATTGTCTTATGCCCAATTTTTGCCTCCAAAGATAGAAGAAGTGAAAACTAAAAGGCAGAAATGAAATCCACAGGCAGATAGCCCAGCGCATGCCCTGGGCCTGTTAGTTAAAAATCAACCCCTGACCTAACTGCTTGTGTTATCTATAGATTCCAGACATTATATGGAAAAGCATTGTGAAAATCTCTTTCCTGTTCTGTTCTAATTACTGGTGCATGCAGCCCCCAGTCACATACCCCCTGCTTGCTCAATCAATCACGACCCTCTCATGCAGACCCCCTTAAAGTTGTAAGCCCTTAAAAGGGACAGGAGTTGCTCACTTGGGGAGCTTGGCTTTTAAGACGGAAGTCTGCTGAAGCTCCTGGCCAAATAAACCTACTTCCTTCTTTCACCCAGTGTCTGAGGAGTTTTCTCTGCAGCTCATCCTGCTACACCAGCTACTTGGGAGGCTGAGGCAGGAGAATTGCTTGAACCCAGGAGGCAGAGGTTGCAGTGAGCTGAAATAGTCCCATTGCACTCCAGCCTGGGCAACAAGAGCAAAACTCAGTTTAAAAAGAAAAAGAGGAATGTGGAGCCAAGATGGCCAAATAGGAACAGCTCCGGTCTACAGCTCCCAGCGTGAGCGACGCAGAAGATGGCTGATTTCTGCATTTCCATCTGAGGTACGGGGTTCATCTCACTAGGGAGTGCCAGACAGTGGGCGCAGGCCAGTGTGTGTGCGCACCGTGTGCGAGCCAAAGCAGGGCGAGGCATTGCCTCACCTGGGAAGCGCAAGGGGTCAGGGAGTTCCCTTTCTGAGTCAAAGAAAGGGGTGACGGACGCACCTGGAAAATCGGGTCACTCCCACCCGAATATTGCGCTTTTCAGACCGGCTTAAGAAACGGCACACCACGAGACTATATCCCACACCTGGCTCAGAGGGTCCTACGCCCACGGAATCTCACTGATTGCTAGCACAGCAGTCTGAGATCAAACTGCAAGGCGGCAACGAGGCTGGGGGAGGGGCGCCCGCCATTGCCCAGGCTTCCTTAGGTAAACAAAGCAGCAGGGAAGCTCGAACTGGGTGGAGCCCACCACAGCTCAAGGAGGCCTGCCTGCCTCTGTAGGCTCCACCTCTGGGGGCAGGGCACAGACAAACAAAAAGACAACAGTAACCTCTGCAGACTTAAGTGTCCCTGTCTGACAGCTTTGAAGAGAGCAGTGGTTCTCCCAGCACGCAGCTGGAGATCTGAGAACGGGCAGACTGCCTCCTCAAGTGGGTCCCTGACCCCTGACCCCCGAGCAGCCTAACTGGGAGGCACCCCCCAGCAGGGGCACACTGACACCTCACACGGCAGGGTATTCCAACAGACCTGCAGCTGAGGGTCCTGTCTGTTAGAAGGAAAACTAACAACCAGAAAGGACATCTACACCGAAAACCCATCTGTACATCACCATCATCAAAGACCAAAAGTAGATAAAACCACAAAGATGGGGAAAAAACAGAACAGAAAAACTGGAAACTCTAAAATGCAGAGAACCTCTCCTCCTCCAAAGGAACGCAGTTCCTCACCAGCAACAGAACAAAGCTGGATGGAGAATGATTTTGACGAGCTGAGAGAAGAAGGCTTCAGATGATCAAATTACTCTGAGCTACGGGAGGACATTCAAACCAAAGGCAAAGAAGTTGAAAACTTTGAAAAAAATTTAGAAGAATGTATAACTAGAATAACCAATACAGAGAAGTGCTTAAAGGAGCTGATGGAGCTGAAAACCCAGGCTCGAGAACTACGTGAAGAATGCAGAAGCCTCAGGAGCCGATGCGATCAACTGGAAGAAAGGGTATCAGTGATGGAAGATCAAATGAATGAAATGAAGCGAGAAGGGAAGTTTAGAGAAAAAAGAATAAAAAGAAATGCGCAAAGCCTCCAAGAAATATGGGACTATGTGAAAAGACCAAATCTACGTCTGATTGGTGTACCTGAAAGTGATGTGGAGAATGGAACCAAGTTGGAAAACACTCTGCAGGATATTATCCAGGAGAACTTCCCCAATCTAGCAAGGCAGGCCAACGTTCAGATTCAGGAAATACAGAGAACGCCACAAAGATACTCCTCGAGAAGAGCAACTCCAAGACACATAATTGTCAGATTCACCAAAGTTGAAATGAAGGAAAAAATGTTAAGGGCAGCCAGAGAGAAAGGTCGGGTTACCCTCAAAGGAAAGCCCATCAGACTAACAGCGGATCTCTCGGCAGAAACCCTACAAGCCAGAAGAGAGTGGGGGCCAATATTCAACATTCTTAAAGAAAAGAATTTTCAACCCAGAATTTCATATCCAGCCAAACTAAGCTTCATAAGTGAAGGAGAAATAAAATACTTTATAGACAAGCAAATGCTGAGAGATTTTGTCACCACCAGGCCTGCCCTAAAAGAGCTCCTGAAGGAAGCGCTAAACTTGGAAAGGAACAACCGGTACCAGCTGCTGCAAAATCATGCCAAAATGTAAAGATCATCGAGACTAGGAAGAAACTGCATCAACTAATGAGCAAAATCACCAGCTAACATCATAATGACAGGATCAAATTCACACATAACAATATTAACTTTAAATATAAATGGACTAAATTCTTCAATTAAAAGACACAGACTGGCAAGTTGGATAAAGAGTCAAGACCCATCAGTGTGCTGTATTCAGGAAACCCATCTCACGTGCAGAGACACACATAGGCTCAAAATAAAAGGATGGAGGAAGATCTACCAAGCCAATGGAAAACAAAAAAAGGCAGGGGTTGCAATCCTAGTCTCTGATAAAACAGACTTTAAACCAACAAAGATCAAAAGAGACAAAGAAGGCCATTACATAATGGTAAAGGGATCAATTCAACAAGAGGAGCTAACTATCCTAAATATTTATGCACCCAATACAGGAGCACCCAGATTCATAAAGCAAGTCCTGAGTGACCTACAAAGAGACTTAGACTCCCACACATTAATAATGGGAGACTTTAACACCCCACTGTCAACATTAGACAGATCAACGAGACAGAAAGTCAACAAGGATACCCAGGAATTGAACTCAGCTCTGCACCAAGCAGACCTAATAGACATCTACAGAACTCTCCACCCCAAATCAACAGAATATACATTTTTTTCAGCACCACACCACACCTATTCCAAAATTGACCACATACTTGGAAGTAAAGCTCTCCTCAGCAAATGTAAAAGAACAGAAATTATAACAAACTATCTCTCAGACCACAGTGCAATCAAACTAGAACTCAGGATTAAGAATCTCACTCAAAGCCGCTCAACTACATGGAAACTGAACAACCTGCTCCTGAATGACTACTGGGTACATAACGAAATGAAGGCAGAAATAAAGATGTTCTTTGAAACCAACGAGAACAAAGACACCACATACCAGAATCTCTGGGACGCATTCAAAGCAGTGTGTAGAGGGAAATTTGTAGCACTAAATGCCTACAAGAGAAAGCAGGAAAGATCCAAAATTGACACCCTAACATCACAATTAAAAGAACTAGAAAAGCAAGAGCAAACACATTCAAAAGCTAGCAGAAGGCAAGAAATAACTAAAATCAGAGCAGAACTGAAGGAAATAGAGACACAAAAAACCCTTCAAAAAATCAATGAATCCAGGAGCTGGTTTTTTGAAAGGATCAGCAAAATTGATAGACCGCTAGCAAGACTAATAAAGAAAAAAAGAGAGAAGAATCAAATAGACACAATAAAAAATGATAAAGGGGATATCACCACCGATCCCACAGAAATACAAACTACCATAAGAGAATACTACAAACACCTCTACGCAAATAAACTAGAAAATCTAGAAGAAATGGATACATTCCTCGACACATACACTCTCCCAAGACTAAACCAGGAAGAAGTTGAATCTCTGAATAGACCAATAACAGGCTCTGAAATTGTGGCAATAATCAATAGTTTACCAACCAAAAAGAGTCCAGGACCACATGGATTCACAGCCGAATTCTACCAGAGGTACAAGGAGGAACTGGTACCATTCCTTCTGAAACTATTCCAATCAATAGAAAAAGAGGGAATCCTCCCTAACTCATTTTATGAGGCCAGCATCATTCTGATACCAAAGCCGGGCAGAGACACAACCAAAAAAGAGAATTTTAGACCAATATCCTTGATGAACATTGATGCAAAAATCCTCAATAAAATACTGGCAAACCGAATCCAGCAGCACATCAAAAAGCTTATCCACCATGATCAAGTGGGCTTCATCCCTGGGATGCAAGGCTGGTTCAATATACGCAAATCAATAAATGTAATCCAGCATATAAACAGAGCCAAAGACAAAAACCACATGATTATCTCAATAGATGCAGAAAAAGCCTTTGACAAAATTCAACAACCCTTCATGCTAAAAACTCTCAATAAATTAGGTATTGATGGGACGTATTTCAAAATAATAAGAGCTATCTATGACAAACCCACAGCCAATATCATACTGAATGGGCAAAAACTGGAAGCATTCCCTTTGAAGACTGGCACAAGACAGGGATGCCCTCTCTCACCGCTCTTATTCAACATAGTGTTGGAAGTTCTGGCCAGGGCAATCAGGCAGGAGAAGGAAATAAAGGGTATTCAATTAGGAAAAGAGGAAGTCAAATTGTCCCTGTTTGCAGACGACATGATTGTTTATCTAGAAAACCCCATCGTCTCAGCCCAAAATCTCCTTAAGCTGATAAGCAACTTCAGCAAAGTCTCAGGATACAAAATCAATGTACAAAAATCACAAGCATTCTTATACACCAACAACAGACAAACAGAGAGCCAAATCATGAGTGAACTCCCATTCACAATTGCTTCAAAGAGAATCAAATACCTAGGAATCCAACTTACAAGGGATGTGAAGGACCTCTTCAAGGAGAACTACAAACCACTGCTCAAGGAAATAAAAGAGGACACAAACAAATGGAAGAACATTCCATGCTCATGGGTAGGAAGAATCAATATCGTGAAAATGGCCATACTGCCCAAGGTAATTTACAGATTCAATGCCATCCCCATCAAGCTACCAATGACTTTCTTCACAGAATTGGAAAAAACTACTTTAAAGTTCATATGGAACCAAAAAAGAGCCCGCATCGCCAAGTCAATCCTAAGCCAAAAGAACAAAGCTGGAGGCATCACACTACCTGACTTCAAACTATACTACAAGGCTACAGTAACCAAAACAGCATGGTACTGGTACCAAAACAGAGATATAGATCAATGGAACAGAACAGAGCCCTCAGAAATAAGGCCGCCTATCTACAACTATCTGATCTTTGACAAACCTGAGAAAAACAAGCAATGGGGAAAGGATTCCCTATTTAATAAATGGTGCTGGGAAAACTGGCTAGCCATATGTAGAAAGCTGAAACTGGATCCCTTCCTTACACCTTATACAAAAATCAATTCAAGATGGATTAAAGATTTAAACGTTAGACCTAAAACCATAAAAACCCTAGAAGAAAACCTAGGCATTACCATTCAGGACATAGGCGTGGGCAAGGACTTCATGTCCAAAACACCAAAAGCAATGGCAACGAAAGCCAAAATTGACAAATGGGATCTAATTAAACTAAAGAGCTTCTGCACAGCAAAAGAAACTACCATCAGAGTGAACAGGCAACCTACAACATGGGAGAAAATTTTTGCAACCTACTCATCTGACAAAGGGCTAATATCCAGAATCTACAATGAACTCAAACAAATTTACAAGAAAAAAACAAACAACCCCATCAAAAAGTGGGCGAATGACATGAACAGACACTTCTCAAAAGAAGACATTTATGCAGCCAAAAAACACATGAAGAAATGCTCATCATCACTGGCCATCAGAGAAATGCAAATCAAAACCACTATGAGATATCATCTCACACCAGTTAGAATGGCAATCATTAAAAAGTCAGGAAACAACAGGTGCTGGAGAGGATGTGGAAAAATAGGAACACTTTTACACTGTTGGTGGGACTGTAAACTAGTTCAACCATTGTGGAAGTCAGTGTGGCGATTCCTCAGGGATCTAGAACTAGAAATACCATTTGACCCAGCCATCCCATTACTGGGTATATACCCAAATGACTATAAATCATGCTGCTATAAAGACACATGCACACGTATGTTTATTGCGGCACTATTCACAATAGCAAAGACTTGGAACCAACCCAAATGTCCCACAATGATAGACTGGATTAAGAAAATGTGGCACATATACACCATGGAATACTATGCAGCCATAAAAAATGATGAGTTCATGTCCTTTGTAGGGACATGGATGAAATTGGAAACCATCATTCTCAGTAAACTATCGTAAGAACAAAAAACCAAACACCGCATATTCTCACTCATAGGTGGCAATTGAACAATGAGATCACATGGACACAGGAAGGGGAATATCACACTCTGGGGACTGTGGTGGGGTCGGGGGAGGGGGGAGGGATAGCATTGGGAGATATACCTAATGCTAGATGACACGTTAGTGGGTGCAGCACACCAGCATGGCACATGTATACATATGTAACTAACCTGCACAATGTGCACATGTACCCTAAAACTTAGAGTATAATTAAAAAAAAAAAATTTAAAAAAAAAAAAAAGAAAAAGAAAAAGAAAATTAAAAAAAATCAGGAAAACAACTTTTTAAATAATATAAATTTTTTATCTACAAATACACAGGAAAGTTCAAAATTATTTCCTAGACATTTCACTAAAAGTTGGGATAATTAACAGTTAATGTAATTCCTAAATATAATTGAAAAACACTAAATGTAAGAAAAACAAGTCTGCCTAAAGAGTAGATAAGAAAAAAACGGCTGTGTGAAGTGGCTCATGCCTGTCATCCCAACACTTTGGGATGCTGAGGCAGGTGTATCACTTGAGGTCAGGAGTTCAAGACAAGCCTGTCCAACATGGTGAAACCCCATCTCTACTAACAATACAAAAATTAGCTGGGTGTGGTGGTGGGCTCCTGCAATACTAGCTACTTGGGAAGCTGAAGCACAAGAATCGCTTGAACCCCAGAGGCGGAGGTTGCAGTGAGCAGAGATCAAGTCACCTCACCCCAGCCTGGGTGATAGAGTGAGACTCTGTCTCAAAAAAAAAAAAAAGAAAAAAGCAAGATATACTTTTGATGAATAAAGTTATAAAGGCATAAAATGTGTGTTTAGAATATTTTTATCCAGTTTGAAATTGCTTAAGTGTTGTTTCAGATTGAAAGAATAAAAAGAATATAGATAAAACTAAAATATAAGAAGTATAAAATTTAATTATGAGATTTTAAAATAATTATGGAAAACTAGTGTGGTCAAAAATGACAGATTTGATAGATTTCTTTATAAGATTTTATTAAAATTAGCTTTAGTATTGATAATACATTAATAAAAAAGTAACATTTGATTTTCTCTTTAACAAAAATTGTATGTAGTGTTAATAAACACAGTATAATATTTTTGCTCAACTTTTGAGTAAATTTAAAGAATGAGAAAGAGAGGACATATAATATCAGTCATGCTTTCTTACTTAGGCCTTTTGACTAGCAAACTAAATCTTTTCTATAAAAAAAGGATTTTGTTTTAATAATTTTCTTAAATTATCACTTTGGCTAAGTGAATGACTATTATTTCGTGGTGACCTTGATCCTATTTTGGTAAATTGTTTTAAACCTTAGGGTTTTTTTTCTTTTCTTTTCTTTTCTTTTCTTTTGACAGAGTCTTGCTCTGTCACTCAGACTGGAGTGCAGTGGTGCGATCTTAGCTCACTGCAACCTCTGCCTCCTGGGTTCAAGCAATTCTCCTGTCTCATCCTCTGGAGGAGCTGGGATTACAGGCCTGTGCCACCCTGCCTGGCTAATTTTTGTATTTTTAGTAGAGATGGGGTTTCACCATGTTGGCCAGGCTGGTCTTGAACACCTGACATCAGATTATCAGCCCACCTCAGCCTCCCAAAGTGCTGGGATTACAGGCATGAACCATCATTCCTGGCCCAAACTTTGACATATTTGACAGGCTTCCCAAAGCCAAATTTTAGCTCCAAAATTGTCTTTTTGACAAAAGAAAAGAGGGTCCCTGAAACACCCAAGAGAGATAAACAGAATCTTTTAATATGTTAAATAACATGGGAAATATTGTCAAATAAAAAATGTTTTACTTTCTTCAACTTGTATTTTGTTAAATATCTAATTAGTATGTGATCCAAAATTATATTGGATTTATAAAATTCTAATACATCTGAGTATATGCTATTAATCATAATTACAGTTTTGTTTTGTTTTGTTTTGTTTTTTGGACACAGAGTTTTGCTCTGTCCCTCAGGCTGGAGTGCTGTGGCACAACCTCAACTCACTGCAACCTCCACCTCCCAGATTCAAGTGATTCTCCTGCCTCAGCCTCCTGAGTAGCTAGGGTTATAGGCATCCATCACCATGCCTGGCTTATTTTTTGTATTTTTAGTAAAGACGGGGTTTCACCATGTTGGTCAGGTTGGTCTAGACCTCCCAACCTCAGGTGATCCACCTGCCTGGGCCTCGCAAAATGCTGGGATTACAGGCAAGAGCCAATGCCCCCAGCCCACAATTACAGTTTTTATGATAAATTACTGTAGGCCATAAATATAAACAATTTTTTGTCGATGTGCCTTTATAAGCATTTTAAGATATTTCCACAGTTAATGGATTAATTCTAATGCAGTTCCTAAAATCTTCATAAGCACACAAAATCCTGGAGTATTGTGTCTTCAAGGAGATTCATGAAAAGGATGAAAAGTGCCCAGACAAGTTGCATGCAGTTTTCTGGTCATTTTAGAATTATATTGTTTAGAGTGGGTCAGAATTCTGGGAAATTTAATGAAGAGACTGACTCATAAAACTGCTAACCCAGGAGAGACAAAAATTAATTGAATACCAAAACAATACTTTGCCAGATATTTATGCTAAATCAGCAAGTAATGAAATTCATTAGATATGAAATTTGAATAAACCATATGGTCCAAGTATAATTACCTATGTATGATAACTCATCAGTTATTAGTGCTACGTACCTAAATTGCAGAAACAAACCTAGTATGTAAGAGGACAGAAATCCTGGCCTGGCAAGTGGCTCACACATGTAATCCCAGCACTTTGGGAGGCTGAGGCAGGTAGATCACTTGAGGTCAGGAGTTCTAGACCAGCCTGGCCAACATGGGGAAATCCCATTTCTACTAAAAATACAAAAATTAGCCAGGCATGATGGCAAAGGCCTGTAATCTCAGCTACTCAGGAGGCTGATGCAGGAAAATCACTTGAACCCAGAAGGCAGAAGTGGCAGTGAGCTGATAAGGTGCCACTGCACTTCACAGAGTGAAGACTAGGCCACAGAGTGAGACTCTGTCTCAAAATAACAACCAAAACAAAAAAATAAGAGGACATAAATCCAATGTTAAGTGTGGGCTCCTGAAAAACCTAGACAGCCACTTGGGCTTTCCTGAGTTCTTATAGCTTCCATTATTAAAAGCTATGCATTTTATCACTCAACACAGAAATGATAAAATAATCTAAATTAAATGTAAATTAAGTGTGTGTGTGTGTGTTGATTATCTAAATTACTAAAATATTTTATGACCAATGCTTTGTTTGCCAAACATATAATACTGAGAAGACAATCAAAACTTCAGGTACATTTATGCTACCTGATGGGTAATTTAAACATTTATACAGAAATTTTACTCAATTGTCATTTTAACACGTTTTCTGGTTGTATAAATGCTTTCTTAAGCAAGAAGGCTGATGTTATGACAGTAGCTAAAAAGATATTAGAAAATATGTTTTCCTAATGTGACATTTCTGAAAAAAAACTCCAATGATAAAAATTCTTATTTTAGTAGAGAAGTTGTAAAACTGTTAAGTTATTACAGATACAATAGTATTAAGCAAAGCTAACCAAATTGATTGGATTGCTGTTGCAATTTCAGATTAATGACAATCAGATCCACTTAAAGTAGAAAAAATATGTTGACCATTATAAAATTGTAATTGGAAGGCCTATGAATCTAATAATAGAACCTCATGTATCTTCTGGTACCAAAATCAGATATGAATAAATGCAGCAAGCCTTTAATGCTTTATTCCAAAGCTCATTTTTACGAGGTAAAAAAGCTTTTGATGGTCCACTGACTGAAGACAATTAAACTTTATTTTTAATAGAAACCATTGATTGATTCCCCTCTTGCCATCCACCCTGCAGAAAGACTTCAGGACCTTGAATCTTGGGTTATAATTTCTCAACTCAGAAGGGTGCCTCCAAACTTTTGAAATTTTATAGCCATTGGAGAACTTAAGGCAAAGCCAACCAGGAAAGTTTCTCCTCAGAAGGAGATGGTAATCTTGATGTAGACAGCTTTTTTTCACTATATAAAACATCAATATATCTCTGTTTCTATGACACTCTTAGCTCACAGTTATATTCTTGCTTATGGCTCTATAAAAATAGAAATAAAAATGGTTATCTTGTGTTCACTCCAGGGGTATACTTGTATATTTAGAGGTTTTTGCAGCCAATCTTATATATGGATAAACTTATGTTTTGATAGATGAAAGATAAAAGAACAATTTGGATGAGAAATTTTAATGGGATATTTGTTGCTTCATAATATAAGAAACAGAACATTGGTTCATTGTTCTTAAACGACCTTATAAGCTAAAGAGAATTTTTTAAACTGCATTGTCAGGAGGCCTTGACTTTTCTGAATGGGCACTATTTGTTAGGTTTCTTTTCCCGTGGTTTAGAGTAAATTAGACAATAATTAGAAATTTATCTACCATAATAGTCTCTATAGCAGATTTTGCAGTAAAGGGTATGGATACAAAATAGAATTTAAATTTTCTTATTAAAGTTATGCGAAAAAATCAAATTTCTCTAGGTTATTATTTATAATAATAATAATGGTTATTATTTATAATAATAATGGTTATTATTATGAGACCAAGTTCTGCTGTTGTTGCCCAGGCTGGAGTGCAATGGCATGGTCTTGACTCACTGCAACCTCCGCCTCCTGGGTTCAAGCAATTCTCCTGCCTCAGCCTCCCAAGTAGCTGGGGTTACAGGCACCAGCCACAATGTCTGGTCTGGCTAATTTTTGTATTTTTAGTAGAGACAGGGTTTCACCATGTTGGCCAGGCTGGTCTTGAACTCCTGAACTCAGGTGATCTGCCCGCCTTGGCCTTCCAAAGTGCTGGGATTACAGGTGTGAGACATCATGCTTGGCCTCTCTAGATTATTTATTGGATAAACAGAAGTATCTGTTTAGTTGCTAACACTTGTAATACATCAGATATTAATGCTATTTAGTCATAGGAGATTAATGAACAGACTGCTTGATTGAAATGAGTAAATCATTTATCTGGATAATTATTTTGATCTACTTTATTTTATGTGGTTTTGTTCATGGGGACCCTGGTTAAAAAGCATACTACAGCCAGGCTCGGTGGCTCACGTCTGTAATCCCAGCACTTCGGGAGGCTGAGGTGGGTGGATCACTTGAGGTCAGGAGTTCGACGAGACCAGCCTGGCCAACATGGTGAAATGCTGTCTGTACTAAAAATACAAAAAAAAAAATTAACCAGGCCTGGTGGTGTGCACCTGTAATCTCAGCTACTGGGAAGGCTGAGGCAGGAGAATTGCTTGAACCCAGGGGGCAGAGTTTGCAGTGGGTCAAGATTGCACCACTGCACTCCAGCCTGGGCAATGGAGCATAACTCTGTCAAAAAAAAAAAAAAAACAGAAAAAGAAAAAGCATACTCCAAACTCTATTGATATTAACTTCCTGATAGTGAAAATAATGGTCTTCCTGGTGCAATATATTATCTCAAAAGTTATAAATGTGTGCATACATACAGCAGTCTCTAGAATGCCAAATTGTTCTTAACTGAAATGACAAAAACTCAAAACAAAGGCCAGGTTCAGTTGCTCACACCTGTAATCCCAGCACTTTAGGAGGCCGAGAAGGGCAGATCACCTGAGATCGGGAGTTCAAGACCAGCCTGAACAACATGGAGAAACCCCATCTCTATTAAAAATACAAAATTATTCAGGCATGGTGGTGCCTGCCTATAATCCCAGCTACTCAGGAGGCTGATGCAGTAAAACAGCTTGAACCCACGAGGAGGAGTTTACAATGAGCTGAGATGGTGCCATTGCACTCCAGCCTGGGCAACAAGAGCAAAACTCCATCTCAAAAAACAAACAAACAACAAAAAACCCTCAAAGACTATATGAACACTATAACCTATAAATGGCATGATAAGTATAGAAACCCAAAATAATAACTGTGATTGGCAGTAGTGATTTGAGTTTTGGTCACACTCTCATCTAAGTGAGAACTTAACCGAAAGTATTTTTTTTTTTTTTGAGAAGGAGTCTTGCTCTATCACCCTGGCTGGAGTGCAGTGGCACGATCTCTGCACACTGTAACCTCTGCCCCCCAGGTTCAAGCAATTTTCCTGCCTCAGCCTCCCCAGCAGTTGGGATTACAGGCATGCACCACCACACAAGGCTAATTTTTCTATTTTTACTAGAGATGAGATTTCACCACATTGGCCAGGCTAGTCTTGAACTCCTGAACTCAAGTGATCTGCCCACCTTGGCCTCCCAAAGTGCTGGGATTATAGGCATAAGCCACTGCACCTGCAGTAAAATAATGTTTAAATAAAATTATTGGAGTCTATTGTTTTGGACTGAACTTGTACACTAGGAACAGTGTACAACAGATGAGACAAAACAAAACAAAAATGGAATCACTCATGCTAAATGTGACATAATCAAACTGAGAATTTGAGAAAATAGGTAGATTCTAAAAACAACCTGGTTTTGTTTTTCTTTTGTAAACAGCAGATTTTAACATAAAAAGATCTTTTTTACTCTAATTTTTATTAAAAAATAACAACCTGAAGTTCTTGTTCCTATTTTACCAAATCCAAAGTTCTATTTCCCAGTGGAATTTGAGATGAAATAAGTACATTTATCATGGTGATACTGTGATACCAATATCTAAAATTTTGGCATATCTCAAACTTGGATACTTTAGGATGATCAAAATAGGGAAACTGTTAAATTAAGTTTAGCCTAAAGCTACCTCATTTTATGTTTAATTTCTGTCAATAGGGTTTTTTGTACATGGTAATCTAAAACCTAACTGGACGTGTAAACAGTCTATAAATGTTCTTGTGCTAATCATTAAATTTTTGCCAATCAAATGGGGTCAACTCTTCAAACTATATTCAAATTTTAAAAATCTGAGCTGTCATCAATCTGGCTGTTTCTGTGCCTCACTCCCAGTTTCTGTATGTCACCTTGCTTTTTCTGTCCATACATCTTCCAACATGTGGCCATGCTGGAGTCTCTTTGAGTCTACTCGTGATTCACAAGCTGCTCAATTGGCAGATTATTCTTTGCTCAATTAAACTCTGCTAAATTTGGTTTCTTTAGCTTTTTTTTTAGTTTTGTTTTTGTGTTTCCAAAATGCTTCTGCAAATTTTTTGGAGACAGAGTTTCACTCTATCACCCAGGCTAAAGCACAATAATATGACTGATCCCAGCCCACTGCAGCCTCATCCTCCAAAACTCAAGCAATCTTTCAGCCTCAGGCACTTGAGAACCTGGGATTACAGGTATGTGCCACCATGCCCAGCTGATTTGTTGTTGTTGTTGTTGTTGTTGTTTTGTGGAACAGGGTCTCACCATGTTGCACAGGTTAGTCTTGAACTCCTCATATCAAGTGATTCCCTTGTCTCAGACTCCCAATGTGCCATGATTACAGGTGTGAGATGCCTTGTGCTTGTGCAATTATTATTTTTTTTTGAGACAGAGTCTTGCTCTGTCTCCCAGGCTGGAGTGCAATGGTGCAATATCAGCTCACTGCAACCTCTGCCTCCTGTGTTCCAGCCATTCTCCCACCTCAGCCTCCTGAGTAGCTGGAATCACAAGCACATGCCACCACAACTGGTTAATTTTTTGTATTTTTAGTAGAGATGGGGTTTCATCATGTTTCTGCCAGGCTGGTCTCAAACTCCTGACCTCAAATGATCTGCCCGCCTTGGCCTCCCAGAGTGCTGGGATTATAAGTGTGAGCCACCGCACCTGGCCCTCTTCTGCAATTTTTAAGGGGAAATACTTTCTTTTTTTTTTTTTTTTTTTTTTTGAGACGGAGTCTTGCTCTGTCACCCAGGCTGGAGTGCCCACTTCTGCAATTTTCAAGGGGAAATACTTTCTCAATGTTTTTTTTTTTATTTTTTTTTTATGGAGTCTTGCTCTGTCACCCAGGCTGGAGTGCAGTGGCAAAATCTCGGCTCACTGCAACCTCCGTGTAAAAAGTAAAGTAGAGTTTCCTCTTCAAAGACTTTCCTCCCCGTCTAGTTAGGAATAAATAGTAACTTCTCTTAGAAGCAAAATTTATTCAAATACCAGTGCTAACATTTTTAAATATCTGCTAGCCATAATAAAGAAATCAATGTACTTTATGTTCTTAACTCCCAGAATTTAGCCTAAATATTTGCCCTGGCATGCTTATACTGGTCCAAGCAAGCACCAGGTCATAGCCTGTTCCTCTTCCTTATTTAAAAGTGTGTTTACCTTTCTTGGCATCCCACAAGTTACTTCTCCTTCCTTTGTCCTCCTCTGCCTTTGCCTCTTTTAAAAAGTTCTAAGTTGCTAGCCAATTGGGACAAATGCAGAATGTGAGTTTCCATTCCAGCCAATGGAAACTGGACACAGCAGTAGGGTGGACGCATCAGGTTATACATGACCCGGTCTCCTTTGTTCAGTGTGCTCTCATGGCAAAACTGCTAGTCAGTGTACCCTTTCTGCAGGAGGTAAAAATGGCCTTACTAAATAAATTAAATTTATGTTCAAGTGCTATTTCTTTATGGCACTGGGGAACAAGCATTTCAAACAATTTGGTGGCAATCCATATGTCAATACATTCTCCTCCAGGGGAAGTCTCCAGTTCTCTCTCATGACGGAGCACGCTTCCCTACCTCATCGCAGGAGTCCTCGTGGTTGAGAAATTGAGACCCACCCAGTGTGATGAATAAACCTGGACTCTCAGCAATGCAGAAAAAAAGAAAGAAAGAAAGAAACTGGCCAGCAACCTAGCTCAAAGGATCCTCACATACTGTGGGATGACTCTGTGCACAGACCAAGGAAGAAGAAGCCGTGGGAGCCAGTAAAGTATTTCCTTGGTGGTTGGGACTAAGGGAAAAGCCACAGGACAGTAAAGCATTCCTTGGTTAGGACATACCAAGGAGAGAAAAACCACAGGGACAGTAAAGTATCCCTTAGTTGGGATGTCTTGAAGGTTAAAAATAGGTAAGAAACCCCATAAGGGGGGTTGAACCTCAGAAAGGGTGAGAAATCCCCATGAGTGGGGGATTGAACCTCAAAAGGAGGTGAGAAATTCCCAGGGGGGAGTTGAACCTCAGAAAGAGGTGAGAAATCCCCATGCAGGGGTTGGACTTCCAGAAGAGGTGAGAAATCCCCATGGGGGCTGTTGAACCCCAGAAAGAGATGAGAAATCCCCATGAGGGGGGTTGAACCTCAGAAAGAGGTGAGAAATCCCCATGGTGGGGGCTTGAACCTCGCACAAACCTCCAGTAGTAAGATATTCAGAACCGCTTTTCCTTTCTTCTTGGGGAAAGAAAGAGTAGCTCCACTCCTGCCTGTCCCTCCCCTAAGGAAGGAGAAGGAAGGGAAAAACAGCAGCATAGGTGGCTGGCAGAGATAAAGGAAAGACCAGCAGGAAAGAAAAAGAAACTAGGAGACGAAGTCAGAGAGAAAGAAAGCAAAAACAGCAAGCACAGAGCCAAACAGCCAGACAGGCACACCAAGGGTTAAGTCCCTCTTCCCAGCCTGGCTCTATGTGAGAAAGAGGGTGGGGCTGGCACCAGGAGAGAGAGAGAGGAAGTGAAAAGGCATAATTCTTGCAATTTGCAGCAGGCATCTGCCAAGCCTCTAGGCGAGTGACTGCCCAGGGCCCAGAACGCAGCCGCACAAATCCCACCCAGCCCGAGAAACTAAGTGTAAGAAGAAAGGAAAAAAAGTAAAAAGGGGAATTGAAAAGAAAAACAAAAGGAGAAAGAGAAGGCAGCAGGTATACGGGGGCGGGGCCGTGTTGTGGCCCAGCCCCACTTGTGGCAGGAGCAGGAGAACTTGGGAGAAGAAAGGGAAACAGGACGACAAAGAGAGAGGAAAATAGAGTGCAAATGAGAGAGAGAGAAATAGAGGGAAAGAAAAAGAGAGAAACTGGAAGAGACAGAAATCAAAGGAAGACACAGAGGGTGAAACCAGGAAAAGAAATAGTGTAAAAGGAAGGCAGATAGTTAAGACATGTTGAAGATTCTCTATGAAAGTCATAAGAAAAGCTATAAAAGGGAATTTATACAAGAAATATTGTATAATTTAAAATTAATTAGGCCTCCTGAATGTAAAATTATTTTAAAAATAGTTTATGTACAAGGTATGTAAGAAAAATATACTCTTAATAACAGGATTATAAGGAGGAATAAAAATACCAATTTTTACCTACACTGAAGATTTAAAAAATTTGTTTTATAAGTTTAAGCAAGTTTTAAAATGTTAATTGTAAAAGAAATTCTGTGTGTAAACATATTGGCTAAAGTTAAAAAGGGTATCATTCAGTTTTTCTGTGAACTGAACATTAAAATTAAAGCACAATGTATTTTTCTTGAAGCATTAGCCTGCTCTTTACCAAAAATTATAGAAAGTTAAAAAGAGTCTATAAAAGTCTTACCTTATAGTCAGACATTAAAATTGGATAAATAACATCTGCAAGATTTTATTATAATTAAGTTTAACATTAATAGCACATTAATATAAAGATAAAATTTAACTTATCTAGTATAAAATCATACAAACAACATTGTCAAATATAAAATGGTGTTTAGCTTTCTTAAGGCCCAAAGGCAGCCAGGTAAGTCACAAGGCCCCTCATCCTTAAGTTTACAGTTTGCAGGGTCGGTGAAGGCCACAAGAAGGCCAAGACATTAAGAGGGGGCAGAGTTGCAGCATCCCCTGGCTGGCGCTAAGCAGGAATGGAGCAGGAGTCGTTACCATGAGGCCTCAAGCCCCAGGATATGCAGCAGAAATTATATACTTAATTTATCTTCACTTTCCCTTCCCTCGAAACTAAAAGTCTTTTAGCACAGGTACCACACCTAGAATTTCCAGTACACCAGCACCAGCCTGAAAATGACGTCTTCATCAAAAGATAGAAAGAAAAAACTCAAGCCAGCCTCGGAAGAACCCTATTTTATGCTGTTAACCACTAATACTGCTGTCTGCACAGCCCAGAAAAAAGAAAATAGATCCACCATACTCAAGTCAGGAAAACATCTTCCTCTCAGAATCATGGGTTACTGTACTAAGATCAAGCCCTACTAAGTGAATGTTAAAGAAAGATTAACTTTCATATACCTTCTATATTGCTTCCTTTCCTTTCCTTATTCTGTTGTTATCTCCTTTGTTATTAATGTAACTAAGTCTGACTCACCTCAGACTATTGCCTTTAATACTTGCTCTGTCATACCTTGGGGAAATGTAAATGATCAAAAATGGCTACGCTTTTCACACAAATATTTATGTCCCAGCCCTCTAATTGACACAGTTACCCCTAGCACACATTCGTTATAATGACCTGCAGCCAAGAGGTCGATTTTCGGCTCCTACCACCTGGCAACCTTGTAGTAAACGGGACTACATCCTTCAAACTACCCAGGAGCAAAATTGGACGTCCACTAAAAGGTTTGTGCAGATCTAAAACCCCTCATCTGTTTCACTAAAAGGAGTACCCCTTCTAACTGTCAGCCTTATCAATATAACCCTGTCCTCTTTATCAGCACCTCCACCTTAACTAACTCTAGACCTGCCTTTAGTTGATTCTATGGTATAAGGATTGACATAAATAAAAAATACCCCCCAGGTATTTTTAAAATATGCATTATTCCCCCATCTTCCCCTTCTTCAGTAGCCTCAGATCTAGATCCCACACTGGTTGCTCCTACATCTAATAAAACTAGGGTGTATATTATAAAAATAAGAGATCTAAAATAGACCTTAGCCATCAAGACAAAATATCAAGATACAAATAAATGCCTGGCTGAAATGGACTAAATCCATTCACACTTTAAATAAAAGCGATTACTATGCTTGTATGCACGGTAGGCAAGCAGCCCAGATTATCCCCTTTCCACTCGGATAATCTCCTCGTCAACCAGATATGGACTCTATGGGACTCTATGGTGGCTCTTTTTCAAAATCCCACTGCTTGAGATAATCCAACATACTGAGCTCTCTCTGCTATTTCCTGAAATACAACACCCTGTGTGTCAGCCGCCTAGGTCAGTCCAGCTTGCACTTCTAAATGCCAAGTTTACTTCATGCCTCTCACAGCAGGAGGAAAATTTAGTGTTCCTTGGAAGCATTAAAGGATGCAAGGAGCTCAAGCCTTCCCAAGATCTTGCCCATCAGTCCATGCTTAGCCATCCCCAAACAAATGTATGGTGGTACTGTACAAGACCTTTACTGTATATTCTGCCAAATAATTGGAGCAGTACTTGTGCTCTAATCCAATTGGCTATCCCCTTTACCCTAGCATTTCATCAATCTAAAAAGGTAAAAACAAAACACTTGCAGGCCAACAAAAACTCCTTATGAATCCTTTAATCCTCAGGTTTACATAAATGCTATTAAGGTCCTGTGAGAAATGCCAGATAAGATTAAAGCACAAAATCAAATAGATTTGATTTTGCAGAATTCAAAACCACATTATTTGGGTAAGTAACTATAAAAAAAAGTAGGCTAAATAAACTCTATCTCTTACCATTAACAACAATTCATAAATTACACTGAGGATGCCATCAAAGAGATAGCTAAGCAATTAGAATCTACTGGCCAGAAGGCCTAGAAAAATAAAATAGCTTTCAATATACTATTAGCAGAAAAGGGAGATATTTGTGTCATAATTGAAACTCAATATTGGAACCTCTGCCGAAAGAATTGATTCCTCAGCAGTGTCATGAAAGCAAACCAGTTAATGTTGATGAAGCTACAAAATTAATGGCTCAGTTGTAACACAGTAGTAATGTGTCTAATTCCCCACAAATACCAATAAATTAAATGTTTTATACAAAACTCAATATTGTACCTATGTTCCTGATAATACTGACCCTGATAGAACTATAACAAAAGAGCTACAAAGGTTAACAGCCCTATCCGATAAACTTGCCAAAAATTCTAAAATAAATAACCCCTTTTCTAAAATATTAAAACATTAGTTCAGTGAATAAAAAGGAATTTTACCTTCAATTCTCACCTTGTTCACTATTGTTATTGGTGTACTTATTCTTGTAGACTGTTATGTTATTCCCTACCTTCAAAGTTTTATATAAAAACTTGTCTCTGCCACTCTTACAGAGTTAACTCCTAACTCTCCACCACCTAGTTCAAAAAAAATTACTTATCTTAGAAGGACAAAAAAAGTAATTAAGTCAAAACATATTAAACAAGTTTGAAGATGAATTATGAAATAAAAAGAGAAGGAATATTGTAAAAAGTAAAGTAGAGTTTCCTCTTTAAAGACTTTCCTCCCCATCTAGTTAGGAATAAATAGTAACTTCTCTTAGAAGCAAAATTTATTCAAAGACCAGTGCTAACATTCTTAAATATCTGCTAGCCATAATAAAGAAATCAATGTACTTTATGTTCTTAGCTCCCACATTTTAGCCTGAATATCTGCCCTGGCATGCTTATACTGGTCCAAGCAAGCATTAGGTCATAGCCTGTTCCTCTTCCTTATTTAAAAGTGTTTTTACCTTTCTCAGCATTCCACAACTTACTTCTCCTTCCTTTGTTCTCCTCTGCCTTTGCCTCTTTTAAAAAGTTCTAAGTTGCTAGCCAATCGGGACAAATACAGAATGTGAGTTTCCATTCCAGCCAATGGAAACTGGACACTGCAGTAGGGTGGATGCGTCAGGTTATAAATGACCCTGTCTCCTTTGTTAAGTGTACTCTCGTGGTAAAACTGCTGACAAGTGTACCCTTTCTGCAGGAAGTAAAAATGACCTTACTAAATAAATTAAATTTATGTTCAAGTGCTATTTCTTTATGGCACTGGGGAACAAGAATTTCAAACACTCTTTCTTCCAGGTTCAAGTGATTCTCATGCCTCATCCTCCTCAGTAGCTGGGATTACAGGCTCGTGCCACCATGCTCAGCTAATTTTTGTTTTTCTAGTAAAGACAGAGTTTCACCATGTTGGTCAGGCTGGTCTTGAACTCCTGATATCTTGATCTGCCCACCTCAGCCTCCCAAAGTGCTGGGATTACAGGCATGAGCCACCACATCCAGTTCAATGTTAAACAGTACTATATGGGCCCATATCTAGAAGGAATCTAGCTTGTATTGTAGAAGTGTCACTCTTCACGACTAAAAAGGTCTAGGCCAGCTAATTGAGTGGTGTGATCATGAAGGTACATGAGCTATAAAGTAAGACAGAGATGATACTGAGTCTTAGCTTCACCAATTAGCAGTTGTGGGTCTTTGGACAAGTTCTTTGACTTGGAAGAATTCTATAAAGGCAAAAGACAAAGTGATAATGGTTGCAAAAATGGAAGCAATTTCTGACATTTATTTTGTATTCATGTCCATTTCCAGGTGCTTTTACAGCTGTTCCCATCAAGATCCAGAATCTGTTTACAAAACCTTAAATTTGGCTGACCTTATTTTCACAGGCCATTAGAAGCCTGTGAACATGATAAGAGTGCTAGTTTCAGGCCTAGGTTCAAAAGGTCTTGAATGCTTCTTTTTTTTTTTTTTTTTTTTTTTTTTTTAAGAACGCTACCATCTCCATGAGAGAAAGTCCATGTTAGCCAGCTGGGGGATAACATCACATAAGGAGGATAAACATAGTTCCAATCTAGATAGCCCCAGAAGCAAAAGCTCACCCTCAGAATCACAGCTGCCTAGTCAACAAGCAGTTGACCACACATGCCTGAAGCAGCTCAGCTTAGACTAGAAGAATGACCCCACTGAGCCCAGCCTAAATTGCTGACCGTCTCAATCATGAGATAATACATTTTGGATTTTTTTTAAATCAAGCAATAGCTAACTAGTACATGCACCCAGAGCAGACAGAGTGCCAGGATTTAATGACAGGTTGATTACTAGTTACCTGCAAACAGTGGCCACACTATAGATACTGATTTCCTTTTCTCCTTATTTAAAGTTGAATGTCATTTAAGATAATGTAGAAATGTATGTAGATATATATGCACATAATTTGTGCTTATACACACACAGTTCCCCACACCACATGAGGAAACAGATGACCACAGCCTGATCATTAGGGGCTAAGGCACAATTTCAAAATAAGTTTGCCTTCCATCTATTTTCTCTATGTCTAAACGTTAGAGGTCAAGACCGTAGACAGATCTGAAGATATGGTGTTCTCTTCTCCTGTGGCCCCACCATTTTTTGTTCACTGTATGATGTCTCAGAAAAAGGTGGGTAACAAATGACCAGCAGTGGTCTACCTATAATTATTTTATTCTGGCTGCTCTCTCTGTGAACATTATCTGTTTTACTCTTGGAACTGTGAAAGATGTTGGTAGGGAGAGGCTGTTCCCTCACCTCTGGCAGAAAAGAAATGTTAAGACCCTCCACCCCTGACATCAGCTGCATTTTATTGTGCAGCTATTGGCCATGTGTGGCTACAGAGTGCTGGAACGTAGCTGGTCTAAATTGCAATGTGCTAGAATGTTAAAATACAGAGTATATTTTTTTTTTTTTTTTTTTTTTTTTTTTTTTTTGAGACGGAGTCTCGCTCTGTCGCCCAGGCTGGAGTGCAGTGGCGGGATCTCGGCTCACTGCAAGCTCCGCCTCCCGGGTTCACGCCATTCTCCTGCCTCAGCCTCCCAAGTAGCTGGGACTACAGGCGCCCGCCACTACGCCCGGCTAATTTTTTGTATTTTTAGTAGAGACGGGGTTTCACCGTTTTAGCCGGGATGGTCTCGATCTCCTGACCTCGTGATCCGCCCGCCTCGGCCTCCCAAAGTGCTGGGATTACAGGCGTGAGCCACCGCGCCCGGCCCAGAGTATATTTTTAAATATTTTTTCAAAAAATATGTACACATTATTAACAATTGCATACTGATCATATATTAAAATGACAATATTTTAGATATATTGGACAAATTAAATTGTTACAATCAATTCTACCTGTTTTGAATTCCAGCCAGGAAGGTAAAAAAATCAGAAATCTAGAAATAATTGTCAGCTGGGCGAGGTAACACATGTCTGTAATCCCAGCACTTTGGGAGGCCGAGGCAGGAGAATCATAAGGTCAGGAGTTCAAGACCAGCCTGTCCAACATGGAGAATCCCCATCTGTACTAAAAATACAAAAATTAGCCAGGGGTGTTGGCGAGTGCCTGTAAACTGAGCTATTCAGGAGGCTGAGGCAGGAGAATCGCTTGAACCAGGGAGGCAGAGGTTGCAGAGAGCTGAGATCGTGCCAATGCACTCCAGGGTGACAAGAGCAAGACTCTGTCTCAAAAAAAAATTGTCATTATAATTTTTACATTTATGAATAACCATATTACATATAACTTATAAATGCATATGACCATATACACAAGGTTAAATGCAAATACCCTCTGGGGTTGGCTTGGTTCAACTCAGCGAGGAAGCCCAGCCTGCAAAGGTTGTAGCCTAGGCTGTTATTCTTGCTTCATTCAGCCCAGTGTGTGGTCGAATCTTCTGTCACTCAGGGCCTGAGAGGGCAGGGACTGGAGCTTATCCATTCAGGGGACTAAATTAAAAACTCTCCCACAGCTGGAGAGGACAGGGTGGCTTCTGGGATTTTAATGGGACTTTTGTGTTTTTCGGCATCCAGAGCTCCAGGTCTCAACTCTATTGCTCTGTGTCCTCTGCTCCTAGACACCCATCCTCTGTGGTCCTGTGCCTTTCAGGTGTTCAGAGATCCATGGCTAAGGCAGCAGACTCCCTGGAAACCTAGAAATGGTGACAGTTTGGGGTCCACCATCCCAAGAGATGGGGAGAGGGCTGATTGGAACTGGCGGGAAGTGACTGTATAGGGACACCGGCCTCCTTGCAGTCAGCTTCAGAGTCTTGAGGACCCAAGTCCCAGCTCGGCCCACAGCCCCCTTCAACCATAAGATGGCGGCTGGGCCAGCAGCAGGGACCCCATTGTTCTGTCCCTTCCCTGTGCAGTGACTTTGTCCTGGCCTGAAGCCCTCTCTGGGCAGCTCTGCACTGTAGGGAGCAGCCCCACAGGGTCGGTGGGATTTCTCCCTGTGTGCAGAGAGGAGAGATTGTAGAAATAAAGACACAAGACAAAGAGATAAAAGAAAAGACAGCTAGGCCTGGGGGACCACTACCACGAAGATGCAGAGACCAGTAGTGGCCCCGAATGCCAGACTGCGCTGATATTTATTGGATACAAGACAAAGGGGCAGGGTAAGGAGTGTGAGCCATCTCCAATGATAGGTAAGGTCACGTGGGTCACGAGTCCACTGGACAGGGGGCCCTTCCCTGCCTGGCAGCCGAGGCAGAGAGAGGAGAGAGAGAGACAGCATATGCCATTATTTCTGCATATCAGAGACTTTTAGTACTTTCACTAATTTGCTAGTGCTATCTAAAAGGCAGAGCCAGGTGTACAGGATGGTATATGAAAGTGGACTAGAAGCATGACCACTGAAGCACAGCATCACAGGGAGAAGGATAGGCCTCCGGATAACTGCAGGCACAAGAGGTGGAGGAGTAGAGTCTTCTCTAAACTCCCCTGGGGAAAGGGAGACTCCCTTTCCTGGTCTGCTAAGTAGTGGGTGTTTTTCCTTGACACAGATGCTACCGCTACACCACGTCCGCTTGGCAATGGCATCTTCCCAGACGCTGGCATTACGGCTAGACCAAGGAGCCCTCTGGTGGCCCTGTCTGGGCATAACAGAAGGCTTGCACTCTTGTCTTCTGGTCAGTGCTCACTATGTCCTCTCAGCTCCTATCTCTCTCTGTATGGCCTCGTTTTTCCTAGGTTATGATTGTAGAGTGAGGATTATCATAATATTGGAATAAAGAGTAATTGCTACAAATTAATGATTAATGATATTCATATGTAATCATATCTATGATCTATATCTAGTATAACTATTCTTATTTTATATATTTTATTATACTGGAACAGCTCCTGCCCTCACTCTCTTGCCTCAGCACCTGTGTGGCTTGCCGCCCACACTGCATTCCCAGCCCCGCATCTCTCCCAGACTGTGCAGGGATGGGAGAGTTATCAGGGGAGAATCCTGACTTAGGGTGCGGGGTTCATGAGTGAAAAGAGCTGTGGTCCATGGGGTCCTCAGTTCCTCCTTTTCCTATTAGAAATTTATGGGAGTTGGCCAGGTGTGGTGGCTCAGACCTGTAATCTTAGCAATTTGAGAGGCCCGAGGTGGAGGGATAGTTGGCAGCCAGGAACTCCAGATCTGACTGTCTCTATTAAAAATACAAAAATTCACCGGGCATGGTGGCGCATTTTTTTAATCCCAGCTACTTGGGAGTCTGAGGCATGAGAATCGCTTGAACCTGGAAGATGGATGTTACAGTGAGCCAAGATCGTGCTGCTACACTCCACCTTGGGCGACAGAACAACACTCCATCTCAAAACAAACAAACAAATGACAACAACAACAAAACAGAAAAGAAATGTATGGGAGTCATGGCAGAAAAATTAAAATAATTTGATCAAAGTGCGAGTCAGGAATCATAGAGCACCCAGCTATCGTTTGTGGACTGTGGTTCATGGGAGAGGCTTGAATGAAAATATTTTATAAGTTGCATGATGAAGCAAACCAAATTCAATAATGGTTTATGTACAGTTATGTAGTTTCCTCATTTGTAAGATCCGGTTGAAAATCTCTTGGTTATGTCAAAAGGTTAATTGGCAGTTCGTGGTTGGTTAAGCCTGAATTTTGTCTTCCCCAGTATGATAATTTACAATAAATGCATTGGAGTTTCTGTTTTTAAGTGGAAGCCCAGGAAAATAGACCCATCTCAGTCTAATTGCCTGCTATTTAATTATGTTCACACTCCACAGAAAACTGGTTTTCCCCTGCATTTTTAAAAGTGGCTTGCAGGCCGAGTTGGTTCACGCCTGTAATCCCAGCACTTTGGGAGGCCGAGGCTGGTGCATCACCTGAGGTTAGGAGATCGAGACCAGCCTGGCCAACATGGTGAATACAAAAATACAAAAATTAGCCGGGCACAGTGGCTCACACCTGTAATCCCAGCACTTTGGTAGGCCAACGTGGGCAGATCTCCTGAGATTAAGAGTTTGAGACCAGCCTGGCCAATGTGGTGAAACCCCGTCTCTATTAAAAATAACAAAAATTAGTCAGGCATGGTGGCGCATGCCTGTAATCCCAGCTACTCAGGAGGCTGAGGCATGAGAATCGCTTGAACCCGGGAGCCGGAAGTTGCAGTGAGCCGAGACCACGCCATTGCACTCCAGCCTGGGTGACAGAGTGAGACTCCATTTCAAAAAAAAAAAAAATGGCTTGCAGTTAAATACTAAATTTTCCATTTCTTCTGACATTCCCAAATTCCAACTTTCCTCCCTAATGCATATTGTCATGTATTTGTCCTTTATTGTACATTAAGACACAGTATTTAAAAAAATTTTTTTCACAAAGCATTGGATGGCATTTAACAACTGCCATTCAATGCTTTATGAAAAAAAGTTTTCTGTTTGTAAATATTTTACATAAGATGAAACCAGAGAGAAATCCTCTGACACTGTATTGTAAAATATCTCTGTGCCTCTCCTTTTTTTTTTTTTTTTTTTTTATCATCTCTAAGCGCAGATGTCCTATCAGAATGTCTTTGGGTTGAGGTTTTTTATGGGGAAACTTCACAGGGTGATGTTTCTTCAGCCACACTTCAGTTTATTCCTGGTCCTGGTTTTCAGTATTGCCTGAGGATAAACCAAGATACCCACAATGTTGCAGTGTCTAGTGACTATGATTCCCTGAATTAGTTTCTCTCAAAGGACAACACATTATGTGGAGTGAAGCCTTTCAAGAGAGCAGGTGGATGTCCTGGGGCTGAAAGAAATCTCTTGGTGTACTCTACCTCTAAAAAGCAACATTAGAATTGTCTTTACCGAACCCAGCTTCCATTGACATTGCTGGTCAGCCAGTTAGATGCTGGTATGGAGAGAAAAACACAGAATTAATTTGTGCCCTCTGGATTCTCTCAGATTTGTGAAGGGAAAAAAGAATTTCTAAAAACAAGAAAAACTTACCTTACTGAGATGGTGCAAGAATCTGAAAAGTAATTACACCAGGAACACTCACAGGGGCATAGTGCAGTGTCTCCTGGAACGGTGGTTATTCACTCAGGTGAGAAAGATGGGGTGGGAGACTCTTGCAAGTGATTGGATGGGTTGACTTGACATTTGAGTCAGATATGTCTAGTTTCCAATCAGCACTGCCACTTGCTGGGTTTATCACCTTGAAAAGATTTGTTTTCTTATTTTAAATTTAGTTTCTTAACTGTAAATTGCATTTTATCAGTAGGGCTCATAAGGGAAAAAAATAGTTACAAAGGGCATAAAAGAGGTGGGTTTCAGAAAGAAAATTTAGTCATATATTCTATTTGTTAAAAGTACTCATTTATCATTTTCTTCCTCAGAATGAATGTAGGAATTTTCTCAGATGTGTTCCTTTTTGGCTGGGGATTTCAAACAGTATTCCAAGGCTTAGCTTTGGGAATACTATCAAGGATAACAATCTGGAAAATGTATTTTTCATTATGACTGTAGGAAGTGAATACTTTTGCATAAAGTAGTACATAATTGGTGAATTACATAGATTCATCAAGACATGAGTTTCTCTTTCTGCAGGGTTAATTTGAGACAGTGAACACCTCTGTTCTTTATTCTGTTATCTTGATTTCTGAATTTAATGCTACATTTTCTGAGATGGCATTTGGCACCTCCTGGAAGTGTTCCCATATGACTAATTGTTTACTGAATAATTTGTTATGGAAATAAGTGAATTATATATGTATTGTCTGAAAGGGATAATACTTTGGTTTTCTCATTGAGCTATATAATGTAAGCACCTTAAAATTTTCTTCCCTTGGCTGGGTGTGGTGGCTCACGCCTGTAATCCCAGCACTTTGGGAAGCCAAAGTGGGTGGATCACTTGAGGTCAGCAGTTTGAGACCAGCCTGGCCAACATAGTGAAACCCCATCCCTCCTAAAAAAAATATATATATATACAAAAATTAGCTGGGTGTGGTGGTGCATGCCTGTAATTCTAGCTACTTGGGAGGCTGAGGCAGGAGAATCACTTGAACCTGGGAGGCGGAGTTTGCAGTGAGCTAAGATCTCACCACTGCACCACAGCCTGGGTGACAGAGCAATACCCTACCCTCTCTCAAAAAAAAAAAAAATCTTTCCTTATATAAACACTGCATTTGAGTAATTTTGCTGGATGTTTCAAAAACTAAATGAATAAAACTGACTTGGAAATAAAGGCCTGAGCCCTGTGACTCCAAGCTAAGGCCAATACTGAACCTGCAAAAAGAGGTTATTGAAGAACCAGTTAGTTCCTTTTGGGGATTCCTTGTTGCAAATGTCCCAGCCTGCTTACTTCAGTCATAGAAGAAACTTTTATACTGAGAGAAGCTATAGAACCTTGGAAAGCTGGGGATGAATAGCAGATGCAATTAAGGTTAGGATGGATGGGGATTGGTGGGATATTAGTGAAAATAGAGCTGCTTTTGTTCTGGAGCAATTTCTAGGCTTTGTAAAATAAAAGAAAGCCAGATTAAAGTAAGAAGTTTTGAGGGAATTCCCAAAACAGGAGAAGTTGCCAAGTGTGGTGGCTCATGCCTGTAATCCCAGCACTTTGGGAGGCCGAGGTGAGTGGATCATGAGGTCAGGAATTCAAGACCAGCCTTTCCAATATGGTGAAACCCCATATCTACTAAAAAATAGAAAAAATTAGCCAGGCGTGGTGGTGTGTGCCTGTAGTCCCAGCTACTCAGGAGGCTGAGGCAGGAGAATCACTTGAACCCAGGAGGCAGAGGTGGCAGTGAGCCAACATCACACCACTGCACTCCAGCCTGGGTGACAGAGTGAGATTCAGTCTCAAAAAAGAATACAATAAAAATAACAGGAGAAAGTACCAAGTATAAGATATTTACAAATCTCTAAGTTTAGGCAGACAAAAACTTTCATTCGTAGGGAATAGCAAACACGATTAGAAAGAAGGTGGGAAAAGAATGGTAAAATAGAGGGGGGCAAAATTAGATTCTAGACCAGAGAATGTTTTACCCTGAAGTCAGCATGTTCTTAGGAAAGACAGAAAATGGGATTGTATGTTGGCTTAGACTGAGGGTACCTCGAAGTTCAGGAGCCCTGGGGAAGGAGAGAAAATTAAGAAAAGTTTGGTTAAGAAGTATTTGGTTTTGACCATTGAAGATGAATTATTCATTCAGCTGATGTTTTATGAGAAAGAGATGGAAATTTACAGAGTCAATGTCTGGCTATGTGATAAGTAAGAAAATAGAGCACCATCTAAGTCATAATGGGAAGAGTGTTTCTTTCCATTAAGCTGTTCCTGGAGAACACAAAGGATGGAGAATCTTATTAATGACAGCTGTTTACCAGGATTATCTATGTGCCCTATCTTTTTCCCCCTTTTTCCTTTGTCCTATACATCTATTGCATTTGACTGTTTCTGGGTTGTATGTTTCATAATAAACCGGTAAACATAAGTGCAGTGTTTTGCTCAGATCTGTGAGTAGCTCTATCAAATTACTGAACTTGAGGGAGATTATTGGAGTCCCTGATTTATAGACAGTAGCTCAGAAGCATAGATGAACCTTTGGGGTTTGGGACAGGCATCTGCAGTTAAGTGCAATGTTGTGAGACTGAGCCCTGAGTCACAGTATGTGCTGACTTTGGTTGGTATGAGAATTGATATGTTAGACAATGAGTTGGTGTTGGAGAATTGCTTGTTGTTCAGCAAACTCTACAGATTTGGTGTCAGATAAAAAATATCATAGAGACATGGCCTGGAGGGGTCTCTGGGTGTCTGGTAAAGAGAGGCTCTCATCTTCTGCACACAGGCTCTCATACTGCACATTGTCCTGTGATTTCAGGTCTCTTCTCAGGGTGAGAGAAAATTGAAAACTTAGCAAACACAAATTGTGATAACAGACTCTCTTCTTTCACAGCTGCCACTACGTGATTCTCATGCATTCACAAACATACCCACTACATATTGATGTGTCCTTATCCCTCCCAGGACTAGGCACCACTTTCAAGAATTTTACCACAGCACTTTTGCTTTTAGTGTTTCTTGCCAAGAACCACCAAAGTGCCTACAAGTCTCCTGGCATATCTCCAACCCCAGACACCAAATCAGCAGCAGCAACCTGTTCCTTTCACTACCATAAAGTTCTGTGCTGCTTGTTCATAATCTAATTTGCCTGCATGCATTTAGGAATAAATCAGAGTACAGCCCTACATAGGCCACTATATGTAGCACAAACCAGTCCTACCACCAACCTTATACTCTCCCCCACACAAAGATTTTTGTTTCTTTTATTTTTTTAATTTTTATATGCTTATTTTATTTATTTATTTTTTTTGAGATGGTGTCTTGCTCTGTTGCCCATGCTGGAGTACAGTGGCATGATCTCGGCTCACTGCAACCTCTGCCTCCTGGGTTCAAGTGATTCTCCTGCCTCAGCCTCCCGAGTAGCTGGGACTACAGGCATGCACCACCACACCCAGCTAATTTTGTATTTTTAGTAGAAACGGGGTTTCACCATATTGGCCAAGCTGGTCTTGAACTCCTAAGCTCAAGTGATCTGCCCGTCTCAGCCTCCCAACGTGCTGAGATTACAGGTGTAAGCCACCATGTTGGGCCGATTTTTGTTTCTTTTAAATTTATTTTAGGTTCCAGAGTACATGTGCATGTTTGTTATATAGGTAAAATCATATCATGGAGGTTTGGTGTACAGATTATTTTATTACCTACGTACTAAGCATAGTACCCAAGGAAGTTTTTTACACTCTTTTTCATTTTCCCACTCACCACCCTCAACTAGGCCTCAGTGACTGTTGTTCCCTTATTTGTGTTCATGTTTTCTCATTATTTGGCTCTCATTTATTAGTTTTCTGCATTAGCTTTTTTTTAAAAAAAATAGTCTCCAGCTCCATCAATGCTGCTGCAAAAAAAATTATGCTGTTCTTTTTAATGGATGCATACTATTCCATGATGTAAGTGTACCATATTTTCATTATTCAATCTACCATTGAAGGCATTTAGGTTGATTCCTTGTCTTTGCTATTTTAAATAGTGCTGTCACAAACATATGAGTGCATGTGTCTTTATGGTAAAATAGCATATTTCTTTGATATATATGAATCCCACACAATTGTGGGATTGCTTGGTATAATGGTAATTCTGTTTTTAGGTCTTAGAAAAACTGTCACACTGTTTTAAACAATGGTTGAAAAGATTTACACTTTCTTCAGCAGTGTATAAGCATTTCATTTCTCCACAACCTCACAAGCATCTGTTATATTTTGACTTTTTAATAGTAGCCATTCTGACTTGAGTGAGATGGAATCTCATTGTGGTTTTTATTTGCATTTCTCTAATAATTAGTGATGTTTAGCTTTTTAAAAAATAATTTATTATTTATTTTTATTATTTATTTATTTTTGACAGAGTCTCAGTCTGTCACCCAGACTGGAGTGCAGTGGCACAATCTCGGCTCACTGCAACCTCCGCCTCCCAGGTTCAGGTGATTCTCCTGCCTCAGCCCCCTGAGTAGCTGGGATTACAAGTGCCTGCCACCATGCCCGGTTAATTTTTTGTACTTTTAGTAGAGATGGGTTTTCAACTTTTTGGTCAGGCTGGTATTGAACTCCTGACCTCATGTGATCTGCCCACCTCAACCTCCCAAAATGCTGGGTTTACAGGTATGAGCCACCATGCCCAGCCTCATCCTCCTTTTCTTAAAGCCTTTATGTTATGTTATATTATATTATATTACATTATATTATTTCTCTCCTTCTCAAAGTATATATTAATTATTATTATTTTATTATTGTTATTATTTGAGACAAAGTCTCACTCTGTTGCTCAGGCTGGAGTGCAGTGGTGTGATCTCAGCTCACTGCAACCTCCGCCTCCTGGGCTCAAACAATTCTCCTGCCTCAGCCTCCTGAGTAGCTGGGATTATAGGCGCCCACCACCACGCCTGGCTAAGTTTTGTATTTCTAGTAGAGATGGGGTTTTTGGCCAGGCTGGTCTCAAACTCCTGGCTTCATGATCCACCCACCTTGGCCTCCCAAAGTGCTGGGCTTATAGGCATGAACCACTGCACCCAGCTGACAATTTTTTAAATACTACATACATCATGACTAGCATGTGTATATATATTAGTATATACTAGTATACATATATCATGGCTAGTATGCTCAAGGAGTAGGAAGTCATTGCTTTGAAATGTAAATAGTCAAACAGATAACACCTTATTCAACAGTTTTCATAAGAGAGTGAGACCCTACCTTGAGCAGGCACCTGGCTTCAAGTTGCAAAACTACCTACTTTCATAAAAATGTAGGAAGCTTATCCTTTCATTTATTATAACTAATTAGCTTACACAGATGGCCTCCTGAATTTCCAGGGGAATGCAGGATGAACTATGCGTAACAGGTGCTGTAAAGTCTTCTACTTGTGGGCTAATTATGGTGACCATCTTTCTATCTTTGCAATCTCTTAAGCAGGTTGCCCATGATGCATGTCACATTCTGGTTTGATTTTGTAATAAAACAGTTTTTTCCTGTTCTATCATTGTGGAGTATTGTCTGGGGCTAAAAACCATTTGCTTTTAGTTATATTTTTCAAACGCTGTCCACGATTATCAGACATGATATAAACATATAAGTTTCCCAACAAGCTTTATTCTAGAGGGTCCTTTTTCTTTCAGGCTTCCAGTTAGCTCACAGTTGTGCTGCAAAGTACGTGTTGTCCCCAAAATGTGCAGGCAGAATTGCGTCTCTGCCTATTTCTGATCTATGATGCTCTATAATCACTTCTAGAGAGGTTAGACAAAATTTCTACAAACTTTATGGGGCAGCAATCAACCATTCCCTCTCTTTTAATAATGATTCTATCTTCAAACCTGAAACTGATTAAGAGAACATGAGGCCTGGAAACCCAGAGTAACTTGTCTCTTGTATAGAATACAGACAGAAGAATCTCAACTTTCTCTCTCTCTTTTTTTTTTTTTTTTGCCAAAATGCCCACAAATGTGCAGATAACCCCTGCTGCTACTCCATCCATTCAGAACCTAAATCTGCAGCTCTAATTTCTAAATATTTGTCTTGATATTTGGTATAAAAGAAAAGCTTTTATCTAAAGAATGCAAGTTCCCTTAGTTATCAAGCCCAGAGAGACATTAAAATGAGACCACAATTACGTCCTCCTCCCACATTTGAGCTATGTATTTATCTTTTGAAACTTCTTGGTATTGCCACAGTAGCTATAAAGTAACCTAATAATGCTGTACTAGACACTAGCCAATACCCTGCAGCTTAACAATGTATAGCTCACCAGTAATCAATATTATTTCTGTAAATAAATAAGATATCCTGACAAAAAGCTTTGTATTAGTCCACTAACTGTCCCTCTTTTTTTTTTTACTTTATGAATCCATTTGTAACTGCTGCTAATTAAAGTGTATATTCTATTCCTCTTGAATTAATGCTTTCAAGTTAGAATCTTCAAGCTTGACCCAAATTAATTGTCTACTCATAATAACGTTGCCTCAGCTTTTTAATTTTAAGTACAGATATCATTTAGAATGTGCTAGAGCAGCTTCTATAAGGGAATCTCTTATTTCACTTTGCTTGCTGTAATAAGCAAGAATGCAGAGCCAAGTTGATGTCATCTGAAATCTATATATTAGAGCTGACCTCTGCCTGGAATTCACAAGACAAGACCAGACATTAAATAGAGAATGTACAGATAACCCACAGGAATCATTTTCTGCCTTTTGAGATGTCAACATAGGCATCTTAAAGTCCCCCTTCAACAGTGTGGCTCTTCGCCCTTTTCAGATCATGTTTAGTGACTTGCCACCTTTATAGGAGGGGCTCCAGGTATAAATGGAATCTGATGGCAGAATCTGTAAGTGTAAACAAACATCTTAGGAATGAGAGATCAAGGCCACAAAAAAATACAGAGCCGTGACTGACCACAACTCTACCTATCTCTAAGATGTGATACTGGAGTGTTCTTGTCTTCCCTCAAAAGCTAGCTAATCAGGACAGGTAATATCACATCTGGATCCAGGTTCTGGAGCTTCACCATGACAGTTTCATTTTCTATTTAGAATCTGCCTAAGTGTCTCTTGCCTGGATTATCTTTGGGCCATCAGCTCAGAGTCACTGGGAACACTGTGACATTCACCTAGAAGTCTGAGATATGTGAGGATGTCCAGGGCAAAATTGTATCAGGTGGACAAGAGTGGTTATTTCTGCTTCTATCTCAGTGTAAGAAAAATGAGTCATCCTGTGTTTGTTTCTCCCCTCAGAGAAGAGCTATACTTGGTTGGTACACAGATGAGAGTTGCTCCAGTTTCCTGCTATTTTTCATGAAAAACAAGGAGAATGTCTGGAAACTCAAACAGATAAACTAATTGTTTCCATTATATGTGGCCATTAGAAAAGTAGATGAAACAGTCATGGTTTTTACCATCCAGGAACTTTCAGTCTGGAGCAACTGAATTAAAAAAAAAAAAAAAAAGGAACAGATGGGTGGAGGGTTTAGGGAGGGCCAGTGGCCCAGCAAACCTGAATGATTTATAAGTGAGTAAGCTGGGAGTCCAGCTGCCTCTGGCTGAGGGTTGGGGTGGTGTTTGCCTAGACCTCAGAGCCTCCAGGCTGCCAGCTGCCTGTCCAGGCTCTTGGTGTCCTCCTCCAGGCCTCAGTTTCCTCACCTGTCTGAGAGGACTTATATGGCATGATATGGCAGCTTCTCTCTTGATCCCACTCCACTCCCTGCCAATCATACATAAAGTGTTTTGGGAGGGGGGCCTAGAGGAGCTCTGGATCTTTAGGGCAGGTCTAATCCCGGCCTGAGTTTGAAGTCAAGGTAGAATTGTCCTCCTTCACTCCACTAGGTATTGTTGTCTGGCCTGCTGAGAACCTAAGTTCTCCAGGAAGCCTGGAAGTCCTTCTTGCAGAGAGGAATTCTCTGGTCCTCCTTTTCTCTCCTCATCGTTCCTTCCTCTGCTTTCATAATGATGCCATATGCTTCAATGACACCTACTCCATTGTATGTCAGTGGATGAACACACAGGCATGCCTTGGCCCCATAGGTCAGGCAGCTGGACCAATATCAGGCTGCTCATCAGCAACCACCCCAGAACCAGGCCAGGTCTTTGGACTCCTTGTCTGAAGTTCATTCCAGAATCTCTCACTGCAGCAGTGACATGGAAGGCCTGAGAATGCTTTTTCCTCTCACGGCTTAGAATGGGCCTGGGAGACAGCCTCCAAGGAGCTGTAGCTGTCTAGCTGTGACTCCTCACCCAAAGAGGACTTTTAGCTTCTCATATCTCTCCCCACAGTGGTGCAAAAGAACTGGGTAGGAAGAAGGAAATCTAGGCCTTACTCCCTCCTGGGAATTTTGGTTTCATAGAACATCCTTGCTGGCCCTTGCCTTGATGAGGAATGAGGAGAGAGAGGCAGAAAAGTGGGTCAAAAGAGCACCAGCACTTGGGCTTAGAGCCTACTGTCACTTATGGGGGCTGTTAGTGTAATCATAAGATATTGTGTGGTGGTGCATGAATGATCTCCAGACCTTCCTCTAACAGCTGAGGAAACACAAGGCCTGAGCTCGAGGATCCTGGGCCTCTCCAGGATATTCTGTGTAGAGAATGGGAAGAGAACAGCCATCTCTAGGATGGTGCCTGTGGTGTGGGGTGGTTGCACGGAGTGGGATTCTCACGGCCGGGTTTCTCCATGATTTCTCTCTATTTTGCTCCTTCCCTGAAGGCAGCTCCATCCCCAACCCCAGGGCTGAAGTCTGGGTAGAACCAAGCCAAATTAGAGGAGAAGCCCATCCACTCTCCCGGGCTGGAGCCAAAACTGCAGGTCAACCGTATCAAAGCTGCTCATTAGCCATAATCCATCAATGAAGAGGGTCCAACATATATGCATGCGGTTCTCCATTTAAAACTCAATTCTCCAGGCTCTGCTATCCCCTCAACCTCTTCTTCACCAATCTGGGAAGGTACTGTTTGGGTGCTTAGCTGAGAAGACTTGTCTAGCTAAAGATAAGGGAATAAAATTCAGGTCGGGAGGAGATGCCATCTGTCAAGGAGCTATGATTCTCTGTCCCAAAAAATGGATGAGAAGATTTTGCCTTACCACTGTCACCTTTGTAAAAGACTTTTGATGGTAAAGAAAAAAAATAGATCTTGATGGGACTTTGAGCTGTTAGGGAAGAGCTGGAAGCAAGCGGCCAGCTTCTGTATTGTTCCCTGGGGCCCAATCCTGGTAGTATTTATTAATACACATGCATTTCATTATCTTTGCTAATAAATTGCTACTAATAACAATTATTTCTATTACACTGATTAATTTAGCCTCAACTCTTTAAAAGAGTGTGTTCCTTCATAGCCAAATTTTATTAGAACGCAGTCATCTGTCATTAGGAATCTCCTGGCAGTGTGACTCCATCAGAAGTGTTATGCTTATGTTTGTTAATTATTCATCACCATGATTGTTGTAATTATCCTAATTATCCATGGAGGCAGGAGAATGTATGCCATTTCATTCTTAGATGGTGGGAATCCAGGAATGGAACCCAAGAGTCCCAATTCTCCACCCAACTGGAAACAGTTGAGGCATCTAGCTCCTTCTGGAATCCAAGGGGACGTTTGGGGAACTGAGGTTGCCAAGGAAGCAGGAAAGCAGGTATGAGCCTTATCATGAGAGGTCACTATAGAATTACCTCCTCAAGTGCTGCCAGGAGGGAAAACTGAGGCAGTTGTCTGATCAGGGGACTGTGTAAACGAGTAGCCAGGAAACATGTCCTAGGGTATCCAGTGTATACGTGTGGCTCCTACAGGGAGCCAGCCTGGCCCATCAGGGACACTTGTGTTTTCACATATTTTATTGGGTCCCTACTGTGCCAGGCACAGTGCTCCATGATCTGAAATGTATTAGGGGCCAGAGAAGATAGCTGGGGGAGTGGGTGATCTCCAACCACCAAGGGAGAGGCTGATCTCTAGTTAGGTCTTTATACCACTGCCCTCAATCTACATATGCCCGCACCTCTCACCTCTGTCAGACTCTTGTCTGAGCCATTGCCCATTGGGATACTCCCCTCCCTACAGCCTCCTACCCCAGACACACAGCACCCAAACCATAGGCCCTGGCATCCTCACACAGCCCCCTGCCTAGCTGATCAATTCTGTGTCCTCTCTGACTCAACTGAACTGTAGATCCTGGAGGCAGCTGCAGGCACCCAGGGCACCACTGCCAATCTAGAGCTCTTTCCTCAGGCTCCTCATATCCTAATTACCAGGGCTTGGTGCCACAAGTTTGATCAGTGTTGGCTCAAGGATGCTCCTAAGGACGGGGCCAGTGGGCCTCAGACAAGAACAGAGGGGGCCTCAGCACCAAGCATGACAATGAATGACCCTACACCCCCATCTTGCCTTGGAAAGACACAGAGCCCAGATTCAGCTCTGCCTTCTTCCACTAAATTCTGGAAGTCTCTGTAGGCAGAAAGCCAGGAAGAAATAGTGCAGTGTCAAGGGCAGTCCCTGGTTCTAAGATGTGGGAAGTGTAAGCTTCTTACTTCTTTCTAATCCATTGACCAGTCCTGTCATTTTTTTCCCTGCTTATTTGAATGTCCTTGTTCACCTCTGAGCCAGTTTTTCCCTACACTTGACCTTTTTATTTTCTCCATAGCAGCATCTCCTCACTTTAGAGACCAAGATCACCACCTTCTCCCCACCATCTGGTTGGTTTAAGCAAGGATAGGCCCCGATGAATCACTCCCTTCCAGACAACGTATTTGGGGACAGAAGTCACTAATTGGCTTCCCAGCCCAGCTTTAACACAAGACTCCTTGGGGTGTGTGATTATACATTACAACTGCTCCTCCAGTATATGGCATGAAGTCCTAGAGGCCAAAGTGGCCTGAACTCCTTTCACCAAGCCCCAAACCTGGCTCCTAGTGGGGGCTCAAAACTAACAATGGGAATGACCAACGATGTCAAATGAGTCTTGGGCAATTTGGAAGGAGAAGTCATAAAGGACATGGGGTAGGGGCTATAGGCCTATTTCCCCTGGCTTTTTTGTGGGGGTTAGGGACTGGTTTGAAGAACTGTTAAAGTGCTGGGCCTTTGAAATCCCAAGTTAAAGCAACCTCCTTTCTTTTCTACTAGCCTGTGGTCCCATCTCCAGTGAATACCCTTCCCCTGGTGAAGAAAAGAGAAGGGGCTTTTGACATGGTTTCACCTCCCAGTGTCAAGCAAGTTCCCCCACCCTAAGCACACACCATCACTGGGGCCTCCTCTTCTCTGGAGGTCACCTCTGGGGCTTCTCCTCATCTCTGCAGCTCTGCTGGGACCTCCTGAGGTGGAGCAGGGTCTAGAGTCAACCAGTGGCATGGTGACTGCCTCCCTATTCAGGCAAGCCCCCAATCCCCTGAAACCTCAGCTTTGTGCCAGCCCAAAATTCTTTGGGAAAGGAAGAAATTCCATTGATGAGGGTGACATTGCTGCATCCCTTATTGGTGATTAATAAGGGAAATCTTGGGGCTGTCTGTGGAATGAGCCCTTACTGGGTACCGGGGTCTCCAATTTGGCCAGCAACCAAGAAAGAGGAGGGGCACTGGGAAGCCTGAAAGACACAAATGAGAGAGACACACACAAGGAACAGGAAAGAGGGGTTTAGACTCCGGGTGGGGGAAGAGGCCAGAAACCCAGAAAGAGAGAGGCAGAAAAGTCAGACATATGAGAGAGAAGGACAAGAAATAGCAATAGAAAGGAGGCAGGGGAGGGGCAGAAATCAGAGGGTAGGAGCAGCCAGGCAGGGGAAAGAGAAGAGGGCCCTGACTTACAAGTACCTGAGAGGCTTTCTGCTGACCTCCCCTGCCTGCCCCCGAGCCTTGAAAACCTGAAGGCCAGCAGAGCCTCAGGATAGTGCTGCCCTGGGAAAGGCTACCACAAGGCCTTGGGGCTCAATCTCAGGAGATTCTTCCATGACTCCCACCAGCCCTGCTTTAGTTCTGACCAGGGTCCCCTTCTCCCAAGAGATTGCTCAACCTCACCATGCCCCGAGGGCCCCAGGCAACCCTGAGCTGGGAGCACTGGAAAGAGAGGTGGTATCAAGAGAGGTGGGTAACAGGAGGTGGAGCTTGCAGTGAGCCGAGATCGCGCCACTGCACTCCAGCCTGGGCGACAGAGTGAGACTCCATCTCAAAAAAAAAAAAAAAAAAAAAAGAGGTGGGTACATTTGAGCCCCAGGGCAGGGATGGGTGGAGGTTGGTCCTGGGGCCAGCCATCCCAAAGAGAGTAGGAGCTCAGGCAGGTCCTGCTGTCCACAGAGTCCGCACACACTGGGCGCCTTGCAGCTCCAGTGTCTGGAATTGCAAATGGAAATGAAGAGGATCCCACCACACTCCAGGGCTCAGGAGGGATTGGAGCTGAGAGACCATGAGGACCATGAGGAAGGGAAGTTTTCATCTCTTCGCTTGCTTCAGGAGGAAAAATGCCCCCCCACACCCGTGCCCCTGCCCCCGCCAGGCCTCCTTCTTGTGTGAGTTAGTTCTGCTACAGTGGAAAGGAGCTCCCCAGTTCCAGATTTTGCAAAGGGTGTCACATCAGCCCCATGTCTCTTCCCAAGGGCAGAGGACTTACTGTAGCTAAGGCTCTGAGCTCCAGCCTCCCCTTGCCTTTGTGTCTTAAAAATTCCCTGCAGCCCGCCTTCTCCACTTGTGCACATCACCACGCACTGAGGCCCTCGCAGGCGCCAAGGCTGCTTCTTTCTACCTCTTGCCTCATTCTTGCCATCTGCTTATCGCCCATTGGTATGAGCCTGAATCATCTTCCCAGGGGAAAGTCCGCGCTAGGAGCCCTGTGCTCTGACTACCTGGATTTATTCCCTGCATTTTCACGCCACCGGTGCCCAGTAGCTTCTGTCTTGGAACTGGTGCGCATGGACCGATGAGTCAGGGATACCCACTAGCTCTAACCATTCCTGTAAGTGATGCCTCATTAGGGCCGCTGTGGGGTGGGTTCTCCATCTGCGTCCACCTGGCAACCCCGCGAACTCTGATCGCGTGCCCTTTTGCACCCGGGACCCATGGATGCCCAGCCCTGGGTCATCCTCATTCCATCAACTGGCCTACCTGGTTAATCTTGCAGAGGTCTGCGCACATATTGCTGCCCTCGCAGCGCCCGTCAGACTTCAGCACATCCTAACATTCGTGTGGGATTTATTGAAACTGAGGTAGAAGACGACGCACGGCACCGTGATGTAGGTGGCCGTGCTGATGGCGCCGCTGTCCCCGCGTCCGCAGACACCGAGGGCCCGGCTTGCCTGGCTCACCCTTCTTTCAGAGCAGCCCCAAAGGGCCTGGAGGACTCGGGTCCCTAGGAGGTCCGGGGCGGGGGATCATTTTGTTGGTAAAGCCCTGCTTCCTCTGGGGGCCCTGCACCAGCGTGGAGGGTGACTGCGCATCGCTCTGCTCTGCTCCCTCAAGGCATTTGGCCACCCGCCGGCGCCGGGCCCTGCACAAGGCAGGGGTCGTACACCACGCTGCAGGTGGCCTGCATCTCATGGTGTCTGTCTGGGCCCCCTGCCCTCCACAGCACCGGGATGGGCACTACCACTATCAGCAGCATCAGCACGCTGGCGTGGGGAGCGGAGGTGGGGGGCGCCAGGCAGCTCGGCTGCGCCAGCAGCACAATGTTGCCAGTGGTTGGGGCCTGCAGGCAAGGGGCCCGCGCTCACCGGGGTCCGGCTCACCCAGGGTCTGGAGGAGCTGTGGGCATGGGGCTGGGCCTCGGGCCCCGCGCTGAGCTGTCTGAAGTGAGGAACCCCCGCCTCCACCCGCCTCCAACCCAGCTCCTCCTGTCTCCTTGCTCTCCGGCCAGCAGCACTGGCTCCGCGTGGCTCAGAGGGCACCAGGGCAGGGCTGCGGACGCCCCGTGGTGGGAGGGGCAGAGAGGGGCACGACTCGAGGTGGGAGGGGCAGAGGGTCGGGACCACAGATGGGAAGGGTAGAGGGGGGCGGAGCCGCGGGGACCCGAGGTGGGAGGGGCAGAGAAGGGGCGAGGGCCGAGATGGGAGGGGCAGAGGGGCGGGGCCGCGAAGCCCTGCGCGGGAGACCCAGAGGAAGAGCAAGACTTAGGAAGCCAGAGACTGAGACTCGGAAATGGGGAGGCGGCTAGAACCAGAAAAACAGGAGAGGTTCTTCCAGGGAAGGGAAGAGTAAGGACCAAAGTGCGAACCGAAGAGAGGACCATGGGGAGAGCTAGACAGCGCCAAGGGGTTTGAGAAAGGAGAGGCCCCGAGAGTCGGTCACGCGAAAAACTGAAAGGGACAAAGGGAGGCGCGAGGGGCCCGAACCGCAGCGGGTGGAAGCGAGGGATGGTGCCCGGGTCTGCAGGGGTCAAAGAAAGCGATTTGGGGGACGACAGGGTGGACGTCGAAAGGGTAGGATGAGGAACAGGGTTGTGAGGGGAAAAGAGGATAGGAGTAAGGTTCGTGGGCCCCGAAGACCCCAGTCTGGGAGATCCGGGGGTGGAATGAAGGCCAGTCGGGACGCCCAGCGGAGCCCGCGTACTGAGAGCAGCCGCCTCCGCGCTTCTGGCTCTCACTGTTCCAGAGACCCGCCTTCCCCCAGGAGGGGCAGTTCCTTCAACCCCTTCACGCCTCTGCCCCTCCCTCACGGAGCTCCAGCCAGGCAGCTTTCTCCTGGGACCCTTTTCCTCCATCTTCTTCTGATCCATCCCCTTATCTCTGCCTCTAGACCAGGGAGAAACGTGGATCCTAAGAAGGTGTGCAACCCCACGTTATTTTTCCATGCTGACAGGTACAAATACATCCCGGGTTCATGGACCCCTTCTCCAGCCTCCAGGAGGAGGGGTGGATCTCATCCAGCCCTTCAGTTTCTTCTTCCTCATCCCCCACACTCCTCAGCAACCCCCTAACTCTTCTTTCCATCAGGTTGTGGGAGGCTCTATTCTTCCTCAGGTTCAGAAGAGTGTTTAGGTTGCATAAACCGACGCGTGTCTGCTTCCATCAAAGTATTTGTCACGTGATCTGAAGCCCAGCTCCTGTTGTTCCACTGCTCCTACTTCTCCCTCCTTTATCCAGCCCACCAGGGAGCACTCTGCCATGGGAGGCCTCTGGCTGGCCGCTAAAGGATAACACCCCAGCGGGGCGGGGTGGCGCTCGCGTATAATTCTAGAACGCTGGGAGGCCAAGGCGGGAGGATTGCTTAATCCCAGGAGTTTGAGACCAGCCTGGGTAACACAGTGAAGCCCCCATCTCTACAAAATGTAAAAACTTAGTCAGATGTGGTGATGTGTGCCTGCAGTCCCAGCTACTCTGGAGGCTGGGGTGGGAAGTTCGCTTATGCTCGGGAGGTCGAGACTGCTGTGAGCCATGGTTGCTCCACTGCACTCCAGTCTGGGTGACAAAGCAAGACTCTGTATCAAAAAAAGAATGACATTCCATCCTCTCTTCTCCTGAAAAGCTTACTTCAGGGTCACACTCTCCCCCTACTGACCCACGAGGATGGCCCACAGGAATCTCTGGCCTTCCCCATGCAAGGCTGAGCACTTTAGGAGGCTGAGATGGGAGGATCCCTTAGACCCAGGAGTTCAAATTCAGCCTGGGCAATATTAGGAGACCCTTGCCCTGCAAAAAAAAAAAAAAAAAAAAAAAAAAAAAAAAAAAGCCCATCATGGTGGCACAGTCCTGTATTTTCAGCTATTTGGGAGGCTGAAGTGGGAGGAAGACTTGAGCCTACTTCTAGGCTGCAGTGAGTTATGATCACACCACTACACTCCAGCCTGGACAAGAGAGGGAGACTCTGCCTCTGAATAAATAAATAAAATTAAAGACCTGCTTGCCAATTCTAAACCTGGTGGTTTTAGGTAAATAGCCTACCCTCAGAGCCTTGAGTGTTCTCCTTTGGGAAAAAGGTGGTTGTGAGGATTAAATGAGATATAATACATGCAAAGCTCTGGGTTCAGCATCTGACCATTATTATGCATCTTGTAAATGGTAGCTACTATACCTACCCAGACACAGTCCACAGGAGGGCTTGAGGTTCCCATGCATGAATCCAGTCCACCATTGAGATTATGACTTGCACAGTTGGGCCCAATCCACAGCAGGGGTTTACCCCCATACCTCGTGTTGGAGCATGTGAAGGATTGTGAATCTCACCCCGTACCTCCTCAAAGGTGTGATTGTTACATACACTTTTGCCAAATACCTGAATGATTTTATTTTCCTGCGTGGGTACAGACCACAAATGAGACTGTGAAATATACTTGGACCAAACACCTTGGTGATGTCACTATCTTTTCTTGGCTCTGCCCTCAGAGTGGATTATGACATAGGTTTGGGCCCATTACCTAGTTGGTTTGACCATGCTCTACTGCCTGGACACTGCTTAAAGGGGGAATATGTGTGATATAGCTATGAGCTCATAACTTAGGGGACATGACTCTCCTCTCCTACCTGGGTGCTGCTTCCAGTGAATATTTTTACATATTGCTGGGCCTTGCACCCAAATGATGTGACTCCCCTACTAAAGCCCTTCCCACAGAGGGCATTGTAACATATCTCTGTGCCCACCATTTAGGTGATGTGACTATTCTCTTTTGTCCGGGCACTGCCCACATGGGACATTGCAACACATCATTAAGCCCAGCACCCAGTTTATGTGACCTTTCTGCCAGGGCCCTGCTGAAAAGATGGATATCAACATATCCTTGTCCCAAAGCCCAGGTGCTGTGACTCTCTTGCCAGGTCCCTGCCCACAAGTGAGATTGTTCATATACCTAAGCCCAGCTCACAGGCATGATGATTACTCTCATACATGGACTCAGCAAAGAGAAGAGATTTGGACTCTCATAGATAGGCTTAGGGCACTGGGTAAGGTCCTAGGTCTCCTACTTGTGGAAAAGTCACAGAAGATTATGACATGTATGCATACAGTATAAAGCCCTTGAGTGACATAGACAGTGTCATAACAGGGCCCAACACACAGATGAGATTGTGATTCTCATAAGCACATGCAGCTGACAATTAGAAGAGTCACCCTCACATATGTGCTCAGCCCACTGTTGAGGTTCTGAAACTCATATCTGGAGGCATTCAAAAGTTTGAATTGTGACTCTCATATGTGAATCTGAACCCAAGGTAGGATAGTGAATCTCAGACCGAAATTCAGCACACCTGTGAGGCTGTGACTACACTACTGCCTCACTGTTCACAAAAGCAGTGGAGCTCTCATGCGCAGATCCTGTTCACCACTGGGATTGTAATCTGAGGACTTGGGGGCAACTCACTGGAGATGTTAACTCTTATACCTGGAGCCAGGGAATATGCAGGCTTGTGAATCTCATTCCTGGATCTTTTTGCAGGTTTGTTATATATAATTCTGCCTAGCACCTGATTGATTTTACTCTCTTGCCTGGGCCCAACGAATTGTTGGTATTGTGACATCTATCTGAGCCAAGAAACTAGATCATGTGGTATCTCTGCCTGGGCCCTGCCCACAGGGCGCATTGTGACATATCTATTGGCTCATCACCTAGGTGATGTGACACTAATTTCCTGCCTTGGCCCTGCCTTCTGTGGGGATTGCAATATATCACTGGTCCATCATCTTAGTTATATGACTCTCCTCTGCTGCCTGGGCCTTGCTACTATTGGGTACTGTGATGTATCCCTGAGCCCAGCACCCAGGTAATGTGACTCTCCCTTACTGCCTGGGCCTTGCCTACAGTGGGCATTGTGACATATCACTGGGCCTAGTATCCAGATGTTGTGACTCTCCTTTAAAAGCCCTGCTTGCAGAGAAAATTGTGATATATTCTAGACCTGACACCCATGTAATGTGACTCTACTGCCTGGTGCATGCCCACAGGTGGGATTGCAACATGTAACTAGTCACAGTTTACAAGAATGCTGATGACTCTCACATGTGAACCCAGCCAATAAAAGAGATTTTGACCCTCCGAGCCAGGCTTAGAGAAACAGGTAATGTCCTGAGTAATGTGACTATTCTCTTCTCTCTCCCCCATTGATAGCCAACAGGGGACATTGTGACATTTCTTTGGGCCAATCCCCTAGGTGATGTGACTCTCCTCTCCTGCCTAGGTTCTTCCCTCCTGTGAATTTAAAATATCACTGAGTTCTGAACCCAGGTGATGTGCCTCTCCTGCCTGGGACCTGCTTACCGAGGCATTGTGACATATTTCTCAGACCATCAACTAGGTGATTTGACCCTCCTCTTTTGCGTTGGCCTTGTCCACAGAGAGAACTGTGACATACTGCTGAGGCCTGCACACAGGTGATTTGATTTTGCTGTCAGGGCACTGTCCACAGGGAAGTTATTGACAGTAACAATTGTCACCCTCCAACATGGCCAGAGACCACTGTTGTGGTTCTGTATCTCACACTAGGTAGCAGTAGAAAGTTGAAATGTTAACTCTCATACATAGATCCAGTGCACAGGTAGTTTGGAGAATCTCAGACCAGGTTTCAGCACACCTGTAGCATATGACTCCTGCACATGGACACAGTTTCTGGTGGGATTGTGGCTCTCATGTATGAATTTGGGCCACTGTTGAGATTGTTACTGGTGTATTCGGGCCCAACTCACAGGAGGTGTTGACTCTCATACCTTGAGCTGGGACATGTGTGGGATTATCTCATCCTTGGACTTTCTGAAGGTGTGATTGTTACATATACCTTTGTCTAGCACCTGATTTGACTATCCTGCCTCAGTACAGCTCACCAGTAGGACTGTGAAATATAACTGAGACAAGGTCCTAGGTAATGTGATTCTTTTGCCTAGGCCCAGTCCTCAGAAAGGATTTTGACATATCCCTGGGTCCATCACCTAGGTGATGGAAGTATTCCTTTCTCCTCATGCCCTGCACACAGTGGGAGTTGTGACATACCACAGGCCCATCACCTAGGTGAAGAGACTCTCCTCTTTTTCCTGGGCCCTGCACCAAGTGGGATTGTGACATATTGCTGGACACTGCACTCAAATGATATGCCTCTCCTGCCTAAGCAATGCCAAGAAGAGGCATTGTGACATACCTATGAGCCCATCACCTAGGTGATGTGACTCTCCTCTCCTGCCTGGGTCCTGTACAAAGTGTGGATTGTGACATATTGCTGGACCTAGCACCCACTTGATGTCTCAGACCTGCTTTCAGCACACCCATAAGCCATAACTCCTGTACCAGTACAGCATCACAAGTGGGATTGTTGTTCTCATGAATGGATTCAGACCACTGTTGAGACTGTTACTGGTGGGCTTGGGTCTCCAACTCACACTTCTATGCACACTCAACCAACAATGACACTCAGAAGACTACTCTGCGTGGCCCTGCCCTCAGCAGGCATTGTAGCATATTGCTGAGCCCAGCACTCAGGTGATGTGACTTACCTGCCAGGGCCCTGCACACAGGAGGCATATTGACATATTACTGGCCCAGCATTTACTTATGTGACTTTCCTGCCTAGTTCATGCCCACAGATTAAATTTTGACATTTGCTTATGTTCAGCTCACAGGTATGGTGATGATTCTTATACATGGATCCAGCCAATAAGAAAGATTTTTACTCTCATAGCTAGACTTAGAGCAACCAGTGTGGTCCCAGGTCTTCTAGTTGTAGAAAGGTCACAGAGAGTTATGACACTCATACATATCCTATAAAACCTTTAGGTTCTACAGAGTATCATAACAAGGCCCAGCACACCAGTGAGATTGTTAATTTCTTAGGCAAAACCAACCAACAGTAAGAAATGTCACACACTCGCATGGACACAGCCTAATTTTGAGGTTCTGAATCTCACATCCGGAGATTGTCAAAAGATGGAATTGTGACTCTCACATGTGGATCCTGTCTACAGGTAGAATGGTGACTCTCTCACCAAGATTCAGCACAGTTATGAGGCTGTGCCTCCAATACCAGGACACTGCTCACAGGTGGAGTTGAAGCTCTCGTGCATGAATCAAGTCTAGCATTGAGACTGTGAATCACACACTTGGACCCAACTCACAGAAAGTGTGGATTCTCAAACCTGGAGCTGTGATGTATATGGGATTGTGAATCTCATCCCTGGAGTGCCCACAGGGTATGTTTGTTACATATATAATTACACGGCACCAGATTGATTTTACTCTTCTGCCTGGGCCCAGCCCACAGTTAGGACTGTGACATATACTTGGGCTAAACACTTAGGTGGTATGACTGTCTTTCTTGAGCACTGCCCATAAGGGGGATTGTGACATACCTCTTGGATAATCAGGAATGAAATTTACCTCTACTTCCTGGAACATATACACAGGCAGAATTGTAGCACATTTTTGGGCCTTTCACATGAGTAATATGACTCTCCTCATTTCATTTTGTTGTGCCCCAAGTGGGGATTGTGACATATCCCTGGGCCCATTATCTAGGTGATAGAACTCTTTTCTCCTGCCTGGATCCTGCTTACAAGGGGGATTGTGACAAATTGCTGGGCCAAGCACATAGGTACTGTGAATCTCTCTTCCTTCTTGGTCCTTGCCGACAGAAAAGATGGAGACGTATCAATGGGCCAAGCACCCTGGGTTCTGCCTACAGTGGGCATTGTGACATATCCCTGGTCCAGAACCAAGACTATGTGGCTCACCTTCCTGCTTCCTGCCCACTGGGATTGTGACATATACTTAGGCTCAGCTCACAGGCGTAATGATAACTGTCATACATGAACCCAGCCAATAAGAGAGACTTTTACTCTTATAGTTAGGCTTATAACAACAGGTATGCTTCATGTATCCTACTTGTAGAGAAGTCACAGAAAATTAGGGAACTCACGCATATCCTATAAAGCCCTTGGGTGGTACAGAGTTGTTGTAACAGGCCAGCACACACATGAGATTGTGACTCTCATAGCACACTCAGCCAACAACTAGGACTGTCACCCCCACACATGGACTCAGCCCACTCCTGAAGTTCTGAATCTCACACCTGGTGGCAGTCAGAAGTTGGAATGGTGATTCCGATACATGGATTTGATTGACAGGCAAAATAATAACTCTTCGACAAAACTTCAGCACTCCTGTTAGGCTTTGACTGTCCTACTAAGATTCTGTGTTTAGGTGGAGTTGAGGCTTCCATGCACAGATCCTGTCCACTGTTGTGATTGTAAATTGCATGCATAGATTCAGCTCAACTCACAGGAGTTGTTGACTCTCATACCTGCAGCTGGGACATGTGAAGGATTAGAAATTTTATTCCAGGATCTTCCTGCAGGTGTGGTTTTGACATATACCTTTGCATAGCATGTTATTAAGTTTACTTTCCTGCCTGGGCCCAGCCTACAGTTGGGATTGTGACACACACTTGAGCTGAGTACATAGTGATGTGATGCTCCCACCTGGGCCCTACTTGCAAGAAAGATTGTGACATATGGCCAGGCCCATCAGCTAGGTAATGTGACTCTCCTTTTCATCCTGTGCCTGCCCACAGTGAAGATTGTGACAAATGTCTGAGCCAATCAGCTGTGTAAAATGACTCTTCTTTCTTGCCTGGATCCTGATAACAGGGAGCATTGTGACATATCAGTAGGCCCAGCACCTAGGTAACATGACTCTTCTTGCTGCTTGGGCCCTACTTACAGAAGATTTTATGACATATTGCTGAACCAAGTAGTCAGATGATGTGATTCTCCTGCCTGTGCCCTGCCTACAGTGGGCACTGTGACATATCACTGGGCCTAGCACCCAAGTGATATGACTCCTGTCTTGTCCCAGCCCAAAGGTGAAATTGTGACATATACCTGGGCCCAGCTCACAGGAAAAATGATGCCTCTCATACCTACACACAGACAATAGGAGATATTTTGACTGTCCTAGCCAGGCTTCGGGCCACAAATAATGTCCTGGATCTTCCACTTTTATAAAGTTCACAGAAGATTAGAACTTCAGGCCTATTGTATAAAGCCCTAGAGTGATACAGAAAGCTTTATAACGGGCCCAACTAATAGGTGAGGCTGTGACTCTCATATCCAGAGCCAGCTGACACAATCTCTCTTCTCACACACAAACAGAGCCTACTAATGAGGTACTTAATGTCACACATATAAGCAGTTGTAAGTTGGAATTGTTACTCTCTTATGTGGATCTGGTCCACAGGTGGCTTGATGACTCTTGAACCATGATTCAGCAGACTTGTGAGGCTGTGACTCCCCTACTGAACACAATCTGCAGGTGGGATTGGGGCTCTTATGCACGGACCTTGCCCATTGTTGGGATTGTATCTCCTGTATTTGAACCCAACTCCAGGAGGAGTTTCCGCTCATACCTGAAGCCAGAACTTGTGTGGGACTGTGAAACTCATTTCTGTACATTCCCAAGTGTTTGATTGGGACATATACCTTTATGGTATATGAGTGATTTGACTTTCCTTCCTAGGCCCAGCCCACAGATAAAATTGTGACATATACCTGGACTAATCACCTAAGTAATGTGAAACTCCTTCCTGGGGACCGGCCTACCAAGGGAATTTTTACATATCACCGGCACCAGCATACACTGAAGTGATATGAGTCTTCTGCCTGAGCCCTGCCTATAAAGGGCATTGTGACTTCTCTCTGGGTCCATCACACAGGTGATGTGACTTCCTTCTACTGCCTTGGCCCTGTAATTAGAGTGCATTATGACACATAACTGGGTATTGCACCCAGGAATGTGACTCTCCTGCCTGGATTCTTCCTACAGGAAGCATTGTAACATATCACTTAGCCCAGCACCTAGGTGATGTGATTCTCCTTGCTTGCTTTGTCCCTGTTCCCTGGAGAGATCATGACACATTGCTGGGCCCGGCACCAAGGTGATGTCATTCTCTTGCCATGGCTCTGCCCATGGAGGCCATTGCAACATATATCTAGACCAGTCACCAAGGTGAAGTGAGTCTCCTCTCCTGCCTAAGCTTTGCCTGCAGAGGGGATATTGATATATCACTGGACCAAGCACATCCAGATGATGTGACTCTTCTGCCAGGGTCCTGTCCACAAGGGGGATTGTGACATGTCCCTGGACCAGCATCCAGGTGATGTGCCTTTCCTGCCCTCTCTCTGCCCACAGGTAGCATTGTGTTGTATACCCAGAACCAAATCACAAGCACAATGGTGACTCTTGTACCTGGAGCCAAGACATGTGCGGGATGGTGAATCTTATCACTGGGCCTTTCCACAAGTGTTATTGTAAAATATACCTTTGTCCAACACATGAGTGATTTGACTCTCTAGACCTGGCCCAGTTCACAAATAAAATTGTGACATATACCTGGGCCAAGAACCTAGGAGATATGCCTCCTATGCCTGGGCCCTGCTCTCAGAAGGATAGTGACATCACACTGAACCCAGCACCTAGGTGATGTTATTTTTCTTTTCTACATGGGTCCTGCTTGCAGTGGGACTTGTGGCATACTGATGGGCTCAGCACCAAGGTGATGTGACCTGGGCCCTGATGACATGGGCAATTGTGACATATCACTGGCCCCAACACTCAGGTAGTGTGATTCTCCTGTCTGGTATCTGCCAACAGAGGGCATTGTGACATATTTCTAAGCCCAGCACCCAAGTGCTGTGAGTCTCCTGACTGGGCCCTGCCCACAGGGAGAATCGTGATCTTTCCCTGGACTCAATACCTAGGTCATGTACTCTCCTTTCTACCTAGACCCAGCCTACAAGGGTAATTGTGACATATCACTGAGCCCAGCACTGAGGTGATATTATTCTGTGTAGGCCCTGCCAACAGAAAAAATTTTTGATATATCCCTGGTTTGGCACCCAGGTGATGTAACATGTCTTTTGGTCCACACCCACAGGTGTGATTTTGACCTATACCTTTTCCTAGTACCTGAGTGATTTGCCTCTTTAGCCTGGGCTAATCCCACAGATAGGATTGTGACATATACCTGGCACAAGAACCTAGGTGAGGTAACTCTTCTGCCTTGGTGCTATCTTTAAAGGGGATTGTAATATGTAACTAGGCCCAGCATGTAGTGATGTGGCCCATCTCTTTTTCGTGAGCCCTGCCCCCAGTGAGGATTGTACATATCCCTGGGTCCTGCACCCACGAGATGTGACCCTCCTGCCTGGGGCCTGCCCATAGAGTCACTCTGACATATCTCTGGGCCCATCCCTCAGGTGTCGTAACACTCTTCTTGTGCCCAGGTGTTGCGGGCAGGAGGGACTGTGACATAGGCCTGGACCAAGCACCTGGGTGATGTGACACTCTTGGCTGAGCCCTGCTACCCTCAGGGGATATTTTCACATATTGCTGATCTCAGCACTAAGATTATGTAACTCTCCTACCTGAACTTTTTCCACAGGGGGCATTGTTACATATTCCTGGCCCAGAACCTAGGTGATGTGACTCTCCTACCTGGTCACTGCTCACAGGTATGTTTGGATCCAGTTTACAGGCCCAGTGATGACTCTCATACCTGGACCTAGCCAGTTAAAAAATGTTGACTCTGGCCAGGCACGGTGGCTCACACCTGTAACCCCAGCACTTTGGGAGGCCGAGGCGGGTGGATCACGAGGTCAGGAGTTTGAGACCAGCCTGGCTAAGATGGTGAAAACTCGTCTCTCCCAAAAATACAAATAACATAAAATAAAATAAAATATGAAATAAAATAAAATAAAATAAAAATTAGCCAGATGCGGTGGCGGGTACCCAGAATCCCAGCTACTTGGTAGGCTGAGGCAGGAGAATCGCTTGAACCTGGGAGGCGGAGATTGCAGTGAGCGGTGATCACCCCACTGCACTCTAGCCTGGGTGACAGAGCAAGACTCTGTATGAAAAAAAAAAAGAAAGAAAGAAAGAAAGAAAAGAAAAAGAAAAAAGAAAACAAATATGTTGACTCCTGTGCATTAAAATAGGGAATCAGGTAAGATCATTGGTCTATATCAGAATTAAAGTCTCAGAGCTGACTGCAACTCTCATGCACATTATATAAAGCCCTCCAGTGGTACAGAGAATGTCATAACAGGGCCCACCACACAGGTGTGATTGTGACCCTCATATGCATAGGCAGCTAACAGGATTGTCAATCTCCCACAAGATCACAGGCCACTGTTGATGTTCTGAATCTCAAAACTAGAGACAGTCAAAATTTAGAACTGTGACTTTCATATGTGAATGCAGTCCACAGGTTGGATGGTGACCCACAAACCAGGATTAAGCACACCTGTTAGGCTGTGATTTTTCTACCAAGAAACACTGTGTAGGTGTGACTAGGGCTCTCATGCACAAATCAAGTCCACTGTTAAGATTGTAACTCATGTATTTGAACTCAACTAGCAGGAGATGTTGACTTTCATACCTGGAGCTGAGACATGTGCTGGATTGTGAATCTCATTTTTGGATTTGCCCAAAGGTTTGATTGTGACACATACCTTTGCCTAACATCTGAGTGATCTGACTCTCATGTGTGAGCCTAGCATGCATACAGATGGGATTGCTACATGTCCCGTGGCCAAGGACTTAGGTGATGTGACATTCCTGCTGGGGTGTGGCCCTGCTCTGGAAAGGTTCTTAACATATTGCTGGACTCAGCACCTAGGTGATGTGACTCTTCTTCCTGGGTCCTGCCCAGAGCTCAAATTGTAACACATATCTGGGCCCAAAACACAGGTAAGGCAATGACTCTCATACCTGGGCCAAGACAATAAGATAGATTTTTATTCTTGTAGCTCAGCCTGAAACAATGGGTAAGTACAGGGTCTCCTACATGTACAAAGTTTACAGAAGATTATGACACTCACAGATATCACATGAAATGCTCGGGTTGTACAGAGAGTGTCATAATAGAACCCAAAGAGATGAGATTATTACTCTCCTACTCACACTCAGCTGACAGGGTTATCATCCTCACACATGAATAGAGCCCACTGATGAGATCCTGATTCTTACTGTAGGCACAGCCTACAGTTGGAATTTTGCCTATTATATATAGATTCAGCCACAAATAAGAGGGTGACTCATTTCTGAAACCAGCTTACAGGCAAGATGATGACTTTCATACCTGAACCCAGCCAATAGGAGAAATATTGACTCTTGTGCCTGGGCTTAAGGCAAAGGGTAATATCATGGGATTATACCACCACAAAAGTCTCAGAGCAGATTGCAACTCTCACAAATACTCTATTAAACTTTCTGTGGTACAAAGGGTGTAATAACAGGGCCTAGCACACAGATGAGATTGTTACACTTGTATGTACACCCAGCCAACAGTAAGGATTGTCACCCTCTCACATAAACACAGTCCACTGCTGAGGTTCTGAATTTCACATCTGAAGGAAAGTGAAAGGTTAAATTGTGACTCTCATGTGTGGATCTGGTCCACAGGTAGGATGGTGACTGTCAAACCAAGATTCAACACAACATTGAGAATATGGCTGCCCTGCTAGGACGTTGTTCACAGGTGGAGTTGAGGCTGTCATTTATGGATCTTGTCCACCATTGAGATTCCGTCTCACACACTTGGGCACAAATCACAGAAGGTGGTGACTCTCCTACCTGAAGCCTGGTAGTGTGTGGGATTATGAATCTCATTCCTTGACTTTCCTGCAGGTGTGATAGTAACATATACTTTTGCTCATCACCTGATTGATTGATTTTACTCTCTTGTGGAAGCCTAACAAACAATTGGGAGTTGAGATTCTGGAATATACCTGGTCCTAGCCCCTGGGTGATGTGACTCTCCTGCCTGGGCTCTGCCCACAGGATACGTTGTGACATGTCTCTGGGCCCATCACCAAAGTGATGTGACTCTAATTTCCTGCCTATGTCCTGCCTCCCTTGGGGATTTTGACATATCACTGAGCCCACTAGTGTGTGATATGACTCTCCTGTTTGCTAGACCCTGCTAACCAAAACAAAAGTGACATACAGCTGAGTCCAGCACCTAGGTAATGTGACTCTCTTTTGCTACCTCTGCCCTCCCTATATAAGGGATTGTGACATACCACTGGGCCAAGCACCCAGGTAATGTGACTCTCCTGCTTGTACCCTGCCTACACTGGGCATTGTGACATATCACTGAGCCTAGCACCTGGGTGATGTAACTTCTTTTTTGGGACATGTCAACAGAAGGGATTGTGACATATCTCTGGCCCATCACCCAGGTGATGTGACTCTCTTGGCTTCTGTTCACCCACAGGTAGGATTGTGAACTTTACTAGGCCCAGGCATCATGATGTCTCTCAGATGTGGAACCACAAAATAGAAGAAATATTGACTCACATAGATAGATTTAGGGCAAAAAGGAAGGTCCTGAGTCTCTTACTTGTAAAAAAAATTATAGAATATTCTAACACACACATATATTATGAAGCCTTTGAGTGACACAGAGTTTCATAATACAAACCAGTACACAGGTAGTAGTGTGACTCTCATAAGCACACCCCACTGAAAATTAGGATTGTCATCCTCATATATGGACAGACCCACTGGTGAACTCCTGAGTCTCACATGCAGATGAAGTCCACAGTTGGAATTGTGACTGTTACATGTAAATCTGGCCACAGGTGACATGGTGACTCATTTCTGGACCCAGCTCACAGGCCCAGTAATACCTGAACTCAGACAATAAAGTAGTGATGTGGCCCCAATCCCTGTTGGACTGAACAAAGGAGGACGAACGCAGGAATAAAGACAAAAGAGTATATTTGAAAGAAGGGATCAGGGGGCTCCTTGCTTCTAGTGAACAAGGGCCCTGTACTTCTAGCTCCATTCGTATTTATTGAGTAAAGGAGATAGGGAGAAAGAGGTGGTTGTCAGTCAGCTGCTTGACTTGGTGCAGGCTGCACGACCGCATTCTCTGAACAGTAGTCTCCAGATGTTCCAACAGATAACCTCAAGGAGCACGGCGTCAGGGAGTGATTGCCCCCAGCAAACCTTCTGGTGGCAGGTGCAGTCGCAAGTTTGCCCACATCCTGCATTCATGATAAACAGTTTGCTGTTTGATCATATAGCCTCCAGTGGAATGCTGAGTTGGTCATGATCCACAGGCCTTCAACTCCCTACAAAATAGATGTTTGCTCTAGTAACTAGGCTTAGGGCAACAGGTAATGTCTTGGGTTTCCTACTTGTACAAAAGTCAGAGAGCCCTACAAAACTCAAGTTATTGTACAACGCCCTCAAGTGGTAAAGAGAGTTTCATAACAGGGTCCATCACACAGATGAAATTGTGACTCTTGTCTGCACACTCACCTAACAGTAAGGATTATCATCTACCTACATGTTCACAGCCCATTGTTGAGTTTCTAAATCTCACACCTGGAGGCAACTGAAAGGTGAAACTGACTCTCATAAATGGATCTGGACCATAGGTAGGATGGTGACTTTTGGATGAAGATTAAACACCCTGTGAGGCTGTGTCTATTTTATTAGGACACTGTTTTCAGATGAGATGGGGGCTCTCATGCACAGATCCAGTCCACTGTTGACATTGTGACTCATGTACTTGGACAGAACTCAAAAAGGTGTTGACTTTCAAATTTGGAGCCAGGAAACATGCAGTGTTGTGAATCTCATTCCCTGGACCTTTCTGCAGGTGTGGTTTTGACGCATACCCTTTACCAGCACCTGGTTATTTTTACACTTCTGCTGGTCCTGTCTAAACACAGGATTATGACCTATACCTAGGCCAAGCACATAGGTGATATGACTCTCTTGCCTGGGCTATTCTCTCAGAGGAGATTTTGAAATATTTATGCACCAATCAGCTAGGTGATGTGACTCTCCTCTCTGGCCTGGACTCAGCCCACAAAGGGCATTGTGACATATCACTGGTTCCATGTGCTAGGTGACGTGACTCTTCTCTCCTGCCTGGGCCCCACCCCATTTCAAATTTTGACATATCCCTTGGTCCATCTCCTAGGTGATACGTCTCTCCTCTTTTGCCTTGGACCTGCTTACCTGGGGAATTTTAATGTATTACTGGGGACAGCACCTGGTAGATTTTACTGTTCTTTTTTTTTTTTGCCTAGACTCTCCCTACAGAAGGGAGTGTGACAAATCAATGGGCCAAGCACCCAGCTGATGTGGCTCTCCTGTTTAAGCAATGCCTGTAATTGGGATTGTGAAATATACCTGGGCCATATTTTCTAGGTGATGTAACTCTCCTGCCTGAATCCCTCCTGAGAGGGCATTGTGGCATATCTCTGTGCCCATCCCCTAGGTCATATGACTCTTCTTTTTTTCCTGGGCTCTGTCCATAGGGTAATTTGTGACATATTGCTGGGCCCAATACCCAGGCAATTTGACTCTCTCATTTTGGCCCTGCCCACAAAGGGCATTGTGACATTTCAGTGGGCTCAACAGCCAGGCGATGTGACTGGGGCTCTTCTCTCAAAATGGATACTGACATATCTCTGCGTAAGGATTTAGGTGATGTGGCTCTCCTTCCTGATCCCTGCCCACAGGTGGTATTGTCATATATATCTAGGTCCAGTTCACAGGCATAATGATGACTATCATACACAAACACAACCAATAGAAAAGATGTTGAATCTTCTCCCTGGGCTTATGGCAATGTATCAGGTCTTCATCTCCTACTTTTGGAAAGATCACAAAGTATTAGAAAACTTATGCATATTCTGTAACGCTCTTTGGTGGTACAGAGACTGTCATTACAGGGCCCAGCACACAGCCAACAGTTAAAATTTGCGGTCTCACACATGGACAAAGCCCACTGTTAAGGTCCTGAAACTCATAGACACAGTCCGCAGTTGGAATTTTGACTGTCTTATGTGGATCTGGCCACACAGCCAACAGTTAAAATTTGCAGTCTCACACGTGGACAAAGCCCACTGTTAAGGTCCTGAATCTCACTCATACACACAGTCTGCAGTTTGAATTTTGACTGTCATATGTGGATCTGGCCACAGGTAAAATGGTGACTCATTGCTGGAGCTATCTCACAGGCATGGTAATGACTCTCATATCTGAGCCAGTCAATAGAAGAGATGTTGAATCTCATCCTTAGGCTTGGAGCAACAGGTAAGATCATGGGTTTATATAAGCACAAAGGCTTCAGAGTGGATTGCAAGTCTCAAAGATATTATTAAAAGCCGCAGATGCTGCAAAGAATAATATAACAAGGCCCAGTACAGTGTTGAAGATTTGACTCTCATTGCATACACTGTCAACAGTAAAGATTTTCACACTTCCATATGGACACAGCCCACTGTTGAAGTTCTGAATTTCATATCCAAAGGCAGTCAAAAGTTGGTATTATTACTCTTATATGTGGATCCAGCCTTTAGGTGAGATAACGAGTCTCTGACCAAGATTCGGCAAATATATTAGGCTCTAACTCTCTTAATGTGTGTTTTCTGAGGTTGAGGCTTTCATGCCTGGATCCAATTTACTGTTGAAATCATGACTTTGCATATTGGATACATGAGGTGTGTAAAAGTTTACGAGGTGCATGCTTTTATAGCTGGACCCAGAACATGTGCAGGAATGTAAATTCCATCCCTGGACCTTCCCACAGGTGTGAATGTGACGTATACTTTTGCCCAGCCAGAACTTGACTAATTTGAATATACCGCCTGAATAAAGCCCACAGTTTGGATTGTGACATATACCTAAGCCAATAACCTTGGTATTGTGGCCCTCCTGCCTAGCCCCTTCTCACAGGTGGCATTGTGATATACCAGGCCCCATTCCCAGAGGGGATTTTGACATATTGATGAGTCCAGCACTCCTGTGATGTAATCCTTCAGCCTGGGTTCTGCTCACAGGGGACATTGTGACACATCACTGGTCCCAGCACCATAGTGATGTCAGTTTCCTACCAGAACTCAACTCACAGAGGGGATACACATATATCCTTGGTTCAGTACTCAGGTGATGTGACTCTCCTGCCTGCTTCTGCCTACAGGTAGGATTGTGACGTAGGCCTACACTCAAGTCACAGGAATAATGATGACTGTCATATGACAGCCCAGACAAAAGAAGAGACTTTGACTCTTATAGTTAAGCTTAGAAAAATCAGTAAGGTTCTGGGTCTCCTGATTGTATAAAGACTACAGATGATTATGACACTCATGAATATTGTATAAATACTTGGGTCTTATCAGAGTTCATTACAGAGGTAAAATTTTGTCTCGTACAGGCACAGTATCCGACAACTGGGATTGCCACTCTCACACATGGACAAAGCCCACAGGTGAGGTTCCGATTCTCACATATCCAAACAGTCCACGGTTAGAATTAGAACTGTCATATGTGGATCTGGCAACAGGTTGGAAAGGTGACTCATTTCTGAACCCAGCTCATAGGCATGTCACTGTCTCTCAAGCCTGGTTCCAACTAATAGAAGAGATGTTGACTCTTGTATCTAGGCTTATGGCAACAGATAAGATCCTGGGCTTCCCACTTTTACAGAGGTCTCAGAGAACTACAACTGTCATGCATATTGTATGATGCCCTAAGATTGTACAGAGAGTGTTAAAACAGGGCCCAGCTCAAAATTCTGATTGTGACCCTTGTATGCACACACAGTCCACAGTTAGAATTAAATGTGAACATAATCCACTCATGAGGTCCTGGATCTCACTCACAGAAACAGTTCACAGTTGGAATTGTGACTGTCATATCTGGATCCATCCACAAATGGGATGGTGCCTCGTTTTTGGACCCAGCTCCCAGGCACACTAATGACTCTCATACCTGGACCCAGCAAATAGGACTGGTGTGGACTCTCATGCCTGAACTTAGGGCAACATGCAGGATCATGGGTTTATACCATGATGAAGGTCTCAGAACAGGTTTGTCATGCATACCATACGAAGCCCTTAAGTGGCACTGAGGGTGTCTTATAAAAGCCCAACACACAGGTGACATTGTGACACTCCTATGTACACACAACATACAGTGAGGAATGTCATCTTCCCATATGGGCACAGCCCATTGTTGAGGTTCTGAATAACACACCCAGATCAGTTGAAAGTTGGTAATGTGACTTTCATACATGGAGCCAGTTCACAGGAGAAATGGTGACTTTTATACCAAAACTCAGCACACCTGTGAGGCAGTGACTGCCCTAATTAGACAGTGTTTGCAGATGAGGTTGAAGTGTTCATGCATGAATTCTGTTTGCCATTGAGATTGTGATTTGTGTACTTTAACACAATTCCCAGAAGGTGTTGTCTCTTACACCTTGAGCTAGAAAATATGTGGGACTGTGAATATCATCCATGGACTTTCCTGCAGGTGTGACTTTGACATATAATATTTTCTCATCACCTGATTGACTTTACTCCCTTGCATGAACCCTGCCAACAGTTGGGATCATGACATATACCTCACCCAAACACCTAGGTGATTTGACTATGCTGCCTGCATCCTGCCCCTAAGAGCCATTGTAATGTGTCTCTGAGCACGTCACCTAGGTGATGAGACTCTACATTCCCACCTGTACTCTGCCTCCACTAACATAAATCTGAGCATATTATCTAGGTGACATGACTCTCCTCTCATGAGTGGGCCCTGTGAACAAGGGGGATTATGACATATTGCTAGGCCCAGCACCTAGGTGATATGACTCTTTTGACTGCGTTCTACCTGCATTGGGCATTGTGACATATCACTGAGCCTAACACAAAGGTGACATGACTTTTCTGTATGGTTCCTGACTATGGAGAGATATTGACATTTCCCTGCCCCAGCATTCAGGTGATGTGACTTTCCTCCCTGGTTCTGCTCACAGGTGAAACTGTGACCTATATCTAGGCCCAGGCATAGTCATAATAATGGCTTTCTTACATGGACCCAGCCAATAGGAGAAATTTTGACCCTAATAGGCTTAGGGCAACAACTAAAGTCCTTGGTCTACTAATTATAAAAATGTCACAGAAGATTATGACACTCACATGTATTTTATAAAGCCTTGGGGTGTATAGAAAGTTACATAACAGGGCCCAGCAAACAGTGAGCTTGTGAATCTCATAAACACATGTAGCCAACAATTAAGATTGTCACCTTCATACATGGACAGAGTCCACTAGTGAGATTCTAAATCTCACACAAGGATGCAGTTCAGAGTTGAAATTGTGACTGTTTTATATGAGGATCTGGCCTCAGGCTGGATGATGTTTAAACTTCCCCTTGTAATTTTTCTTACAGCAATGTAATTTTCCATTTTGGCCAAGGACAATTTTTTTTTCAGACAAAGTTATGATTGTGGAGAAACATTGATTTAGACATATGGAATCTGTTTCCTTTTTCATAGAGCATGAACAAATACAACATTATACATTTATCTTACCTAAGTTGTTCTCTTTCAAAAACATTAATATAATAAAACATTGAAAATTGTCTCAATTTATCCAAAATACGTAAATATGCTTAATTTAAAAAACAGTTTTCCAAAACAACTGTCTTTTGCCAATATTCAAGAAGCCCCAGAATGTCTTACCCAAAACAATCAACAAAAGACTGTCAACTAAAAATTAAGCGATAGTGCTCAAGTGTAATTTGTTTTGTTTTCTTTGTTTTAGGGATGAGGCCTCATTATGTTGCTTAGGCTGGAGTGCAGTAGCTAGTCACAAACACAATCATGGTGCATTACAGCCTGGGCTCAAAGGGTCCTCCTGACTTAGCCTCCCGAGCCGTTGGGACTAAAGGGACATGTCACCACACCCGGCTATGTTTTTAAAAACCACTTTTACACTATTGCACATTTTTGGACACTGGGAACAAACAGATTTTGACTCTCAAGAAAAAAGTACTTCATGGCACATTAAACAATGAGTGAATGAGTTTACAAAACACAAGAGGCAGGGTAGTTATTCCAAAATGACAAGAAACAACATTGTGCCTTTGCTTTTGTTTGAAGAGAAATAAACTGTTTCCACTCAAGTTTTAAATGCCAAAATAGCTAATTACTGTTAAAATGTCACCAAAATTAGTAACATTACTCAGAAAATCAACTATCTCCAACAGAAACAATTTTAGTTACCTTTTACAAAAACTACGTTGTAACTTTCATTTCTAAAGGTCTTACATTTCCTGGGTATTATCATAAACCACCTTGTTAGATTTCAAATTAACTAATTCTAACCCAACCCAAATTAAAAATTGCTCACATTCCAAAGCAAGAAATACTATTGCAGGCCAGGCGTGGTGGCTCACGCCTGTAATCCCAGCACTTTGGGAGGCCGAGGTGGGCGGATCACCTGAGGTCGGGAGTTCAAGACCAGCCTGACCAACATGGAGAAACACCGTCTCCACTTAAAAAAAAAAAAAAAAAAAAAAAAAAAAAAAAAAAATTAGCCGGGCGTGGGGACACATGCCTGTAATCCCAGCTACTTGGGAGGCTGAGGCAGGAGAATCACTTGAACCCGGGAGGCAGAGGTTGCGGTGAGCTGAGACAGTGCCATTGAACTTCAGCCTGGGCAACAAGAGCGAGACTCAGCCTCAAAAAAAAAAAAAAAAATACTATCGCACATTACACTCATTTTTCAGGAATGTGTGCTTCCCTCCATACCCCCAAACTGACAATACATCTATGAAGTACATTCCATTATCTGAATTTATAACACTCAAAGTGCTTATGCTCTTCCGCTGAACAAGTACATTAATATACTTGTAGTCTCAAACACTTCATGAATTCTGAAAGGGATTCTCTATGTAGGGAGCTTCCTTCGTGAAATGAATTCAGCTACTCACCAGCATACCAATATCCCCAAGTATCTAAAAAATTTATTTTGCTCCTTTCCAATGCAAGATCTCATTAGATCACATACTTGGTAAAGTGTTCCATGGGTGTGAACAATAATTCTTGTTTGTGCAAATTCTTTCAAGACTTGTGGATAAGTAACTCCAGTATTCCTTCCTCCGGAATGAACACCATCCAGCCAATACATTGTACTTATGCTTTTAATGAAAGCATCTATGTTTTTGTCTTTCTTGGCTTCTTTCAATTCAAAGAAACTGATTCAAAACAACACATTTATTGAATCCAGTCAAAGGAAAAGATGCATCATTTAGTGATGGTGGATAAAAACACATGGCCGATCCATCAGATTTTTCAAAGGTCCTATCTTTTCCTTCCTGGAAATGATTTGTAGTATGAGAAGAATTGGACATCTACAATTAGATGCTGTGGAGTCCTTATTCCAATCATTCAAATTTTCCTTTGATAAACTACTCTGACTTAAAAGCATTAACTAATAACATATAAAGGTGCTTAAAAGCTCCAGAGTCTGTATTGTGTTCTGGGAAACCAAACATGTTACTTTTCAGAAAACTATCATGGCAGCGCATTTGTTCCGGAGCACTTCATCACCCCAATACAGCTACTGGGGAACCGGTGGGCTAAAATGGAGGCAATAATTTCTAGACTCCAATTTTCCCATTGGTAATTCGCAGGATGACGAGTCATGATTTCACGGTAATCCTGCACATCCCCGGGTAAAGAGAGGATGTGGCGGCTGCAGTTCCTACTCAGCCCGCTTCCTGGAGATGATCCGCCGCTCCAGTCCCTCCCTGGTCACCGCCAACAGGAGCAACTCTGCACTGCGCTGCGGGTCAGCTCCCGGCAGGGCGGGCACGGACGGCTCTGAGGAGGCGCCCGTTGGCGGAGGGGGAGCTTCGCGAACCGGCGCTGCCGCTAGGCTCATGGTTCTGTCCTGAGAGAAGGAAGAGGCATCTCCAGTTCCAACCTGTGGCAGCAGGAACAGCAACCACGGCGACCGCAAAACCTGAACTCCTTATTGGAAGGCGGAGAGTGGGGGGGGGGGTCCTCAGAAAGAGACTGCGCAGGACGGTAGCCGGCGCGAGGCATTAACGACAGAGACTGATGTCACCGCGCAGCGCCGGATTTTATTCTTTTTATTAATATTATTTTTTTCTTTTGAAACGGAACGTCTGTCGCCAGGCTGGAGTGCAGTGACGCGATCTTGGCTCACTGCAACCTCCGTCTCCCGGGTTCAAGCGATTCTCCTGCCTCAGTCTCCTGAGTAGCTGGGACTACAGGCGCGTGCCACCACGCCCAACTAATTGTATTTTTAGTAGAAAAGGGGTTTCACCATTTTGACCAAGATGGTCTCGATCTCTTGACCTCCTGATTTGCCCGCCTCGGCCTCCCAAAGGGCGGATTTTTTTTTTCCTATGGTTAAATCGTATTCCATTATGTGTATACACCATATTCGCTTTATCCATTTATCCCTGATGGACACAAGATTGATTCCATATCTTGGCTGTTGTCAATAGAGCTATGATAAACATGAGAGAGCAGCTATCTCTTCAATATACTAATTTTATTTCCTTTTGATATATACTCAATAATGGAATTGCTGGATTATATGGTAGTTCTATTTTTAGGTTTTTGTTTTTTGTTTGGAGAAACCTGCATAGTTTTCCATGCAGGTTTCTTATCAATAAATAAATGAATCTAAAAAGGTACTAAATTTACATTCACACCAACAGTGTATAAGTGTTCCCTTTTCTCCACATCCTCATCCAAACCTTGTTATCGTTTGTCTTCTTGATAATGGCCATTCTAAATGGGGTGAGGTACTATTTCATGTGGTTTTGGATTGCATTTTCCAGATGATTCGTGATGTTGAGCATTTCTTTGTGTCTTCTTTGGAAAAATGTCTATTCAGGTTTTTTGCTCACTCTTTAGTTGGGTTTTTGATTTTTATTGCTGTTGAGTTGAGTCATATATATATTTTGGATATTAACTCCCTGCCAGATGCACATATTTTTTTTCATTTTATATGTTGTCTTTTCATTCTATTAATAGATTTCTGTGCTGTCCAGAAGCTTTTAATATTTTACTGATATTAATTTTTCTGTTTTCTGACTTGATACAGAGGTAAGTGTTTTCCCTCAGCTTCACAGGTTAGCTGTCTTCTATCTCACTACTTTTAAGAGTTTTTCTTCGTTTTGATTTTATGCAATTCGATCATTATTATTTTTTAAGATTTATTTTATGTATAATTGACACATAATAATTGTACATATTTATGGGCTACAGTGTGATGTTTCAGTGCATGTTTACACTGTAAAATGACCCAATGAGGGTAATTTGCATATCTAGCAGTGTAAACATTTATAATTTATTTGTGCTATTAAAATTCAAAAACCTCTCTTCTAGCTGTGTTATAATAAATAGTACATTATATTAGCTATAGTCACCCTACTGTGTAATAGAACATCAGAATTTATTCTCCCTGACTGTAACTTTGTAACTTTGACAAACCTCTCCCCATTCCTTCATCCCATCACTCTCCCTAGCCTCTAGTAACCACCATTCTACTCTTTACTTCTATTAGATCTGCTTTTTTAGATTTTGCATATGAGTGACATCATGTGGTCTTTTTCTCTCTGTGATGGGCTTATTTCACTTAACATAATGTCCTCTAGGTTCATCCATGTTCACATAAATGACAGAAGTTCATTCTGTTCTATGACTGAGCATTATTCCTGTGTGTGTATGTGTGCCTGTGTGTATGTATAACATTTTCTTCATTCATCTGTAAATAGGCACTTATACACTGTTGGTGAGAATTTAAATTGGTACCACCATTAGGAAAAACAGCATGGAGGTTTTTCAAGAAGTTATAAATAAAACTACCATATATATGACCCAGCAATCTCACCACTGGGTATATATCAAAAGGAAATAAAATCAGTATGTCCAAAAGATAATTGCACTCCCATGTTTATTGAAGCAGTATTCACAATAACCAAAATCATTATTTATTTTAAGTATTTCTTAATTTATCTTTTCTGACACATCACACTCTAAACTTTTATAGGATTCATGCCTGGTTTCCAATTTCTGAAAATTATGAGTCACTGATTTTTTTGAATATTGCCCTCCTGTTTATATAGTATAGTAAAGCAATTAAATGTTTTTCATTTCTTCTCATCTAATTTTCATATATATTTGTATTTTGTATTAATTTGCCTTCTAAAAAGTATATTACTACATTAATTGTGCTCAGCATTCCAGTTTACTAGTCCTCTCACCATCTCAGTCTATTTCAATGTGTAATTTGTATGCTGTACATTAAGTTGTTTTACCAAATTTTCAAGTTTACTTTCCATTCGCCTCTTTTCCAAATATGACTTGACAAGCTCATAGTTTTTTCCACATTATTTCGGTTTCTTGTGTTTTCATTATATTGGCAAACATGTAATTATAATCCTCATATCTGAGTTTTATGTGCCATATAATTTAATGCTTCACTCTAATAGCTCTTCTCCTTGTGTGCAACATAATTTATAGTTTAGCTCTCACATATAGGAGACATCACACTCTGGATGCCTGCAGGCAGTTTCTCTTTGTTTATTCCATTTGCTTTGTCAGAAGCTGAACAACCCATGTGGATCTGATGTCCTTGTGATCAGATGCATCTGAATGGAGCACTGGCCTCTTAGGTCTATACTTCTCTGGATTATACCCTTTATTTACTTCTGGTCCTGAGAAGTTTTCATAATTTTCTTTCAACTATATTAGTCATTGTGTGAGTTCTTATAACTTCTTGGTGATTTTAGTTACCTGCATTAAGTTTTTAAAGCATGTTATTTTCCTGGAAAGCAGAAATATCAACTGTTGCATACATGAGTAAAATATTTTACCTAGATTTCATATGGCATATATCACTGCCTCGTGAGAAACTCTAAGATTCTTCACTTGAAATGCCGCTGTCTTCAATAGACCGTGTTGTAATAATTTGTAGAATGTGATTACTTTTATACCATTAGAAAATTAATTATGTATTATGCACAAATTTCTCAAATACTTTACTGCAGTAAATAGTATATGGTCAGAATTATTGTTTATTATTGTTTCCTTTAACATACAACTAATAAGGGTAAAAGTATTTACCTGAATTTACATTTTTTGGCTTCAGTTGCCATTTTACCTTATTAGCACTTCCCTAACTCCATAAAAGGTATCATTTGAATTTTTTAATTTAGAATTTATTGAAAAGAGTATTTTTAATGTTACAATGTTTTTATTGCAGTTGAAGACATTTTCATTAAATATCTTAAACATGAGGCCCTGGCTAAGTAATCCTTATGTACTAGAAATCAGATTTCTGTGGCACAACACCACTGCCTGCAATAATATTTATGAAAACTACAAATGCCAGCACACTATTTCAACACTGTACTCAGTTGTTCATATCTAAATATCACATTAGCTATGAAACAAACCAATATAAATACTGAAGATATAGTACTAATAAACGGATTCTTCAAAAAAGAAAACACTGACTAATTTTCTACAATATATCAGCTGTTCATTTGTTCTTCAATAATATTTAGGCTATTTCAAGTATAAGAGGTTCTTTTATCTAGTTTCTAAAGGGCATAAACAATGATGCATGTAGTCAGATTTATTTTTATAAACTTTTGTTGTTTCTTTTGCTGTGCACCTTACTGTGAATACATGGACACACAGACAAATGTACATTTAAGTCATTAGTGGTTATGAGTTTTGCTTATGTGGCTTTTTGCTTATATGGATGTCATAAATGACAAGATAAAATAAGGAAGTTTGATAAACTCATCTTTAAGCTGTAAACTTTAGTCCACTTACTGAATAACTTGAGTCAATATTTATTAGTTTAAAAAATGTTTTTTAAAATTTGCAAACCAAACTTTATTACACATTTCTGAATCAAGAAGGGGTAAACTGTGACACTGTTCCTCTGTGCCACAGACTCTTTTGGGGAGAAAAGTACTGCAAATATATAATAAAATAAGAGTTTCCAAACTCTATTTTTTGAAAAGCTTGAGTTTTCTTCTATGATTAACCTTCACTGTACAGTTCCTTTTATCCAAGGCCTGGTACCTAGGTCATCTTTTTAAGGTTTGGTTTCTGGGAAATTTTCAGCAAACCTCTCTCACGCTTTGTCCCAGGTTGTTTTTTGTTTCAGAGAAGCTGAACGTCTTCAATTGAGGATGGATTGCCTGTCCCCAAGCCTCCATATGTTCACTGAAGCTGAAGCTAAATCGGAGATTTCATTACCCACCATCCTTCCCCAGGCCGTCTCCTTTTTTCCAACCCATCTTCTCCAACATCTTCTGACATTTGTTACTGTCAGTAATTTCAGAATGAACAGATGCAGGAGCAACATCTCTCTAGAATGTTCCTTCACTTCCAATCTGCTCACTATGATTTCCAGCTCTATCTTTATATTTTAGATTATTCAGTGTCTATTCATGTTCATAATCTATATTCTGTAAACCCCATTTTAGTCATATTTTCTTTAATTGTTTACTTATTTCCAACTCATTTTCCTCTTTACTTAGTGGTAGACCAACAAAAGATTCATCTTTCTTATCAAAGCAAAAGTGAGTTCTAACCTGCCATGGTTCACAGCCATCACAGCTATCACTGCCAGGGTGAATGTGAAAGGGTGACACAGTCTCTCCAATTTTAAATTTATGTCTATGCTCACGTACATAAGGGTCTCATTTAGTTTTCAGCTGAACAATTCATTTTCCATGAACAGTTGTTCAATTTTGACTGCCTTGATCTAGAAGGACGTAACTTTGTAAATCATGGTCAAAATAAATTTCTGCATGAAACCTACTGACACCAACTTATGGGAATCAAAGGGTATGCCCTAGATCATTTTCTCTTCCAATTGTAGCGGGTTTCACAGCAGTAATGATAAACAGTGACCCTGTCTGCAGCATAAGCGATCTAATGACAATTATTCTAATATATGGGGGACATTTTTTTCCTCAATTTCCTCCTCAGTATGTTCTGCAGTTACATTGCCTTCACAGGCAATGTGAGGAGGGGCTGCGCTGGGGCCTTACAGACACCTGCGGAGCCAGAGGCCACCAGACTGCAGGCAGCCAAAGGCAGCCTCCTCCCTGCTGGCTGCTGTGGCTCCCACCTGGATGCCCTGATATGCATTGCCTGGAGCCAAACGGGTCTGTGGGCAACTAGTAAAGGGACTGCTGATGGCCCTCCCTGATCTGCACAGTCTGGGATGTGAAAAAACCCTGGGAAATACATACATACATATATATATAACATATAATATATATGTTATATATTATATATTATATATAATATATATTATATATAATATATATTTTATATATATTATATATATAATATATAATATATTTATATAATATATATAATATATAATATATATAATGTATTTTATATATATATATATATATATATTTTTTTTAAGGCAGAGTCTCACTCTGTTGCCCAGGCTGGAGTGCAGTGACGTGATCTCGGCTTACTGCAACCTCTGCCTCCCAGGTTCAAGCAATTCTCCTGCCTCAGCCTCTTGAGTAGCTGGGATTACAGGCGCAGGCTACCAGACCCAGCTAATTTTTCTATTTTTAGTAGAGACAGGGTTTCACTATGTTGGTCTAGCTGGACTTCAACCTCTGACCTCAAGTGATCCGCCCACCTTGGCCTCCCAAAATGCTGGGATTACAGGCGTGAGCCACTGCGCCCACCCACCCCTGGGAACTATCATATCTTCCCCAGTACAGGAACAGTGGGAGGAGCGTCAAAGTCAAGGGGCCAGAAGTGCTCCGGTTGTTCCCGGGTTGAGCCAGAAAGGGTGGCCAACAATTTTAAATAAAGTTTACATGTGGCTAGATGTGACCTGCTGACTACTGTTAATTTTTTTCCACATTTACACATTGAAAAGTGTATTTATTTAGGGTATACAATAGAGTGCTTTGAGATGTGTATACGTCTTTAAATTATCTCAGTGAAGCTGGTTAACCTATCTAACACCTCACATAGTTACTTTATACATTTCAGTGTGTGTAGTGAAACCACCTCAGGTCTACTTTAGTAACAGATTTCAACTACACGTTATTATTAACTATAGTCACCATTCTGCACATTAGGTCCCCAGCAGTTTTTCATTATATAACTGAAGGTATGCACCCTTCAATGGATATATCTCCTCCTTTCCCCATTTCCTAGCCCATGCAAACTACCCTTCTCCCGCTTTCTTTCTTTTTTTTAATATATCTACATACAAATGAGATCATGCAATATTTGCCTTTCTGTATTTTGCTGATCTCACTTAGCATCATGTCTTCAAGGTTCATCAATATTTTTGTAACTAAAACAATTTCATTCCTTATTAAAGCTGAAATTATCTCTGTCTTACAGTTTATCCATCTATTTGTATCAGAGGCATGCAAACGCCCTCGGCTATACTTAAATTTTATGTCCATTGGCTATATTCTCCAAATTGGGATTAATGGTTCTTCAAGTTTAAAAATTTTAAGGAAACTCCATACTGGATTTTTTTTTTGTAATGGCTGCACCAAAGGACATGCTCTGCAACTGTGTGCAAATATTGTCTTTTCTGTGCACCCTAACACTTTGTTCTTTTGACACTTTGATAATAGTTATCCTAACACCATGATACGGTGATTTCTCATTTTGATTTTGATTTTAATTACACTGATAATTAGTGATGTTGAGAAACTTTTCATATACCTGCTGGCCATTTGTATGTCTTTGGAAAAATGAATATTTTGCCCAATTAATCAGGGAATTGGTTTTTGTTTTGTTCTCCTGTGGATGCTTTTTTCATATTGATTAGTATTCTGTATATTTTGAATAGCAACATATTATCCTACATATGGTTTACGAAAATTTTCTCCCATCCCATATATTGTCTTTATATTTTCTTGATTCTTTCTTTTATCATGCAGAAACTTTGATATAGTTCCATTTTTTAAATTTTTGCTTTTGTTGCCTGTGTTCTTTGTGTAGAATCCAAAACATCATTGCCACGACCGGGGTGAAGGAGCTTTTTCCCTATTTTTTAAAGACGACTCGTGATTTCAGTTATTATGTTTAAGCCTTTAATTTTAAACTCATTTTTTGTGATGATATAAGAAAGTTTCACTTTTTGTGTGTGCATATCTAGTTTTTTCTAAACCACTTCTTGATGTCCCTATCTTTTCCTGGTTCTGTAGGACCAGTTGACTGCATATGGGTGAATTTATTTCTAGGTCCTCTATTCTGTTTCAGTGGTTCCTATGTAAGTTCTATACTACTTTAATGACTATAGCTTTGTAATACAGTTTGAAATCAGGAAGTTTGAGGCATTCAGCCTTTCTGTTCTTCACAGTATTTGCCTATTTGGGGTCTTTCATGGCTCTATACTAATTTTAGAATTGTTTGTTCTACACTTATTTTAAAGGCATTAAAATTTTGATAGAAATTTCTTTAACTTTGTTGATGACTTTGTCCAGTATAGATATTTTAACAATATTAATTTTTAGAATCCATGAACACAGGATATATTTCACATTTCGTATTCTTGTACTTCTTTCTTGCTTGCTTGCTTGCTTGCTTGCTTCTTTTTTTTTTTTTTTTTTTTTTTTTTTTTTTAGACGGAGTCTCGCTCGGTCACCCAGGCTGGAGTGCAATGGCGCCATCTCAGCTCACTGCAAGCTCCACCTCCCAGGTTCACGCAGTTCTCCTGCCTCAGCCTCCCGAGTAGCTGGGACTACAGGCGCGTGCCACCACGCCTGGCTAATTTTTTGTATTTTTAGTAGAGACGGGGTTTCATCGTTTTAGCCAGGATGGTCTCAATCTCCTGACCTCGTGATCCACCCACCTCGGCCTCCCAAAGTGCTGGGATTACAGGCGTGAGCCACCGCAACTGGCCTATTCTTCTACTTCTTTCATCAACATTTCATAGTGTTCAGTATGCAGATTTTTTTTTTTTTTTTTTTTTTTTTGAGATGGAATCTCACTATGTCATCCAGGCTGGAGTGCAGTGGCCCAATCTTGGCTCACTGAAACCTGTGCCTCCTGGGTTCAAGTGATTCTCCTGCCTCAGCCTCCTGAGTAGCTGAGATTACAGGAGATCACCACCACCGACTAATTTTTTTTTTATTTTTAGTAGAGACGGGGTTTCCCCATGTGGACAGCCTGGTCTCGAACTCCTGACCTCGTGATCCGCCCGCCTTGGTGTCCCAAAGTGCTGGGATTACACGGATGAGCCACCGCGCCCGACCCAGTATGCAGATCTTTAATTTTCTTGGTTAAACTCATTCTATTTAATGAATTAAGTATTTCATTCTATTTGATAATATTGTAAATGGAATTGTTTTCTTTATTCCTTTTTCAGATATTTTGTTGTTACTGTATACAAATGCAACTGATTTTCATGTTAATATTGTATCCTGCAACTTTCCAGAACTAGTTTGTTAGCTATAACACGCTTTCATTGTTGTTGTTGTTAAAATGGTGGGTATTCTTAACCCTGGTTACACTTTAAATTGATAGTTGCTATTATTAATTCATAATTCTTTAAAATATAACCAGATGGGTTTCTGCTTTTACGAATTCAGTGGAATTCAAATATTCCCATTTTAAATAATTTTGTTGGTTTTGCCTGGGCCCTGGGATTGGGGGGCACCCTACTGGAGCTGGGAGATTCAGGATGGAGATGGAGAAGCAGTCAGGGAAGAGGCTGAGCGCGAGAACCAGAGAGGGGCTCCGGGGACAGTAGGGAGGAGGGGTTGTCGTGTGGGAGACCCAGTGGGGAGAGAGAATGGGCCATAAAAGGGTTGAAGGGTGGGAGTGGGCAACAGGACTGCTTCCTGGCCCAGGCAGGGGGCAGGGAACTTTGCTAAACCTGCGGGCCCCAGGGAACAGTGTGGACAGGGCAGGAGGGAGTGGAGAGAACCAGGCGCACACCAAAGTCAATTTGGAGAAAGAGACATTTCCTGGCTCTTTGACCTCTGCCCAGAGTTCTGTGGGCATAGCCACCCAGGGGAAGAGCAGGGGAGGAGGCACCTCCCAGCGGGCTCAGAGAGCTGAGCGGTGCACAGGAGCTTCGCAGGGCCAGAGTGAGAGACCGCAGAAGCAAGCCACGGCTGCGGATGCTGCTGGCCCCGTGGGTGGGCGCGGGGGGCGCTGGGGAGGCAGGCGGGTCCGAGCTCCGGGGCCCAGCGCCGGGGCCTGCAGGTAGCCCTGGAGGAATGCACCCTCCCCGGCATGGGCCTTCCGGGAGAACGGTGTGGACGGCGCGGTGGATACGTCCTTCCCAGCTGGAACATTTGTGAAACTGGAATTTAAGCTCAGGCAGACAAGCGGCCGGCGGAAGGACTGGAAGAAACACGAGTGCGAAGTCCATCCCAAGGGAAGGAAGTGGAAATGCCTGGCCTGCGTCAAACTGGGCTCTGAGGAGAAGGTTTCGGGCCGGATGGGCCACTGTCCTATAGAGACTCAGGCTCGGCGGGACCCTGAGGAGCACCAGGAGACCCAGTGCAGCAGGGCGGAGCGGGAGGTGAGACCCCACAGCTACTACTTCCCTGCACGGTTCGCCTTCTTCAAGGCTCAGCCCCCAGCTAAGCCCAGCACTGAACTGCCTGGCGCCTCCTGGACCACTGCCGGGAGTGACCAGTGAAAGACCCCACCTCCCAGGGAGAGGACCCCACTATATCCCCAGCTAATAAAGCTGCTCATCCACCAATAATAAATAAATAAATGAATAAATAAATAAAAATAATTTTGTTTGGTCTTTGAAAAGTGTATTTTCTGTTTACTGGTCAACATGCTGCCTATTTATATGCCTAATTTGTCAAACTTTTAATGAAGTTGTTTAACATTATGATCCTTTATTATGTACAAAACAGTAAATTTTATAATGGTTTTAATGTCATCTAATATGATTGAAAAAAGTCAATTTCTCATTGCCAATGAATCTTCGTGTTATTTATTTTACACTGTTAGATATTCTGTCTACAAATGTCTAATGGCTTAGAATCTTGCATATTGTCTGCGCTAAGAACTACTCTAACTCATCAAAGTGTCTTTTTATACCATTCTTATATTGCAATATTATTGGCCAGGTGTGATGGCTCATGCCTGTAATCCCAGGACTTTGGGAGGCTGAGTCAGATGGATCACCTGAGGTCAGGAGTTTAAGACCAGCCTGGCCAACATGGTGAAACACTGTCTTTACTATAAACACAAAAATTAGCTGGGTATGGTGGGGGGCGCCTGTAATCCCAGCTACTCGGGAGGCTGAGGCAGGCGGAGAATCACTTTAACCCGGGAGGCAGAGTTTCCAGTGAGCTGAAATCATGCCACTGCACTCCAGCCTGGGTGACAGAGTGAGACCCTGACCCCATATATATATATTTTATATATATAAATATATATAATATATAATATATTTTATATTATATATATTTTATATAATATATTATATATATAATATATAATATATATTTATATATATAAAATATTGATATATATTTATATATATAAAATATTGATATATATTTTATATATACAAATATTGATATATAAAAATATTGATATATATTTACAATATATAAATTATGTAAAATATATATAATATACATTTTTTATTTATTTTTATTAAAATTATTTTTCTGCCTAAGTATTTATGAAAAGTAGAAGGTCTATTCATTCTGCTCTCTTGATAAAAGTCAGTTTTTTTCTCTTTATTAATATGTTAGTACAAATGAAGTTTCATGACAGGGACATATTGCAGAGTGATGAAGTATGTGCTTTCGGTGTAACAATCACCTGAACGGTGCTCATGTCCCAGTTAGGTGTTTTTCTCATTTCTAACCCCTCTACCAACCTCCTATCTTTCTGAGTCTCCAGTGTCTATTTTTCCAGTCTCTATATCCAAGTGTATGCATTATTGAGCTTCCATATATAGGTAAGAAAATGCAGTATTTGATTTTCTGTTTCTGAGTTATTTCACCTACAATAATGGCCTCCAGTTCCATTCATGGTGCTGCAAAAGACATAATTTTATTCTTTATGTCTGAGTAGTTTTCCATGGTATAAATGTATAGCAAATTTTGTTTATTCAATCATTGATAGATAAATTTAAATTGACTCCATATCTTTGCTATTGTGAATAATCCTGCAATAAACATATGAGTGTGGGTATCTTCTTTATGTAGTGAATTATTTTCCTTTGGGTAGATACGCAGTAGTGGGATAGCTGGATCAAATGGAAGTTCTATTTTTTAGTTTTTTGAGAAATCTCCATACTGTTTCCCATAGAGGCTGTAGAAAGTTACATTCCCACAAACAATGTATAAGTATTCTCTTTTCTCGGTATCCTTACCAATATCTATCATTTTTCTGCTTTTTAATAATTAGCCATTATGAATGGTGTAAAATGGTATTTCACTGTCGTTTTTAATTGGCATTTCTCTGATCATTGGCAATGTTGAGCATTTTTTACATGCTTATTGGCCATCATTGTCTTCTTTTGAAAAATATCTTTTCCCGTTATGTGCCTGCTTTTTAATGAAGTTTCTTGTTTTATTCTTGTTGAGATGTTTGATTTCTTTATATATTCTAGACATTAGTTCTTTGTCACATGCATAGTTGGCAAACATTTTTTTTGTATTCCATAGCTTGTCTGCTCACCTATTAAATAAAAGCTTCTTTTCAGGAGCTTTTCAGTTTAATTAAGTTCCATTTGTCTATTTTTGTTATTGTTGCATCTACTTTTGAGATCTTAGTCATGAATTATTTGTCTAGGCCAATGTCCAGAATAGTTTATCATAGGGTTTCTTCTAGAATTTTTATCTTTTCAGGTCTTACATTTTAGCCTTTTAATCCATATTGAGTTGATTTTTGTATATGGTGAGAGTTAGGGGTTCCATTTCATACTTCTGCATATAGTAACGTAATTTTTCCAGCACAATATGTTGAATAAAATGTCATTTTTCTGTGTGTGTTTTTGTTGACTTTGGAAAAGATCAGTTGTGTGTAGGTATATGGCTTTATTTCTAGGTTCTCTATACTGCTCCATTGATCTGTGCATCTGTTTACATCATTACCATGCTGTTTTGGTTATTAAAGCCTTCTAGAATAATTTTAAGTCACGTAATGTAATATGTCCAACTTCGTTGTCTTTGATCAAATTTGCTTTGGCTATTGAGGCTTTTCTATGGTTCCATATAAATATAATTTTTTTCTAATTCTATAAAAACTAACATTAGAATTTTTGTAGGAATTACACTTAATATGTAGACTGTTGGGGCAGTATGGTCATTTTAATGATAATACTTCTTCCAATCAATGAACATGTGATGTTTTTCTCATTTGTTTGTGTCATATACAATTTATTTCATCAGAGTTTTGTAGTTTTCCTTGTAGAGATCTTTCACCTACTTAAGTAATTATATTTCTATGTGTTTTACTTTTTTGTAGCTATTGTAAAAAAAACTGACCTTTTAATTTGGTTCTCAGCTTGATCATTATTAGTGTATGAAAATGCTACTACTTTTTCTACATTGATTTTTGTATCCTGAAACATTATTAAATTTATTTATCAAATCTAAAAGTTTTTGGTGGTCTTTAGATTTTTCTAGATATAATATTATGTAATCAACAAAGAGGGACAATTTGACTTCCTAATTAAAACTATATGTATGAGCCCACCAAGCTCAACAGACAGAACCTGTGGGGAGAGCACAGGTGATGGTATTTCTTTAAAGTGGTCATGTGATTATGATTGGACACCTAGGCTGAGAGCCACTTAGCAAAGAATTGCCTCTCAAGTTTCAATGTACATATAAATCATTTCTGATTCCAGGCCTCTGTCTTAGTAATGTGATTCTGCAAGTTTGGAAGGGGTCCATGAATTGGCTTCTTAAAGTCTCCCCTTAAGGGGAGACTGTTGATTCTCCCACTATATCCACTGTAGTAGCACTCAGAGAAAGTAGGAACAGCACAGAGAGTTCCTGACACCCAACACTCTTACCACAACACAAACCCTTTTGGCCCAAAGTGGAAACCACCAATCACTATATACAAACATGTTATTCTCTGCTGGCTCTTTAAAGGTTATAGAGCCTAGAGAAGGCATCAATGGTTGAGTAAGTCTGCATTTGAAAAACATGTATCCATGAGTTAATACAATGTTTACTGAGTGTGTACTATGTGTTCAGAAGTCTGTTACACAGCACTGTGCTGCAAACATCACCTGATGTGAGTGAATCCTCAACCCTGGTAGTTGGCTGCTAAGTGTTCTGTAATTCCTAGGCTTTAAATGAAGGGCCCAGCATTTCTATTTTTCTTTCATTTTTAAAATTACTTACCTTAAAAAGAAAATGTGTAGAATAAAATCTATATAGACAGATGGAAGGGATACAGAAAGGGTGAACTGTTCAGAGGGATTTTTGGTATTTATATTGACTTTCTTGTGCTTTGTAGAGCATCTACCGGATCGGCAGAAAAACAGTTTGCTAGGTGGGATGTCTCTACAAGCACTGGCTTCAATGAAAAAGAAATTGTGACCCACAAATAGATAATCATTTGCTCCCATTTATCTGCTTTTTATTTTCAGGAAATTGTGGGCATCAGCTAAGGAGAGGCAGGAGGAGCCACCACTCAAATTTTTGATCTCCTTTAATTTTGATCTCCTTCTGTGAGAGGAGATTCTAGGGTGAGGCCAGGCCTGGATAAGGCCTTAGAAGAGGGTGGATCTGGGCAGGGCTGGGACAGAAAGTGAGCCCCATGTGTCTGATGTCTATGATGGTGGAGTGTTTCCAGTTCTGTCTCTCCTAAGCCTGTCTAACAGAAACTGGACTCCTAGAGTTTGTGTAATTTTAACCTATTTTAGCCATTTCCCTGTCAATTTTTATAACACACAATAACGAAGAATTTAACCGAAACTCTTAGGGCTTTTAAAGAAAATTATATGAGAAGCTAAAAGATTTATTTTACTAATACAAAAGAAAAAGGAATAATCACAACAATAGCAATAATTCTTCCGTCCATGAATACCCCTTCAGGTGGTGACATCAAAACTCATAACAACAGCATAAGGGAAGTATAACAAATGCAGTCAAAGTCCCCTTTACACCTCCCTTCTCTCTTCTGACCACAGAATGTTGAATTAAATCATTTATCCATATGCTTTGTAATGAAAGTATCTGTAGAAACCATTACTATTTCATCTGTTTTTCTTTTCTTTTTTTGTTTTTCTTTTTTTTTTTTTTTTTTTGAGATGGATTCTCACTCTGTTTGCCCAGGCTGGAGTGCAGTGGTATGACCTCAGCTCACTGCAATACCTGTCTCTAGGGTTTAAGCGATTCTCCTGCCTCAGCCTCCCAAGTAGCTGGGACTACTGCTGAGTGCCACCACACCCAGTTAATTTTTTTGTATTTTTAGTAGAGATGGGGGTGGTTTCACCGTGTTAGACTGGATGGCTTCAATCTCCTGACCTTGTGATCTGCCCACCTCGGATTACTAAGGTGCTGAGTTTACAGGCGTGAGCCACTGCACCCAGCCTCATCTGTTTTTCTTTCTTTTTTTTATTATTATTATACTTTAAGTTTTAGGGTACATGTGCACAATGTGCAGGTTAGTTACATATGTATACATGTGCCATGCTGGTGTGCTGCACCCATTAACTCATCATTTAGCATTAGGTATATCTCCTAATGCTATCCCTCCCTCCTCCCCCCACCCCACAACAGTCCCCAGAGTGTGATGTTCCCCTTCCTGTGTCCATGTGTTCTCATTGTTCAATTCCCACCTATGAGTGAGAATATACGGTGTTTGGTTTTTTGTTCTTGCAATAGTTTACCGAGAATGATTATTTCCAATTTCATCCATGTCCCTACAAAGGACATGAACTCATCATTTTTTATGGCTGCATAGTATTCCATGGTGTATATGTGCCACATTTTCTTAATCCAGTCTATCACTGGTGGACATTTGGGTTGGTTCCAAGTCTTTGCTGTTGTGAATAGTGCCGCAATAAACATACGTGTGCATGTGTCTTTATAGCAGCATGATTTATAGTCCTTTGGGTATATACCCAGTAATGGGATGGCTGGGTCAAATGATATTTCTAGTTCTAGATCCCTGAGGAATTGCCACACTGACTTCCACAATGGTTGAACTAGTTTACAGTCCCACCAACAGTGTAAAAGTGTTCCTGACTTTGATGAGTTGAGAGAAGAAGGCTTCAGATGATCAAACTACTTACTCCGAGCTACAGGAGGAAATTCAAACCAAAGACAAAGAAGTTGAAAACTTTGAAAAAAACTTAGAGGAATGTATAACTAGAATAACCAATACAGAGAAGTGCTTAAAGGAGCTGATGGAGCTGAAAGCCAAGGCTCGAGAACTACGTGAAGAAAGCACAAGCCTCAGGAGCTGATACGATCAACTGGAAGAAAGGGCATCAGTGATGGAAGATCAAATGAATGAAATGAAGCGAGAAGGGAAGTTTAGAGAAAAAAGAATAAAAAGAAACAAACAAAGCCTCCAAGAAATATGGGACTATGTGAAAAGACCAAATCTACTTCTGATTGGTGTACCTGAAAGTGACGGGGAGAATGGAACCAAGTTGGAAAACACTCTGCAGGATATTATCCAGGAGAACTTCCCCAATCTAGCAAGGCAGGCCAACATTCAGATTCAGGAAATACAGAGAACGCCACAAAGATACTCCTCGAGAAGAGCAACTCCAAGACACATAATTGTCAGATTCACCAAAGTTGAAATGAAGGAAAAAATGTTAAGGGCAGCCAGAGAGAAAGGTCGGGTTACCCACAAAGGGAAGCCCATCACACTAACAGCGGATCTCTTGGCAGAAACTCTACAAGCCAGAAGAGAGTGGGGGCCAATATTCAACATTATTAAAGAAAAGAATTTTCAACCCAGAATTTCATATCCAGCCAAACTAAGCTTCATAAGTGAAGGAGAAATAAAATACTTTACAGACAAGCAAATTCTGAGAGATTTTGTCACCACCAGGCCTGCCCTAAAAGAGCTCCTGAAGGAAGCGCTAAACATGGAAAGGAATAACTGGTACCAGCCGCTGCCAAATCACGCCAAATTGTAAAGACCATCGAGGCTAGGAAGAAACTGCATCAACTAACGAGCAAAATAAACAGCTAACATCAAAATGACAGGATCAAATTCACACATAACAATATTAACTTTAAATGTAAATGGACTAAATGCTCCACTTAAAAGACACAGACTGGCAAATTGGATAAAGAGTCAAGACCCATCAGTGTGCTGTATTCAGGAAACCCATCTCACGTGCAGAGACACACATAGGCTCAAAATAAAAGGATGGAGGAAGTTCTACCAAGCAAATGGAAAACAAAAAAAAGGCAGGGGTTGCAACCCTGGTCTCTGATAAAACAGACTTTAAACCAACAAAGATCAAAAGAGACAAAGAAGGCCATTACATAATGGTAAAGGGATCAATTCAACAAGAAGAGCTAACTATCCTAAATATATATGCACCCAATACAGGAGCACCCAGATTCATAAAGCAAGTCCTGAGTGACCTACAAAGAGACTTAGACTCCCACACAATAATAATAGGAGACTTTAACACCCCACTGTCAACATTAGACAGATCAACGAGACAGAAAGTTAACAAGGATACCCAGGAATTGAACTCAGCTCTGCACCAAGCAGACCTAATAGACATCTACAGAACTCTCCACCCCAAATCAACAGAATATACATTTTTTTCAGCACCACACCACACCTATTCCAAAATTGACCACATAGTTGGAAGTAAAGCTCTCCTCAGCAAATGTAAAAGAACAGAAATTATAACAAACTGTCTCTCAGACCACAGTGCAATCAAACTTGAACTCAGGATTAAGAAACTCACTCAAAACCACTTAACTACATGGAAACTGAACAAGCTGCTCCTGAATGACTACTGGGTACAAAACGAAATGAAGGCAGAAATAAAGATGTTCTTTGAAACCAACGAGAACAAAGACACAACATACCAGAATCTCTGGGACACAGTCAAAGCAGTGTGTAGAGGGAAATTTATAGCACTAAATGCCCACAAGAGAAAGCAGGAAAGATCTAAAATTGACACCCTAACATCACAATTAAAAGAACTAGAAAAGCAAGAGCAAACACATTCAAAAGCTAGCAGAAGGCAAGAAATAACTAAAATCAGAGCAGAACTGAAGGAAATAGAGACACAAAAAACCCTTCAAAAAATTAACGAATCCAGGAGCTGGTTTTTTGAAAGGATCAACAAAATTGATAGACCACTAGCAAGACTAATAAGGAGGAAAAGAGAGAAGAATCAAATAGACGCAATAAAAAATGATAAAGGGGACATCACCACTGATCCCACAGAAATACAAACTACCATCAGAGAATATTACAAACACCTCTACGCAAATAAACTAGAAAATCTAAAAGAAATGGATAAATTCCTCGACACATACACCCTCCCAAGACTAAACCAGGAAGAAGTTGAATCTCTGAATAGACCAATAACAGGCTCTGAAATTGCGGCAATAATCAATAGCTTACCAACCAAAAAGAGTCCGGGACCAGATGGATTCACAGCCGAATTCTACCAGAGGTAGAAGGAGGAATTGGTACCATTCCTTCTGAAACTATTCCAATCAATAGAAAAAGAAGGAATCCTCCCTAACTCATTTTATGAGGCCAGCATCATCCTGATACCAAAACTGGGCAGAGACACAACAAAAAAAGAGAATTTTAGACCAATATCCTTGATGAACATTGATGCAAAAATCCTCAATAAAATACTGGCAAACCGAATCCAGCAGCACATCAAGAAGCTTATCCACCATGATCAAGTGGGCTTCATCCCTGGGATGCAAGGCTGGTTCAATATACGCAAATCAATAAATGTAATCCAGCATATAAACAGAACCAAAGACAAAAACCACATCATTATCTCAATAGATGCAGAAAAGGCCTTTGACAAAATTCAACAACCCTTCATGCTAAAAACTCTCAATAAATTAGGTATTGATGGGACGTATCTCAAAATAATAAGAGCTATCTATGACAAACCCACAGCCAATATCATACTGAATGGGCAAAAACTGGAAGCATTCCCTTTGAAAACGGGCACAAGACAGGGATGCCCTCTCTCACCACTCCTATTCAACCTAGTGTTGGAAGTTCTGGCCAGGGCAATTAGGCAGGAGAAGGAAATAAAGGGTATTCAATTAGGAAAAGAGGAAGTAAAATTGTCCCTGTTTGCAGATGACATGATTGTATATCTAGAAAACCCCACTGTCTCAGCCCAAAATCTCCTTAAGCTGATAAGCAACTTCAGCAAAGTCTCAGGATACAAAATCAATGTACAAAAATCACAAGCATTCTTATGCACCAATAACAGACAGAGAGCCAAATCATGAGTGAACTCCCATTCACAATTGCTTCAAAGAGACGTGAAGGACCTCATCTGTTTTTCTAATCGTCATATGATATAGTTTAGATTTCCCCTCCAAATCTCATATTGAATTTTAATCCCTGATGTTACAGGTGGGGCCTGGTGAGAGGTGGATGAATTATAGAGATGGATTTCTCATGGCTCTGTGCTGTCATTGTCACAGTGAGTACACACAAGATCTGGTGGTTTAAAAGTGAGGCGTATCTCTCCCCCATCTTTCCTGTTCCCACTCCTACCACGTGAGATGCCTGCTCCTCTTTCATCTTTCATCATGATTGTAAGCTTCTTTATATGTTAATGTTACAAAATTTCACTCAATTTTCTTATAAAAATATCTGACAAAATGTTATATGATAAATATGATAAATAAATATGATATTATGACATCACAACATATTACTGTATCATAATTGGTTTGTATTAAGGCATTGCAGTATATCATGACATCATAAGTTGCATGCATATGACATCATGATATATTATGATGTCACAATTCTTATTACGTCACAATGTATCATGACATCATAATTCATATGTATTGTGACACCATAATTCATATGCATTATAACATCACAATATATCATGACATCATAATTAGTATGTGTTATGACATCACAATGTATTATGACATGATAATTCATGTGTATTGTCACATCACAATATATTATGACATCATAATTTGTACGTATTATGATGAATTCATATGAAAATGTGTATGTAGTACAACATATTACAAATTGTTATGTAATTTGTATGTATTACATATGTATTAGATGGCTCTGGATGTCTTGAGCTCTGGGGGGCAGGCTTGGGGTAGGAAGAGACACCCATGCTGCAGATGGGGAGATTGGGGCACAGGGCCCTGGGGTTCCAGGAGCAGTGATGAGGCCAGAATTGGCCTGTGGAGACTTCGATGCTGGCTCTGGGTGAGGGGGCTACTGCACATGTGAGCACAGCAGTGCTCAGGGGCTCAGGTGGCTGCCCAGGGGCAGATGGACAAAGGGGTTAAGGCACCAGGAGACCAAACCTACAGCCCAGCAGGGGGCAGGGTGGCTGTGAGGGTTGTATGAAGGATGCCAACAGCATTTTGGGGGCATGAGCTGTAGGTGTGAGGGAGCAGGCAGGGGGACAATGCCCAGTCATTCTGGCCTGGAACAGTGGCAGGTGGATGCTGCCTAGCCATGGAGCAGTCAGTGAGGTGGGACTTCTGGTTTCAGAGGAGCCCAGAGATATACTCAGGCAGATGAGGGTCCTCATGGGATGGACATGGAAGGGTCAGCTACAACTTGGGGACCATTTGTGGTGGGCTGAGCCCCTGGGACCTCTGGGGTGAGCAGGCAAGAGAGTGAAGAGGAGCCAGCCAGGGAGCCAGAGGCAGACGGAATAGAGGAAATTAGACCCCAGGAGAGGGGCAGACCAGGAAGAGGATGAAAATTTCTCCTCACCTGCCTCAATGGCCTCTGCCCCTGCCCACACACCCTAGTGCACTCCCCCTGAATCCCTGCTTGCGTCTGCCTAACTGGCCATCCCAGGCTTGTGTGGCCTCAAGCTGTGGGGGTAACTGAAGGGCCACTTTCAGAAAGCACAGTCTAGAAATGAGCAGCGTTGAGTCACTGTCGTCTCCCAGTCCTGGGAACTTCCTCTGCCACAGCTCACTGAGCTGTCTTCATCACCAATGGGTCTACCTTCCCCCATCCCTGGAGGGCTGGAGGTCAGCTCAGAGCTGTGAGAGGTGCCTCTTCCCAGTGTCTCTCTACACAGCTCCTACCTGTGCCTCAGCATCTTACTCTGAGAGGTGGGCCTGTTGCTGCATGTGAATTGCGAGGAGGTCACTGTGGGGAAGGGGCTGCCTCCTTCCTCTTTTCTGGGCCCCTGGTGCCTCTCTCCTGGGGGTAAGGCAATCCAGCCTACCCATGAATCCAGGCAGGAAGGCAGCCCCACCCCAGCCCCAGAAAGAAGAAAAATAGTTCAGCTGTGAGGGGGGCGGGGGCGGAATGGTGACAGCCCTGGACATTAGCACAAAAAAGAGCTGAGGCCTCCAGGAGGCCATCCTCACCAGTGCCCTGGAGCTCTACAGGGGGTGGCTTAGGGACTCAGAGTCTTGTGGGGCAAGGCTTCTCTGCTGCTTCTGAGGCTCCCCGCTCTGCAAGGGGCTGAGTTTCTTCTCCTGGTAAACTGCTCCCAATGCCTACCCTGGCTCATTCACTTAGCTGGGCTACCTGCTGGGCTCCCTTCCTGGTGGACCCTCCCTGTCAGCCTCCCTGGGTGGGTGGGGGCTCCTTTGGAGACTCCATTATTCTTTGAGGTTTTTAGGCCAGGATGAAGCACCCCAACCTCTCAGCAGGAGCAGCCACTTGTGGGAAGTGAAGGGAATGGGAGGGGACACATGGCCCAGCTCTGAGCATGACTGGGTGGGGACATTATGTTGAAGCTCCTGGAATCCTTATTCAGCCCAGGAAGAGGGGTTTGAAAGGCCAACAATCTCCCTACACAGGAGGGAAAAGAGAGGGTGTGGGTGGGCAGCGGCAACCTTGAATTGGGGGTCTGGTGAGATAAGTCTCTGCTCCTCACCCCAGCTATGGCCTTCATGTGTGCTTCCACCAGCAGAGGCCCCTTACTGGACTTGGACCGAGTGGATGGACAGGAAACCACCAACCATGGTGGCCACCCAAACCAACTTTCACTGCCTTACTCTTGAAACCCCACTCTCTCCATCTCCTGGCTGAAGAACCACAAGAGCTCTAAGGAGAGCATCACATCAGCATATGGAGGTGGGCCTGGAAGTTGGTGGGAATGTGGGCTGGATGTGGAAGGTGGGACCTGTCTTTGGCTCACCTGCCTTTCTACCTGGAGCTGTGGCACCAACAGTAGAGGCTGATCATGGAGTGTGGTGCCCACAGACTGCTGTCACCCCACCTCTGTGATGGAGAACAAGTGCAGCAGCCTTTAGCAGACATACACACTGGACAGCTGGGTGAGGGCTGTGGCCCGTGGGCAGAGGGCAGGAGGGTGGGCAGCCTCTGAACTCCCATCTATTCTTTCAATGTTTTCTCCTGACCATCCCATTCTACTTGCAGGGCTTCTGGACAGCCAGATGCAGCAAAATGGAAATCCACTGCAAATTCTCTAGCAACTTAGTATGTGGAGGTGAACACCAGCAAATTGGGTGTCAATGGCATGCCCTATGTCACCATGCTCAGGGGAGATGCTGCTGCTGGCCAGGAGCATGGGGATAGCAGGCCTGAGGCTCCACTTTACAGAACTCTACCATCATTATAAAAGTTTTGGAGTAGCCTATGAAAGACAGAACATGTCATCAGCTAGGAGACAAAATCCTCTACAGTGAGCAGTTCTCCTGGATATAAACTTGGTGCTGGTTCATTTAGCATCTGTGATGAACCAATGTCTAAAATGAGAGTCAGTTTCTCCTAAAGTAAGATCACATGAGTCAACTGATAAAAGTGGGAATCACTCCTGTGAGTATTGTCCCTCATAATTCATTCAAAAACATTTGCTTCTGTCTTTGCAGCTTTATGCTCTCCAAATTCCCACACTGAGTAAAAACCTCCTTGGCAAGCTTATAATCAATCTCACATATTTAACAATTTGGATTTTATATTAAGATCCACTATAAAATATGGAAGAAAATCTGTTTGATTTACAGTAGATGTAAAATAGAAAAACTAGAATGGGCTACTCTGCACATGTAGTATTAGTTCCTTTTATATTTATGAGTTTTCTACCAACCTGTATTTATTACACTAAAAATAATGCTAAAATATACTTTATTTTATTGTATGGAGTTTAAATGGATACACTGAATAATGGAATAATATTAACTAAATAAACCTTGATGCCTATTTTTTTCAGTTTTTAAAAGTTATTTAACAGTTTTTCTTTTTACTGTAAAATTGCAATTGATTAAATCTACTCCTAAATATTTTTTTTCCTTTTCATACATACACAAATGGAATTGTTTTCTTAATTTTATTTTCAGGTTGATCATTGTTAGTACATAAAAGTACGATTGAACTTTGTATATTGGTTTTGTATCTTGTGATGTTGCTGAACTCACTTATTGGTTGTAGTGAGTTTTAATGAATTTCTTATAAACTTTTATATTCACATTATGTCCTCTGCAATGATAGAGAGTTCTAACCTCTTATTTTCCCACATTGATGATTTTGTTTATTTTTCTTATGTAATTTATTTGGATGTTAACATTTTTGTCTTGTTCTCAAATGTCAAGACACAACAACCAGTATTTTATTATTATGGGGTTAGCTGTAAGTTTTACATTGACGCCTTTTAGCAGATCTAGGAAGTTTCTTGTACTCCTCTTTTCCAGGGAGATCGTGAATGAATATTGGATTGGTTAAATGCTCCCTGTGTCTGTTGAAAGGACCTTTCTGTTAATTTCCTTTATCCTATTACTTTGTGTAATGCATTGATTGATTATTGGATAGATCAATATTGCATTTGTGAAATAATTCCATTTGGTCATGGTGTACAGTCATTTTGATTTATTCTTGATTCATTTCACTCTTTTTTGAGATTTTCTGTTTGTGTATTTATCAGGGAAATTCATCTATGTTCATATTTACTTGTGATGCTTTTGTCTGGCTTTAGTATCAGGGTAATACTGGCCTGATAGAACAAATTGGGAAGTGTTCCCAATAACTGTCTTCTATTTTCTGGAAGGCCTTGTGAAGAGTTGGCATTAATTCTTCACTAAATGTTTAGTAGAATTTATCAGTTAAGCCACATGACTCTGGGCTTTTTTGTGTGTGATGATTTTTAATTAATTGAATCCCTTTACTTGTTATATATGTATTCATATATTCTGTTCCTTCTTGGATTTACTTTTATGATTGGTGCCTATTGAGGTATTTATTTCTAGTTTGTGGTACTTCATGTGTTTAGGTTTTCTAGACAGTGGACATAGAAGATTCAAGAAGCTAAATGTAGGAGAATGTTTAATGTAGGAGAATGAGGCTTTGATATCATCAATGAATGACTTGAAGTTTCCTCTGTTGTAAAGAATGATATTACCATAACTGCCATAGTTAATATTGATGGTGTAAGTCAAATAAGAAGGCAGGAGGAAAGGGACATCCATCACTGAACCACAAATCAGTGTACTCATTGAAGCCTTTGAGAAGAATCCACAAAATTTTACAGGATAATTCATTTCCTGCGATCACCAGTAGAGAGAAACTGGTTAAACAGACAGGTATTCCAGAGTCCAAAATTTACATTTGGTTTCAGAACCAAAGACCTCAGCTCCCAGGCCACAGCAAAAGGGGGCTTATGAATTCCCTGGCACCAGGTCCAAGACCAAGACCTCATCTGATTGTTTGGCTGGAACAAAACATGTGCACTGCCCCAGGCAGGTCTCATCCTCTTCATGCCTCCTACTCTTTCACCAGCCACTTTTCATTTTTACAAGCTCTTCCTTCACCTCCCACATCCTGTGATTTTTTGGATCCATCTGCATTCTGCATGAGACAGGCTGTGCAGATGGGAGAGTTCTCTCAACCTCTTCTGGCACTCAGGAGTCATGTGTCAATGGTACCAGCTCTAGGAGGGAGGCTCTCCCATACACAGACTTGCTTCTGGCCTCTGTCGAAAGGAAAATTTCAGGATAAGAAAAATGAGACACTAACCTGGAAGTTCTGCCTTAAAGGACAGCCTCAGCCTGGTCATTCTTAGCCACAATTTTAGAGTTTGGGTCAACAGGCCAAATCCCAGCAGTGGTGGAGCCGGGGCAAGGGGTCCTAGGATGTCATGATTCAACCTGAAGCAGGAGCACCTTAGCAGCCCATGCACACTGAGTCTCCCCTGTGACAGAAACAGACACAAGCCACGAAGGAGACATCCACCTGCTGGAGCAACCACACCAGCCATCTGCATGATCTCCTATAATCCCCAGAGTTTCAGGAAAAGGCACAATCTTTTCTGAATGCCGATCCACAAGGGGAGGACCCTCCAAGGTTTGAATCACCACTCAGTGAGAAAGAATTTCAGGCTCTGCTTAACAGGCTGCAAAGCTTACCAGCAAATCAGCTTCAGCAGGCAGCCATCCTTCTCACCACTGCCATGCAGGACTATTTTCCTTGGACACAAACAGCAAAATGCCAAGAAGAAGGCACCAGGAACACATTGTGGTCAGAAGCAAGGCTGATGGAAGAAGCAGCAGCAACCACTTGGAAATCCAAAGGGAGCACTTCGGCTCACTCCTGTGGGCTTCCCTCAACTTTGGTGCTCACTTTCTAACCTCAGTGATGGTTTCTGAGCTCCATCCTGCCTCTTGAGGCTGCATGGGCTCCAGGCGGTGAACAGCTTCACTGAATCCTGATGCAGCAAAGCATTCTCATGACAAACATGACTTCTTCCCTTTGATCGTCAGCTCCTGGGCCATCTGGACAATGCACAAACTGGAAACCCACCAAGGGGAGGAGAGTAGCTCTAAGGAGGACACATTTGCACTTCTTTCCCTTCTAGCAAGTTCAAAAGCCAACCATAAATGCAAGTGGATATGTAGAAAATGAGGGCGTGCTATAACTTCTCATCACATGAGTTTATGACCAGGAGTTTTTAATCCTAGCTCTGAGAGCTGTAAATGGGAATTGGAAGTTTTTCCACTAAGCATCTATCAGTGACTGATTGTGCAGGCTTATCTCCTTCATACTGAGGAGTCTTCACTGAGAATTTTCCTGTTGAACAAATAAACATAGAGATAGTGACAGGTAGGCTGGGCATGGTGGCTCATGCCAGTAATCCCAGCATTTTGCAAGGCCAAGGAGGGTAGATCAGTTGAGACCAGGAGTTCGAGACCAGCCTGGGCAATATGGCAAAACCCGGTCTCGACTAAAAAAAAACACATGAAACAGCTGGGCATGGTGACCCATGCCTGTAATTCCAGCTACTCAGGTGGCTGAAGCATGAGAATCTCCTGAATCCAGGAGGCAAAGGCTGCAGTGTGCTGAGATTTTGCCACTGTACTCTAGCCTGGGCAACAGTGCAAGACTCTGTCTCAAAAAAAAAAAAAAAAAAGCAATTGAGTGAGAGAGAGAAAACTATAAAATAACTGAACAAAGTGTAAGGATGTTAATTTTCCCACAGCGTTAGAATTTTTGTATATATTTACATGCATAGATCTATGCATAAAGCTGACCTCCTTATATGTTAAATCAGTTACATGTTCAGTGGAAAAAAAATAAATTTTCTTTGTTTTAACACTGAAGAGGGATGCACATGGTCCAGGCATGTTCTGTTGGAGTTGAAGGGGCCTGTTCTGGGAAAGGGAGAAAGGCAGAGTGAGACCCCGGTGCATTTAGGAGGCATAAGATGGGACCCTAATAGAGAGGCAGCCAGGGCCTGGGCACCGGCAACACTGAGGCTCACAGGGGCTTCTGGAGGCGAGATAAATGGCACAGGGCACTGAAGGCTATAATGTCCTGTAACAGGCGAAGATCTGGCCAGGTCGTGCTGCGTCTCAGCATCACTGCCAGCCAGGCCTAACTAGACCCTATATTGAAGACACCTGGGGTGGACAGGCGTGAGCCTCCATGCTGCAAAGAGCCCCAAAATTAGGTCTGCCCTGGGGCAAGGGTCCAGACCATTATGGTTAGGCCAATTTAAAACAGCCTCGTCTCCTCTATTCTCAGAGGCTCAAGTGGGTGGAGAAAAGATAAGAAGTGAACTGAAATCTCCCTGAAAAAACAGGGTCCCATGGGGTTTGTTGCCCCCCTACCTACAAGTGGAACCAGTCAGCCACCTCTCTCTCCTCTTTATGCCAAGATCCTCTGTTCAGGGCTCCTGGAAAAGCCCTCCTCCCTGCTGCCTCCCCACCACAGTGCACTTGCCAGGAAAGCCCGAGATCAGGGACCTGAGCATTTTGCACAGCAGGCGGGGGAGCAAGAGGGTCAAGGGCAGCGGTGTGTCCTGCACAAGAGCGGCCTTTTGTGGGCCCAGGCTGCAGACCAGCTCACCTTGCAGCAGGTGGCAGCCATGTGCCCTCTGCCAGGCCACTCCACCTCCCGGAGCAGCAGCTCCAGCTGCCGCTTCCGTTTGTTGAGCACAGAATGTACGAATGCCGGCTAGGGGGCCAAAGGTGGGGACAGTGGCCACCTCTCGTATCTCTGACCATTCAGCCGCCAGCCATACCCAGGCCGCTGCCAGCGGTCCCATGAGCCTGGCGTTCCTGTCGCCCCTTCTCCCCACAGTTCGTCTCCTTGTTCTCCCAGCCGGGCTCCTAGCTCCTCAGAGACGCAGGACCAGCTCAGATCTCCTGTCCAGCACCTGCCGGGCTAGTAAGCGAGAAGGCCAGGAGAAAGGGTGTCTGTCGCTCCAGAAGGAACAGGACCTCCCTACTCCAGGAAGGAGTCCGACGCTCAGTGGGGGCTGCAGGCGCAGCGGACGGTGGGGGCAGCAGCAGCAGCGGCAGGAGGAGAAGCAATGGCTTCTCTGGAGGTGGCACTGTCTGTCTCCTTGGGCGTCTCCCTAACATAGTCATGATTCAAAATCTGTGCTCACCACCAGTGCAAGGTCACAGCGGGAAATTGTAATTATCTAAGCGGATTCTTTCTTAATTGTACATCTATGTTTTATATAGAAGTGTTTTTGTTGTTGTTGTTGTTGTTAATGTTTCTCTCATTCTTGTTTTGAAATTTCATATTACTGTGCTTCTTTTTTGGGGTAGCTTCTTTGACATTTGTGTTTTGTGAATTTGGTTTTACCTACATATTATGATTTTGGATGTAAATCTGCAACTCTATGTACACATCGAGTCGATGTGGGGTTTAATTAAAATATGAATCAGTCATATCTACCACCAATAAAATCATGTGTTTGTTTGCCTCTATAAATATACTCCATTTATTCTTATCTTGCATATTTCTCTTCTTGGCTGATGTCAAAAGTTTGTTTTAACTTGTTCAGGAGAGTAGTCATGTAAATAGTCTTAATTTGCCCATGTATTTTTTGATGAATCTATATTATCTTTGTGTGAGAAAAACACGCTTATAATTTGAAGGTAATTTTCTGAAAAGTTTATAACTCTGTATCTCTTTTATGTATCACTTTACAATATTTTAATTGTAATAAAGCACAACAAAATTTACCAGTCTATACCTTTGTAATTGCATAATTTAGTAGTGTTACATATATCCACATTGTTATGCAACAGGCTTCTAGAGCTTTTCCATTGCAAAACTAAAACTCAATAGCCATAAACGTCAACCGACCATTTTACCCTCTCCTGAGCCTTTGACATTCTACTTTCTGTTTCTGTGAGTTGGACTACTTAAGATATATCATAAGAGGAATCATACACTCACTGTCACTTTGTTTCCTGGCACATTTCACTTAACATTATGTCCTAAAGGTTTACTGTCATTGCAGTGTGTGATTTATTTATTTATTTATTTTATTTATTTTTTTTTGAGACAGTCTCACTCTGTCGCCCAGGCTGGAGTGCAGTTGTGCAATCTCCGGTTACTGCAAGCTCCACCTCCTGGGTTCACATCATTCTCCTGCCTCAGCCTCCTGAGTAGCTGGGACCACAGGCACCTGCCACCATGCCTGGCTAATTTTTTGTATTTTTAGTAGAGATGGGGTTTCACCGTGTTAGCCAGGATGGTCTCAATCTCCTGACCTCGTGATCTGCCCACCTCGGCCTCCCAAAGTGCTAGAATTACAGGCATGAGCCACCACACCCAGCCCAAGATTTTCTTTTTAAATCATATTATATGTATATATCATATTTTATTTTATTTTATTTATCTGTCAAGGGACATTCAAGTAGCTTCTACCTTTTGGATTTTTAGAATAAATCTCTTATAAACAGGGGTGTGAAATGTTTCTTTCAGGTCCTGCTTTGAACATTTATATAGATATCCAGAAATGGGATTGCCAGATCATGTGGCTGTCGGTTCGGGACTGAACGAAGGAGGATGAATGCAGAAATGAAGACAAAAACAAAAAGATTTGTTGTAAAGAAGGGGTCAGGGGGCTCCTTGCTTCTAGGGAACAAGGGCCCTGAGCTTATACAGCCCTTCACATGTATTAGGTAGAATCAACAGGGAGGAAGAGGTAACAGTTTTAGTCAGCTGCTTGATTTATCACAGGCTCAAATAATTGCTTTCTTTATACAACAGGGTCCAGATGTTCCTATAGATAACTACAAGGAACACTGTGCCTGATGCATGACTGTCCTCAGCATTCCTTCTGGTGGCAGATGCAGCTGTCAGCTTGCCAATATCCTGTATTCATGAGAACAGTTTGCTGTTTGCTCACATAGCCTCCAGTGGTATACTGAGTTGGTCATGACCCTCATTCTTTCAGCCTCCAACATCTCCCCCTTTCTGCTTTTGATTTAATTGAATAAAGGTAATTGCAGGCTGTTCAGCTCTCAATTGCTGGTTGGTGTTCCAGTTGATTTTACAGACTATGAACAAAAAACAGAAACATAGTAACATTATTCCAATAATTATGAAAAAGATATTGAGGTGCTGTTAGAATTTTACTTTGTAAATCATTAATATCAAAAGTAACATTGGATGTAACAGCTCCCTGTAAATGGGCCTTTACAAGGTTCCATGGATATTCACTTTGATTATATTCCTAATTGGTTACACAAATATGAGTATGGTTAAAATGACAACGCAATTGCTACTGCAACTGCAAGCTTTGTACTTGTTCTTCTAGCCACAGAACAGTAGTCTTTAACATTGCCACTTCTGTTTGTATCTCAGTGTTAGTTTTATTTTGAAACATCCATGCCTGGTCAGCTGTATGCATCCAATTTTCTGCATATTGAGCTGTTTGAGTGGAGCTGTCCAGTGCTACTGAGGACACCACAACAGAGGGTATTAATGTAATTAAGGAGACTATAGTAAAAATTATCATGCCTAAGGCTCTACGAGTGCCATGAGTAAGCTGAGTAAGAAGTTTTACAAAATGTAAAGTGGGGGTGGCTGCCCAAGGCTCAGATAGATTTACAGGAATCCATAATCCAGGAATGCGACCTAGAATTATTAGGGTGGATATGCTGTGTGTTTGTATTGTGCTATGATTAAGGCAATGATAGAGTTGACAGGAATCACAATTCAATTGGGCATTGTTTACCTGGAGTTGGTCCTTTTTTGCTGCTAGAAAAACATAGGGATTAAAAACACAAATTTCAAACATTTTTTACAAAGGTAACATTAAACTGTATTGAGCACTATTACTATTATTGGATAGTGTCCCAACCCAAATGCTGCCATTCATATATGGGAGTGCTGCCTTCCACATAGACTCCTGAATTGGACCTCTCTTTCCTTGATAATGCCATTGAGGCAAAGGTGGGCTAAAGCCCGTTCCATGCCAAGCAAGTTGCATGGCAGATTGGGATTGAATCCCAGTGTGTTGAAGTGAAGAGATGTTAAAGTTTCGCCACCAGTGCCAGTGAAGTTTATGCCATGTGGTCTGATTCTCATCTCTCCCATCTTAATGACCACAGGGACCCCAGTCAATAATGTCTCCCATTAACATGGACTATTGTCTAGCTAAGGGGCCAAGACAGTGGGCCCAAGGAGGGGGGTGAGAATTATCAAAGGGAGCCCATTCTGTATAATCAGTACAATTTGGGTGATGGGGCCAGGAGTGATTAGTAACTACACAAGTAATATTAATAAAGCTAAGGTCTAATAGGTACATAATTTTTTAATGGTAACTCAACCATGCTTGGGATCAAACTGCAAGGCAACTGCAGTTGAGCAATGTATCCTGGGTGACACATAAAGGAAGTCCCTCCAATGGAGTGGTATAATTGATACCATTGTTATGAGAGTCTAATTGCTCTGTGTCAGGGGGAGTTAGAGGTCCTGGTACTGATGCTCCTTGATCATGATATATCTCAGGAGGAGTGCTGCTTCAGAGTATGATCACACTACCGGTGGGTTAGGAAAATATGCCCAATATGTTTTTGCTTCTGCACAGAAAAATCATACTGCACAGGATATTACAGCTAGCATGGCCATAAACATGGAGTCAGGGGTTTTTGCCTGACCCTGGCACTACACCAGTTTCTCAGCTTCTGGTGTGGTTTTCTTGATCTGACCCCATGTTATGAGGGTTGACGTCAGTGTGACTCTCGTCGGTCTTCATTCCATCTTCACATTCAGATTCAACTGGCTCATGGCTCATACTGGAGGAGCTGGGCCTGTAGTTGGGATCCATGTATCCCTCCAGTCTCCCATTCCATGGTCGCACACAACTTGAGGGCACTCACACGGTTTATCCATCTCCTGTAAAAACACAAGCATACCCTCATCCCCACGTCAGTAAATCCACCAGGCCTTTCCATTGTCCTTCTTCTGGGGATTTCCATAGTACCTTTGGGTAAACTTTCCTCTTTCCCTCTAACATTTGCCAATGTTGTTTGGCCAGAGTCTTACTATCCATATCAAAAGTAAAAAATTAAAAGTAAATAAGGATAAATGTAATTTTGTTTGAGGTGGTAGCTTGTCTCCTATTCCCCCTTTTTGTTTTTACAACATACACTGTAGTGTTTGATGTGCCCACTCTATAATGCCTTGTCCTCGAGAATTGTAAGAAATTCCTGTGTTATGAGTGATTGCCCACAACTGTAAAAAATTTTGAAAAGCATGACTAACACAAGCAGGTCCATTGTCAGTTTTTAATTGTTTAGGGACCCCCATATGGGCGAATGATGACAAACAATGTTGTTGGACATGGCCAGCTGTTTCCTGTTTGGCATGTGACATGTAGCATATGGGAGTGTCTATAGTCACACGAACACAGCTGAGTTTCCCAAAGGCTGCTATATGTGTAACATCCATCTGCCAGATTTCATTTGGTGCCAAGCCTCGTGGGTTACATCCTTCCACAAGTGCAACACCAGGAACATGCTGGCAAGTGGGGCAGGTTTGCACAATAGCTGCAGCCTGTCCATGAGGCAGATGAAACATACGAGTAAGGGCAGAGGTGTTTTGATGCAGTAATGCATGAGAAGCTTGGGCTTGTTGAAATACAGAACCGATTAGTTTATCTGCTTTATCATTACCTAGAGATAGTGGTCCAGGAAGTTGCGTGTGAGAGTGAATATGAGAAATATGAAAAGGAGTAGCATGAGAGCGAACAGCTTGTTGAAGTCTTAGAAACAAGTTAAGCAGCTCTGGTTCTAGGGTGCTCTTAATAGTGGCAGTTTCAGCACGACTGGCTACATTTACAACATAGGCTGAATCACAAACAATGTTATTAGGAGATGAAGTGGTGAGCTGTAAAACCTGAATAACTATCATTAATTCTGAGCATTGAGCTGAAGCTCCAGAGGTCTTTATTGTCTAAGTATGTTAGGTCCATAAATAGCTGCGTGTCCTTTGGCAGAACCATCAGTAAAATAGGTCTGTTCACCTGGAATAGGCTTGTGATGAGTGATTACAGGGAGAATAAAAGGGTGAACTTTATAAAATTGCAAAATTTTGTCTGATGGATAATGGTTATCTATTATTCCTATGAAATCTGCAAGAGCAATTTGCCATGCAGTCAACATTTCCCATGCTGCAGTGTGTTGTTGGGAATCCAAGGGAACAATAATTTTGTCTGGATCATATCCCATAAGCATTTTTGATCTATGCCTACCTATTGTTATAAGTTGAGTAATTAAAGAAAGATAAACTTGCAAAGATTTCACTGTCTGATTGGATTTAAAAAAAGCATTCTAATACTACTACAGATTTGACTATGAATTGGCCTAAAAGTCTTGTTGCTGAATGGGGGGTAGGAAGAATAAACAGAAGCAAAGCCTTTTGTGGCTGTAGCCAGGAGGCATGTCGTTGCCAAAACATCAGCTCTACAAGTTGTAACTTAGCTTTTGCCTCCTTAGTAAGTTGCTGAGGAGAGTCTAATGGAGAATCTCCTTGAAGGGTCTGATAAAGGTGTTTGAGTTGATAAGCAGGAATACCTAGCATTGGGCACAGCCAGTTAATGTCCCCTAATAATTTTTGGAAATCATTCAAAGTTTGTAATCTGTCCCTATGGAGGACTACTTTCTGAGGCCAAACACTTCTTTCAGTAACAATAGTGCCTAAGTACTGGTATCAGGAGGTTGTTTGCACCTTTTCTGGAGCTATTTTGAGATTCCATTTAAGTCAAAGCTCATTTTATTTATCTGAATAACTGATATAAAATTTGATCTGTAGGAGGGGCAGAAAGAATATCATCCATATAATGACGGATGTAGGCTGTGGGAAACATATTCAGAGGCACCTTTAATGCCTATCCTACAACATGCTGATATAATGCTGTTAAGCATGCCTTGGGGTAAGACTTTCCATTGATAATGAGAGACAGGCTCTTTTTGATTAACAGAAAGCACATAAAAGGCAAATCGATGCTTATCCTGCTCATGTAACAGTAAAATAAAAAAATAAATAAAAAATCTTTAAGATATATTACTTTGAGAGGCCAGCCTCCTGGAAAGGCTGCCGGGGATGGCAGACCTTGCTGTAATGCACCCATTGGTTTAATGTGTGCATTAATAGCTCTCAAATCATGTAGCAGTCATCATTTTCCTGACTTTTTAGGAATTACAAATACTGATGAATTCCAGGTGCTAACTGACTCTTCAATATGTCCTGCATCCATTTGCTCTTTTACTAGCGGATGGAATTGTGTTAGTTTCTCCTGTGATAGGGGCCACTGATCCACCCATACAGGTTTTTTAGTCAGCCACTCCAGCGGTAAAACAGTAGATGGGGGAGAAATATCAGTGACTCCCATCAGAAATTCTGATGACCTAGCCCTTTTCTATCTGTTTGCCCAGCTATTGATATAGGATCAGTGTTTCCCTGTAGGGACTTTTCTAAGCCTTTTCTGCCTGACATCCCATTTTCTTTAACATTTTGAACCCTGGATTGTCAATAGTTTCATTTGCAAGTCTTATATCCCATGCTGTAAGTAAATCTTGGCCCCATAGGTTAACAGTTACATTTGCAAAATAAATTTTAAAAGTACATGACTGTCCATCTGGTTTGAGACAGGGTAAAATTTCAGCACTCTGTTGAACACTTTGAGCTGTTCCTATTCCCACTAGCGATGTAGGAGTTAATTGCAGGGGCCAGGATGGGGGCCAATTGTTTTTAGATATTACTGACACATCAGCTCCCATATCCATAAGCCCATAGAAATTTTTTTCCTTTAATTTGCACTGTACAGGTGGGTCTATTAGATGCTATGGGTTGTGATAAATAAATTTTCCTCCTAGCTGTACTCCCAAATCCTTGATTCTCTCATTTCTCCTTATGTGGAGAAGGAAACAACTCCCAGGGAATAAGCAGTAGTTGAGTTACATATTCTCCAGGTTCAAAAACTAACAAATCTTGTGATATTACCACTACTTGAATTTCTCCTTCATAATCACAGTCAACAACTCCTGGGACTACAGTAATGTCCTGTAAGTTGAGATGGATTTTACCCAAAATTAATCCCATATATCCTGTTGGCAAAGGTCTCCAAATACCAGTGGGAATTTTAGTGGGTTTGTTTCCTCCAACTAATGTAACCCATTCTCTGACAGGGAGATCTATTCCTGTGCTTCTGGGTGTTCCTGGGGAAAGGGAATCAATGTTCCTCCATAGACTCCTCCCTGAAATGGGGTTGTGGCCTGGACAGGAAATGCCCTCATTGTTTGAGGGGACCGGGTCCAGGCTCCCTTCTTGGTTCCCGACAGAGGGGTGCCATTCTGATGAAATTTTGAACTGCATTGATTAGTCCAATGATTTCCTTTATTGCAACAAGGGCAAATTTCTGGAATTTTTTCTGCTGAAGGTTGGGTATTGCATTATAAGATCCCTTTTGCCCAAGGTCTGATGGCATTCCTTTTTGAAATGTCCGATTTTTCCACAATTATAAGATTTTCCCATTTTAGGGTTTGACCCTTAGCCCTTTTTAGATTTGTTAACTACTAAATTAGCCATTGCTTGAGCTAACATTGTAGAGCAATGAAGCTCAGTTCTCACATCTTGACAAGTTTTGAGAAAATGTCCTAAGTTTTTAGTACATCTCACAGGAGCCAGTGCACATTTATAATCCGTGTTTGCATTCTCAAAAGCTAAAGTTAAGGTTAGCATTTCTGCAGCAGTGGTATGAGGAATCTGATGCCTCACTGCCTCTTGTAATCATGCAAGAAAATGTGCATAGTGCTCCTTTGACCCTTGCATGCCATGTAAAAAGGATTGTATTGGGACCCCTTCCTCTGGAATTGTGGCCCAGGTGCATTTAGCAGCCAGTGCACGCTGCTTATAAGCAGCGTCTGGGAGTGTCATTTGATATTCCAGGTCTGAATAAGGGCCATTACCCAACAGCATATCCTCTGTAATGTCCCTGTGTCCGGCAGCACAATTCTGTCTAGCCTGGTGTGCACACAGTTCTTGCCAATTTAAATTCCATTTCAGATATGCACTAGCAGACAAACAAGTGTGAGCCAAATGCTTTACATCAAAGGATGGAAGACACATAGTTCAAAATACAGATTCTAACAATCCTAAAGTAAATGGGCTCTGTACTCCATTATTCACTACACTAGCTTTTAATTCCTTCAACAACTTAAACTCTAGTGAGGCATGTTCATAAATAAACTGCTGTGGATTATTTGGATCAGGCCTTACAGAAATAGTGAAAGTGCAATGTCCTAAGGGCTCTCCAGCTATGGTAGCAGAGCATAGAATTCTTTGCAGTGGGGTCTCTATTTCTGTTACTGAAGGAGATGGTACAGGTGTTTCTGCTACTGGAGGGGGTGGTAGACGCCAATTTTCATCCTCCCTCTCCTGTTTATTATTTTCTTTGGGTGTTGTGGGTGGGACAAAAGATTCTTTCAAAATTTGAGATTCAGAACATGGCTCCTGCGGTTTGGCAGAATAAGAATGAGATAATGGCAGGAGGACAGTATGGACTAAACTCCAAACAGAAAAAAAAGGAAGGATAAACTTTAAGACCTTTTTGATGAGCCCATTTTAATCCTTCCCCTACTCAGTTCCAATTTTCCACATCAAGAGCGCCTGTCTGCGGAAACGAGGGGTTATGCATGATAACCTCCTGCAGCAGCTTAGTCAGCGTTTGAGAACTAACCTGAGCACCAGATTGTTTACGTAAAACTTTAAGCAACTGCACGTAATGCTGCTCCTCAACAGACAAACTCTGCCCCCACGTTACCCTGATTCAGAAACTTCCCACTCCCAGTACCTCTTTAGGACACTGACCTTATATCCTCTGCAGGCAGACTCATCCCAGGGTTTCTCATTCATCTGGTCAGTTTCACTTTTTCTGCTCCAGCAGACCTTCTTTGTTCAAGTCCCTGTTCAGGTGCCACTTGTGGCTGTCAGTTCAGGACTGAAGAAGAAGGACAAACGCAGAAATGAAGACAAAGACAAAAAGATCTGTTTTAAAGAAGGGGTCAGGGGGCTCCTTGCTTCTAGGGAACAAGGGCCCTGAGCTTATACAGCCCTTTGTATTCATTAGGTAGAATCAACAGGGAGGAAGAGGTAATGGTTAGTCAGCTGCCTGATTTATCACAGGCTCACATAATTGGTTTCTTTGTACAACAGGCTCCAGATGTTCCTATAGATAACCACAAGAAACACTGTGCCTGGGGCATGACTGCCCTCAGCATTCCTTCTGGTTGCAGATGCAGTTGTCAGCTTGCCAACATCCTGCATTCATGAGAACAGTTTGCTGTTTGCTCATATAGCCTCCAGTGGTATAATGAGTTGGTCACAACACTCATTCTTTTGACCTCCAACAAGATAGTACAATAATTCCATTTTTAATATCTGAGGAACCTCTGTACTATTTTTCATAATGGCTGCATTATTATTTTTCCACCACTCAGTGCACAAGTATATCAATTTATCTACATCCTTGAAAATATTTATTATTTTCTCTCGTTTGATAGTGGCCATCCTAATGAGTGTGAAGTAATATCTCATTGGGATTTTGCTTTTCATTTCTCTAAAGATTCGTGAATTTGACCATCCTTTCAAATTCCTCTTGGCCATTTGTATATCTCTTTTGTAGAAACATCTGTTGAGAGTTTTGCCCATTTTTAAATAGGGTTGTTCAGTTTTTTTTGTTGAGTTTTAAAGTTGTTTATACATTCTGGTTATTAACTTCTATCAAATATATCATTTGTAATTTTTTTCTCATTTCTTACGTGACATTAAATGTTTCCTTTATGTCCAGAAAGCTTACTACATTTGAGGTAGTCCCATTTTTCTGCTTTTTTTCTTGTTACTTCTGCTTTTAATGTCATATTTTAAAAAATTACCAAGACAAATGTCATGATTTTTACCTCATATTTTAAGAGTTTTATAGCTATCTTACTTACATTTGTTTAATTTATTTAAGATATTTTTGTATATGGTTCAAGTCAGAAGTCCAATTTCATTTTCTTCCATTTTGATGTTCACTTTTAGAACACTATTTGTTAAAGGGTCTGTTATTTCCCTGTTGTTTGGTAATGGCAACTTGTTTGAAGATTATCTGATGATATTCATGATGGTCTATATCTGGGTTCTCTATTCTGTTCCATCATCTATTTGTCTTTCTGGTTGTATTTCTATAGCTTTGTAATCTGTTTGGAAATCAGGAAGTGTGACACCTCTAACTTCGTTCTCTAAAGCTTCTTTGGCTACTCATTGTCCCTTGATATTCCGTAAGAATTTTAGGACTTAAAATAATATTTCTAAAAAAATCGTAACATTGGGATTTTGATAGAAAATACTTTGAATTTGTGTTTCACTGTGAGTAGTATTGACATCTTAATAATATTAAATTTTTTGAGCCGTCAAGAGTCTGCTGTTTTAAGTCTCACATATTTTTTAATTTGCCAGTTTCCTTTTGCTTGTGATTTGTAGATGAGGTCTTATTATGTTGCCCAGGCTGGTCTCCAACTTTTGGCCTCAAGCTATTCTCCATCCTCAGCCTCCTGTTGTATTTCAATTACATGGATGAGCCACTGCACCTGGCCTCTTTATTGTTTTTCTGACATTTTTATGATTTGGAGGTAATTTTTGAAAAAGGTTATAAATATGTATCTCTTTAGAAAGTTTTTCATTTTTAATGTACTCAAAACACATAAAATGTACCATCTTAAATATATTAAGTACATAGTTAAATAATATTAAATATATTCACATTGCTATGCAACATATCGCTAAAATGATTTTATGTTGTAAAACTAAAATTCAATACCTATGAAACAACAACTACCCTTTTATTTCCACCCCTAAGGCTCTGACTGATACTATTCTACTTTCTGTTTCTAAGAGTTTAACTACATTAGATATTTTATTTAACTGGAGTCAAACAGTGTCTGTCCTTTTGTGACTGGTTTATTTCATTTACATAATGTCCTCAAGATTTATTCTTAGTGTAAAAATAATCAGATCTCCTGCTTTTAAAAAACTGAATAATATTCCATTATTTGTATATTCCAAATTGCCTTTATCCACTCATTCACTGAGGGACATTTGGGTTCCTTCCACCTATCAGCTGTTGTGAATAATGCTGCAATGAATATGGATATAAAAATAACTCCTCATTTGGCCATATATATGACAGTTTATTCCTGTGATCTATTCTGTTCCATTGGTCTGTCTGTCTGCCTTTATGTCAGTACCAAATAGTTTGGTTACTGTAGTTTTGTAATACATTAGGAAGTCAAGGAGTGTCATAGCTCCAATATTATGCTTTTAGAAAGTTGTTTGGCTCTTGATACTCACTTTAGATTCCATATAAGCTTTAGAATTTTTTTTGTATTTCTGCAAATGAAATGACAGTTAAAATTTGACAGCGATCACATTGAATCTGTAGATAATTTTGGGTAGTGTGAACATCTTCACAATATTGTCTTCCGACCCTTAACGAGAGCATGCTGAAGAGTGGGTTGTTTAATTTCCACATATTTGTAGATTTTCCAGTATTTTTTCTGCTATTGATTTCTCATTGTATTCCCTTTTAATCAAAAATGATAGTTTGTAATATTTTAATCTCTTTTGGGACAGAGATTTGCTATGTTACTCAGGCTGAAGCACAGTGACTCAATTATGGCTAACCACAGCCTTGATCTCCCAGGCTCAAGCAATCCTCCCACCTCAGCCTGCTGAGTGGCTGGACACACAGGCACGTGTAATCATGCCCAGTTAATTTTTTAATTTTATATTTTGTAAAGACAAGGTCTCCTTATGTTGCCCAGGCTGGCCATGAACTCCTAAACTCACTCAATCCTCCCAATTCAGCCTCCCAACATGCTGGAATGATAGACATGAGCCACCATCCCTGGCCCATATTTTACCATTTTAAAATTTAGCAAAACTTGTTTTGTGTCCTAGTAGGTCATCAACCCAGGAGAATGTTTCATGACCTATTGAAAAAATTGTATATTCTGATATTGCTGTGTGGAGTGTTTGTTTCTTTTGTTTTTTCACTTCTATTCACTGTGACTAGTGTTTTCTATATGTCTGTTAGGTTTAGAGTTTGCAGTGTTATTCAAATTCTCTGTTCTCAAGTTAACTTTCTGTCTGGCTTTATTATTCATTACTGATAGTGGGTAGTGGGGTAATTATGTCTCTTACTATTTTTGCATAGCCATTTCCTTCTTCATTTGTGTCAATGTTAACTTTATACATTTGGGAACCCTGATGTGAAGTGTGCACATATTTATTATTAACACAGCTTCCCCAGTGAATTGACAGTTTTATCATTATACAACATCTTTCTTTGTCTGTTGTTTCAGTTCTGACTTAATGTGTATTTTGCATAATTATGATCCACGTTGCTGTCATTTGATTGCAGTTTTCCTAGAAGGTATTTTTCATACTGGCACTTTTAGCCTATCTGTGTGCTTAGATGTAAATTGAGTTTCTTATAGACAACAGAAAATAAATCTTGTTTTTTTAAAATCTCTTTAGCCAATTTACATATTTCCAGTGTATATTTCACTCCATGTATATATTCATTTTAATTCTGAAAAGAATGGAATATTTCCTTTTTGTTAATAGTTCTATTTGTTTCTCGTAGGTATTTTCTCCTCTTTTCTGCTCTTATTGCCTTCCTTTGTATATAATTGATTTTTATAGTGACACATTTCTATTTCTATTTTAATTTGCCAAAGCCAAATTGCAAGATAAAAGGTTTGCCTTTAATCTAGTCTCTTGACATCTAAATTCTGGAGATTAAGGCTATGGACAGATCTAAAAACATGAGGTTTCCCCCTTCTGGGTCCCCATTTTTTGGACTTCTGTCTGATTTCTGGAAGAGTGATGAGTCCACACCAAGCAGCAGCGGACAGCAGTGGTCTATCTGTGGACACTTGTTTCCTGTAGGTCCCTCCTGTCTCTCAGTGCACCACCTCTCTTACCCTTGAAACAGGAGTGATATTGGCAGAGAAGAGGCATTCACTCCTATCTGGCAGAAAAGGAAAATTCAGGCCCTTTACCTCCCGAAGGTCAGAAAAGTCAAGAGCCCTCAGAGATGCACCTGCAATGTGGCAGCCACTGGCCACAACAGGCTACTGAGCACCCAAATTGTACACAGTATGTACTGAGATATGCTAGGGAAAAATATCAGAAAGTATTTTAGAGATTTAGTTACATATATATCTATATCTATATCTATCTATATATATGTAATGATTTCATTCTAATTATATGTTAAAATATTTTGGATATATTGGGCTAAGTTATTAAAATCAATTTCACTCATATTTCTTTTTCTTTATGCTGCTACTAGAAAACTTTGACACACGTGGCTCACATTTTATTTCTACTGCACATTGCTGCAATAGAAGATTGCCAGTTTTCAAAGCTCAGGCTGCCTCAAATTCAAGAGGAGAGAAAGATTGTAAAATCTAAAATTTAAAAATAATTGTCATTGGTCAGGCACGGTGGCTCACGCCTGTTATCCCAGCACTTTGGGAGGCTGAAGTGGGTGATCACTTGAGCTCAGGAGTTTAAAACCAGCCTGGCCAACATGGCGAAACAATGTCTGTACTAAAAATACAAAAATTAGCTTGGCAAGATGGTGGGCACCTGTATCCCAGCTACTTGGGAGGCTGAGGCAGAAGAATCGCTTAAACCTAGGGGGCACAGGTTGCCGTGAGCCAAGATCACACCACTGTACTTGAGCCTGGGTGACAGAGTGATACTCTTTCTCCAAAAAATATAAATGTACACAAAAATAATTGTCATTGTTTTCATTTTGAATAATACACACACATCCACACCCTCACCCCTCCCCTTTGTGTGTGCAACACACACACACAAAGTGGGGGAAAGAGAGAGAGGATCTTGTTCTGTCACCCAGGCTGCAGTGCAGTGGCCTGATCTCAGCTCACAGCAACCTCTACCTCCCAGGATCAAGTGTCCCTCCCACCTCTGCCTCCCAAGTAGGTAGGACCACAGACATGTATGACCATGCCATGCTATTTTTTTTTCATTTTTTAAGAAAAGGTGGGATGGGGGGCACCCACATCAAATAAATTATCCTTTTAAAGTGCTTTTGAATTTCATTTGCAACTATGTTGTGGATGATTTTGCATCTATGTTCATCAGGGATATTGGCGTGTAATTTTTTTTTTTGTAATGTCTATCTCTGGTTTTTGTATCAGGGTAATGCTGGCTTCGTAAAATGAGTTTGGAAGTATTCCTGTTTCTTCAATTTTTTTTCAAAGATTTGGTTCTTTTTAAATGTTTGGTAAAATTCAGGAGTAAAGTCATCAGATCTAAACTCTTTACTCATTACTGATCTATTCATGTTTTCTATTTCTTTATGGCTCAGTCTTGGTAGGTGGTACATGTCTAGAAATTTATTCATGTCTTCTCCCTTACACAATTTGTTTGGATATCATTGTAAATAGGAGTCTATGTACACAGCAATCTTATGACCTTTTGTATGTCTGTTTTGCCAGTTGTAATATCTTCCATTTAATTCTAATTTTATTTATTTGAGCATTTATTTCTTAGCCTAGCTAAAGATAGGAAGATTTTATGTTTTCAAAAAAAAAACAAGTTCTTACATTTTTTCTACATTTTCTGTTTTTTTTTTCTAGTGTTCATTGTATTTATTTCTGCTCTGTTTTTTTAATTAATTTCATCATCTGCTAACTTTGGGATAAGTTCTCCCTCTTCTAGTTTCTTGAGTTATATCATTATTTGTTTATTTGCAATCTGTCTTCTCTTTGGAAGAAGGTGTTTACTGCCTCTCCATCTCACTGGGATTAGCACCCATATTCGTTATGGTACTTTTTTTTTTTTTTGAGTCCATCAAACTTCTGATCCTAAGATTGCACCATTGGCATACTGGTAAGCAGCAGTGCTAAAAGTTCACATGATGAGTAGGGGTTTTACAGTGAGAGAATTACCCCAAATGTTTTGGGAGGGACTAATATTAAATTCTCTTTCTCCTTTTTATGACTCATCAGTGCCTAAGCCATAAGGCACAAGGAATGCACACCTCATCATGAGATTGCACGTGACAGCAGCAAAGGAAGCAGCAGCTCAGAAAAGACAAGGCCACTGTTCTTGCTTGCATGACAGTAGCACTTCTTAGAGCAACTGAATGACAAGCATAATTCTCTCCAAAGTAAAAGTCCCTTTTGTTTTTGCAATTTTACAGAAGACCATCCCTGGGTCTGTCCTGAGAGTGTGCAATAATAAACAACGTTCAGATGACTACCCAGGCATTTAGTAATAGTAAGCAGACCAGATGAAGCGACCACAGGGATATGGCCGGACTCCTGGTAATCAGGACTGAAGTGCTGACTGATTAAGGTGCTGTGTTTTCACTGCCTTGACACGCAAGTGTCTTGCAAACTGCCTGCCAAACACAGGCTAAACATGATGACACGTCACGCGGGAGAAGAGTCCATTGAATATTTATGTCTAGGTAATGTGTGCTTTAGTGTGGGCAGGGAAGGCAAATCATGATAAAGGCCACAAATTGTTATTTAGACCAAAGCAAAAGCCCACCACAAACTGATGGCTCTGACAGAGATGACTTTTAATGTATCATGAAACCAGTAGGCCAAAAGCAGTTAAAGTTGAGCAGATGTCCTCCGTCATGGGTGATTAATCCAGTTAGTGTTGTGAATTGTTTGATTAGCCTCCCCTTTACCCCATTGGTGAGGGAGAAATTACCACCCTAATGCTACTGGAATAGTTAAAACCATGGCACCAATCACTGGACAGATGAGATTGACAGCAGTTATTCATTACATATAATCATGGAAGGAGAAAGCTATGTAAGGTATACAGACCCACACAGCCATTGCACCTGGGAGCAGAGAGAACAAACAGGAGGTGTCGGGGAAGGCTTTGTAGTATCAAGAGGGTGAGATGCTCCTGGTTCCCACAGGAGGTGTTATTGGTTGGCCTGGATAATTCTGTGACCTTGGGGGAAACTGAAACACATTATACTACCAACTGCTAAGACTACAATAACATACCATAACAGTGTAATTCTGTAATGTACTACATAATACTAATGACAGTATGTTCTCACTTTTTTGATAGATTCTGGGAAACTGTGACTTTAAGTAAAACAATATACTATATAATAAAACCAATTTTACCATTGGCTAATTGATATAAACAAGTTAATTTTCCATGGCATACAGTATTTTGTTTTACTTAAAGTCAGTTTCTAAGGACCTATCAATGACGTTAAGTGAGCACTTACTGAACATGTATTTTAGTGATGTGTAATATAAAGTAGCTATATAAAATATACTATATAAAATATACTATCCATATACAAAACTACATGTGCTACACATTACAGTCTTGAACCACATAAAAATGTTCTAGAAATTGACAGACCATATATATGAGGGTGTTTTGTTGTGAGTAGGTATATGTAAACCTGCCTTTAAAAGCCAAGGGAGTTGAAAGGTTGAAGAATGAGGCTGACAAATCAAGTTTCTCAGAAAGGAACATTTAAGATGGACTTATGAATAGAAGCTATGTCTCAGATGGCTGAAGATGGTGGATCCTCCCACTGTTAACCCCTAAACCCAGACACTTAACACAGGAAAGGAATGTGAAGGACAATTGAAATCACCATATAAATTTGCCTAAGGGTAGGATTTACACTAAGTAACTGTTCACAATAACAACAAGATTGTTTTAAGGGTAGGGCTTACAGAACAGTAGGTTTCAGTATATGACATAGGTACTTGAAACCCCCCAAAAAAACATTAGAGGAAATACCTGTGTCATAATTTTAGGGTTTTTTTTTAGTAACTTAAAATCTGGTTATATTAAATTAAGTAATCTTGTTTCTCACTAAAAATTAACATTGCTAAGCATTAAAATGATAGTTTTAAGACAGTTTTTACCCCAGCACCAGTGATAATAGGGCCCCAGGTCCCACCCCTTCGGGTCCTGAATGACAGAAGATGTGAACCAACTCATAGCCACATGACGACAGGGTAAAAAGTTCCAAGCTGCAGCCCTTTTCAGGCAAGACTTCCTCCTTATGCTGAAGCCCAGACCTCACCGTGGACATTTGAATTTATCCTTGTATATAAGGTTATTTTTATTTACAAATTATATATATATATGGCCAGGCATAGTGGATCTCACCTTTAATCCCAGCACTTTCGTAGGCTGAGAGGAGAGGGGCTCTTGAATCCAGGAGTTTGAGACTAGCCTGGGCAACACAGTTGGATGTTATGATCAAGTTGGATTTATTCCTGGGATGCAATAATATTTTAATATGTGGAAATCAATAAATGCTATACACCTTATTTACACAACAAAAAGATTAAAAATCATGACTTTTTATGCATGCCTAAAATTATTTTGACAAAATTTAAAATCCATTCCTAACAAAATTTATAGCAAATTAGGTATAGAAAGAATATACCTCAAAATAAAGAGATGCGTTCTTTATTAGCTATAGGACAAGCCCATAGCTAACATTGTCAGTGGTGAAATGTTGAAATCTTTTCTAAGATTTATTTTAAGATAAAGATGCCCACTCTCACTACTTCCTTACATACAGTATTTGAAATCCTGCTCAGAATATAAGACAAGAGAAGAAAAAATTGGGGCATTTAAGAAAGAACAAGGTCTTATATTCATGGAGATTAACGCGCAGGTTTTTACAGATTTAACAGCATGAAACCTGGTACCACCCAGGAATCAAAGGAACTCTCCCTGAGGACACAGGGCTTTAGGGCGTCAATTATTAAGAGGCTACATGAAAGCAGAAATGCTCCTCAATGTTTCCATTGTCTAGATATAAAGTTTCAACAGATGAGCACCAGTAAGTAAAGGCACATCCCTGACTACTGTAGGTGATGATCTTTTCACACAAAGCAGAGATATGAAACCTGACAGGTTTCAAAGACCCCCCAAGTGCTCCATACCTTGAAATTCATCTCCACAAAGCTGGAGCACCATCTGTTCCTGAGCCTGACAGGTTTCAACGACCCCCCAAGTAATCCATACCTTGAAATTCACCTCCACAAAGCTGGAGCACCAGCTGTTCCTGAGGGATCAGGTCATCATCTGTGTCTTTGAGACACTGGCCAGTCAGGCTTCAGTGGATATGAGGTCAATAATTTCAAGTGTAAAATGCCTAAACTATCATAATCTTTAGGTAGATATTTGGGGGCCTGCACACTTAAATGGGTTGGTGAAATGTCAAACCAGACACATGGCTGAAAACTGGGATTTTCTCTTCTGCTCTTAGCAGTACCTTGGTAGCCCAGTGATTACCCTCCCTCATTCCTCCACGTCCACGTCCGCGAAAAAGGCACTGGTGAGGGTGACATTTTCACAAAGCCATAGCCCATGATCACTTCTTGCAAAGCTCTGAACTTGTGCATTCCCAGGCCAGGCGGTGGGTGTCTTTCAAAGTCGGCTGAGCTTGTGCTTTGCTTGGACAGAGCGGAGAGCAACAGCACAGTGGACACCCTTTGGGACCTCAGCCCAGTTTCCAAAACCACTTAGGAAAGCAGGTGGCTCCAGGGGCTGGGGCAGGGGTGATGCTGTGGAAAGAGCCTGGGTGAGGGTGGGAGAGAAAATCGACCTGAGCAGCAGAGAGCCGCGTGAGTGAGGACCAGACACTCCTAATTTCGGCAAAGACGGGGCGCACTTCGCAAAAACACACCCTCCTCACTGGCCAGCCCACGCCTCCCCTTCAAGTTCCTCTCCTGACAATCCCCTTGGCAAGGGTTTGGCATGGAAACAATGGCCAGCAAAGCTTGGTAAATGAAGCCGCCTACACCGCCCTGCCCCTCCCTGCACGGCCGCGCTCCGCCTCCGCTCCTATCTCAATTTGAATTGTCCTCCTGCAGCCCCACCACCCACAGTGGGGAACCGGTGAAGAGACTACAACTCCTGGATGCACCGGGAGGCGGGTGTCGCCCCGCATCCCCCCGCCCTGGGCTAGGCGCACAGCGCAGCCCGGAGCAGGCTGGCATCCTAGACCCTCTGCCCTGCCAACAACACAACAACAGCCGGGGAGTGGACCTGACCCCGGAACTCCCGAAATTTCCTGAAGACGGTTCCGCTCCCTGCCTCGCCCTTCCAGGCAGCCCAGCAGTTTCGCCCTGCGGAGGGAAGCCTTTCTGTTCTCAAATCTCTCGTGCTGGGGAGACAGTGGAGCTAGGGCGGCTAGTTTCCCCTTGTAATTGTGACACCTTGTCTCCTCGAGCTGCAGGCTAATGCTTGTCGTGTTCGTAGTTTGATTTCTCGCAGATCAACAAAGGGCCGGTGGCCTCTCTCGGCCTCCGCGGGAGGGTTGCCAGGGTAACGCTCTTCCGCCAGACTTTGGGCGCGCCCCGCCCCTTTTCTCACACAGCCTCCTCCTCAGCCCCACCCTCTCTCGCTCCTCCCTTTCTAGTTCCCTTTCAGACATGCGCAGTGCGGCCGTCCCTAGAGGCGGGTTAACGGCCGCGGACCTGGCAGTTCTCAGGCTTCTCCAAGGGAGAAGCCCCCTTGCCAGGGTCTCGATTTCCCGCCAACCAACAAAGGTTCATTTGCCTCTTATGGCCTGCGCGGGAGGGTTGCCATGGTAATACTTCTCCGCCGGATGTTGGGCGCACCCCGCCCCTTTTCTTGCCCCCCTCCCCCTCCACCCCGCCCCTTCTTGCTCCTCCCTCTTGTCACGCCCTTTCAGACATGCGTAGTGCAGCCCGTCCCTAGCGGTGGGGTAAAGGTCCTGCCCTTTTACACATGCGGAGTGCACCCGTTCCTAGGGGTGGGGCTAACGGGCCTACCGTTTCAGACATGCTCAGTGCAGCCTGTCCTTAGGCGTAGGGTAATGGTGGGCGACCTGGCAGTTCTTGGGCTCCTTGGGATCCCCTCGAGAAGCCCCCTTGTTAGTGTATGAAACCGTCAGTTCACTGCCAGTAATGAAAACATCGTGTCCTTAGTCACCTGCCATTAGCCTTTTCGAAACCATTTTTTCTGTTCCCTAAGCTGTCACAAATCCTCCTCTGCATCCCAGGAGTGCCGCTTGGTCCTCGGGCTCGCAGCGTGGCCCACACCTGGGTCGGGCCTCTCACGGGGACGCTCCCGCCACTGTGATAAAGAGGAGAAAACGTCACAGGGGAAGGGCCTGACCCTGCTGCATCCAGTAAGGAAACAGCCACAGGGAAGGGACCCCGTAAGCCACTTTGGGAGCCACATCCACCACTTCTCTGACCCCACGCAGGCTGCTTCCCAGGCCTCATGGTACTAGTGTGGACCTCCTGGCTGTGATTAATGCAGGTCAGCAGGACCAGAGCGTCCCTTGGTCCCTCCCAACCCATGAGGGTATTTTCTGTGGTGAGGTCAGCGATAGTGTCTGCGTTTCTGCCCTGAATAAGGCTCCCTTGAAAAATCTTTTAATATCTCTTTATAAATACCTCCTTTGGATCACTTTTAATAGTTTGCTGATAGAACTAAACAGTGATCATTCTCTTAATTCATGTTTCCATTAAGTTTTTTAGATTAAGTACTGCACGACTACTCGCTTCTGAAACTGTCATAAGAAACTGCCTCAGCTCCCTGCAGGGTGGACACACAAGAGCAGAATCTCCGTGGGACATCTCTTTGGAGCATCAATATTACTACAGTATTTGGAAGACACAAATTTAAATAATTTCTAAGGTAAAGAATGGAACATTTAAGACAAGGCTGGAAAGTCATCTGCCTTTAATAACTCATCTGTGCCTCACATGTCAGACTTTCTCCAAGAAAAAAACTAAGGAGAACTTATTTCCATTCTTATAAGTAGTAAAAATAATAAATCATATCAAGTCAATTGAAAGTCCTGTCTGCTAGTTTCTTAAATCACAATATGGCCTTGGTATGGTTTTATTTGTATTTTTGTGGGGGGTTTGTGGATCTTTAGATTAAAAAAGAATTAGGTTTTTGAACAATTTTTGAAAGTTTTCAGATATTAGTTGTTGATTTATTTTTGTAACCCTTTTAATTCTTCTGACTCTCTCCTCTCCTTCTCAGACTGAATGATTCCATGGGTCTCTAAGCCTCGGTTTATTTTCTTTAAATTTTGTTGATTTGCTTTTCTACCCCATTTAATTTTTTCTGTCTCTCTCTTCTTCTCAGAATCAATCATCCCACAGATAGGTCTAAGGCTCTGTTCATTTTCTTTTAAACTATTTTTACTTCTATCCTCAGATTGGTTAAATTATATTGCTATGTCTTCTGTTTCTGATATATAGAAAAGCTCACAATTATTTTTATTATTTTTCTATGTGGTCATTTTTCATTTCTCTGCTGATGTTCCACATCTGTTCATTTATGAGAATATTTTCCTTTGCCCCCATGAGCATGCTTATAATAGCTGCCTTCAAATTCTTGTCTGCTGATTATGTCTTGGACATCTTGGAGATGTCTACTGCCTGCTTTTTATCTTGTGTATGTATTATATTTTCATGTGTTTTCACGCATCTCCTGAATTGGAAAATTGTGCACTAGAGACTGTATAGAAGAGTTAAAGAGACTCTGGATTCTGTTTTGTCCGTTTGAAGAGTGTTGTCTTTAAAGAGGGTGTTAATTGGGCTGGCTTCTAACTTCAATACTTCTCTCTTCTATGGAGGGCACAGCTGAAATATGCATTCAGTTTTTATACACACATATTTCATATATCTATTATATATAGAAGTGTTTCTATAATAACATATAATGTTTTACCTGGGATTCATCATTTTTCTCTGTGAGATTGTTAGTTAAACTAGCTACTTCATCATTAGTGGAAGCCAGAACCTCAGTTTTGATTTTTGGATTTAAATACAAGAAATTACAGAGTATGGATACTTTTACATCAATTTTTAAATGTAAGATTATATTTGTGATATTTATTTATGCTGTTGCAGATATCTATAGTCCGTTCATTTTAAAAAGTCCTTTTTAACATTGTGGTAAAATATACATAAAATTAACCATTTTAACAATTTTTAAAAGTGCAGGTCAGAGGAATTAATCACACATTGTTCTGCAACCATCATCCACATTCACAGGGAATTTTATTCATTTTGCAAAACTCAAACTCTGTTCCTGTTAAACAACAATCCCCCTTTACCTTCCTTTTGTCCTCTAAGAACTAACTGCTTTTCTACTTTGAGTTTCTATGAATGAAATTACATAAGTACCTCATATGGGTGGAATCATAGAATATAGTAAAGAACTCATGAGGAAGAATAATACACACTGTGTAACATGTTTATTAATTTAAATAAACACAAGAGACCAGTAGTACATGGTGATTATAGAGAAAGACAGATAAAAAAGAAAAAGCAGTTAGAAGTGTGTGTTAAATTTATGACTATGGCGTCTCAAGTTCCAGAACAGTGAGGCCCCTGTCCCAGACACAGGGCTGATCACGGTGAAGCTGGGAGCTCAGTGTAGCTGTATGACTCCAAAGCCCATGCTCAGTCCAAATGTCACTGAGCCCTGAGGAACTCTGCCCCTGCCAGCCCAGGCACTCAGTGGCCCTGAGATTCACCATGGCCTGTTCTTGGTCTTGAGTGTGTTGCTGGCCTACTGGGATGGGGGCTTAGCTGACAGAACAAATAGGAGCTTCAGGAAAGAGTGGCAGTTGTGAGGCCACCAGGAGCCACACCTCAGGCTTCCCACTGCCTGCCCAGGGGTCACCATGCAGCAGGGCCTAATGTTGACCAGGAAGCCATGGCCCCAGGCTCTCTGAAGCTGGTCACAAGACAGAGTGTTCTTCTACCCTCCGCTAATCTCCTAAGCTCTCACCTTTTATTCTGACTGTGCCACTTCATGGACTGGGACCAAACCCCAAATTCCTCCTCTGTCAGAAGATGATAATTATCTCTTGTCACTGAAGTAGTTGCATTTCCTGAAGGACTTTGATCTGGAGACGGAAGGGCAGGATTCTGACAGCTCCTGGGTGGAAGATAATAAATGGAACTTGTGGGGGAGAGAGAGGGCAGGGGCAGTCTCTGGGGCTTTTCTTTTAAGGGGCTCCACCCTCCCCTCCAATCCCATGTAGCTCCAACCTGTTCTCAGAGTTGATTATAAAAAGTCCCTCCTCTAGGAATTTATCATTGATTATATTCATCTAATCAAACCCTCCATTGGGATGGGTCTCCTCCTTCTCTGTGTATCAAACTGTCCCAATAAATCTAAGATGCAGAGGATGGAGCCAGGGAGTGTCCTCCCCACGGTGGTCACTGACTTTCACATCGCCATCCTCCCTCAAAGCGACAGCGCCAGCTGCTCACCTTCCTCCTTTATTAGTGTTGATTATATTCCCTAGAAGGCAGACAGCCAAGATTAATGAGAAAGGCTCCATGGCCCATGACTAGACCTCATCCCTTATACTTCCTATGCTGCACCACCACCAGGGCCGCCAGGGTCAGGACATGTTCATACAACAGGACTTAGACCTGCATCAGGTTCTGGGCTCCACAGAAGGGACACTGAGGCTCCGTGACTTTTGAGCTACTCCAAGTTGCTTATCTCTTTCCTATGGTGCGTGTGCTACAAAGAGGAGTGGAGCCCCCATGTTGGATGTATCTAGCCCAAGCTGGACATTTCTATCCATGAAGCTGCAGCCATCCCTGCCCATACAAGCTTCCATCTTACTTATCTATGATTGCAGCCCGAACTTACAGGTTGCTCTTTGTTAAAGAGATGTGATTTTTTGGGCTGCTTTTCATTAGAAGGGATGTTACGCTGAGTACTCTTTGCTCTATCTGCCTAGCTAGTTTCTTTCTACCTCTGCTCTCAGTGATAACTATTCTGTTTTAAGGGAGTCCTGGGGGTGGGAACAGACAAATTTGAGACCACAAAGTACCTTAGAATAAGAATTCACCCTTTAATCAGCTTTAGTGTATTGCACATCTATTATAATATCAGTTTCATGCACGACTGAATATAACAAGAAGGGAAAATGTGTATATTCGAAACATCTAGATGACAAACAGACTTTCCACAGATTATTTGTGTGCTCCTGTTTTAGAACTTGGTCATTCCGCTGTAGATTATTTTCTTTGGAATCACCAAATGATGAGGAAGCCTCGTCTGGTAATCAGGACACAGTGGATTACTTGCAGGGAAGGTGTTTTTGTGGAAACCCTAAAGGGGCAGGCACTGCAGCCCACAGGAAAGCCTCAGCCACGATTCTCTCTGGTGCTGCCCTGGCTGGGTAAGGCAGCCACAAAAAGCTCTGATTCCCTGTCCTGAAGGGCAACCTTGGCCAGGCAAGCCCAAGCCTCCAGGAAAAAAGGACAAACAAGGGAGCACCCCATGTTCAGGCCTTGTTGTGAGCTGCTCCTGCAGCCTGCACAGGGGCACAACTCCTACATGCCTGGTCTGTTCTGCTCCTTTAGGAGATGGAAGATTCTCCACCCTGTTGGCCGGGCCTAGGAAAAACTCAAGGTCTGCATGGCAGTTTCTGAGTCTCCAGGAGCCAGTTGTCTCATTGTGATGACAATGAGAATGGCCAGAAGTACTGGGGTGGGGAAGACAAAGGGCAAGCAGAAGGCGAGCTTCCAGAAAGAGGCTTACCACAAATGCTTAAGTGCCTGGGTGGGCGCGGGATTGCTGGGTGTTGCCTGGGGGCAAGTCAATAAGCCTGGCTGGGGATCGCCAAGATAACCATCCCCTGCCAGGGGTCACCAGGGATTATCTGAAAACCTTCGGGAATGATACATGTCCCCGTTTGCTCAAAAACGGGAAGAAGCTGCAGCCTCAGCAGGTTATCCAGGCCACTGAGAGGCGCAGTAAACCCACACCGAGTGGACTCCCACATTGGCAGTAGGCAGCTCTCCTGACCCATCCACCAGCCATCTGCCTCCATTGATGGAGCTCTTCAGGGCTGATCAGACCCCCTATTGGCAGTGCTGATGAGATTCACTGCGACCTGGACAGATCTTTGGCTCAGATGGGCCGCTTGAGTTTCAGTGACCTGGACCATTTTTCCTGGCCTTCAGAAGGCCCCTTCCAGTGTGAGTGGGCCAGACCTGACCCTGGCTGTATCTTCCTGGGAACCCATCTCACCTGCCCTCAATCCCAGGGCTCCTGATAAGCACTTCTTACTTTCCCAGGACAAGCCTGGCTCCAACAGCATCTCTAGATGCTGTGTTTCTCTTTGTGGTGAGCAAAGAAAGAGAATGAGTTCCATTTTTTATTCTTTTCTAATTTACCTATAAGTTATTTATTATAAAAAGGCTTGGGCTGCAGTAGATCTGACCCACCCACCCAGGAGGCCTCAGTACCCTCCCAATCCATCCTGTCACTAAATATTTCCACTCCTAAAAATATAGGGGGAGGCAGGAGCAAGTGCAGTTCCTCTGGCACCAGTGCTGTGAGGATGGGGCTAGAAGGGTCATGCCCAGGAAGATTCTATAGGAATTTTATAGAAATAAACATCTCAATGTTTGTTTGGACAGATTGGCATGGAGAAATTTTGATAGGTTCTAGTACCCAGAAGTTAAGCTTCATAACAACCATGAGGTTACAGCTTTCTCTTCCTGAATTTGGCAGTGTTATTTGGTGTCCAAATTGCCACAATGTCCACACATATTTACAATAGTTTATATTATTCAATTTTGTATCACTAATTGTGCACATTGGCCAGCAGTGTTTCATACATCACGGTTGGTTTCCCACCTTGCTTGAAAATTGGAAGTGACAGCCCTTTATGGAATGTTGTTTTTAACACACTTCCATCTAAGGCTCTGCATCCCCACAGTGCTAAGATGACAAATAGTCATCACTCTTCCATTTTGAGGGGGGCAGGGTAAGCAGATGCAATTTGAGAATACAAAGTACCTTGGAATCAGAATTCATCTGTCAATCAGTTTTAATGTGAATTTCACGTCCATTAGAATAGCCTGTTCATGCACTCTTAGGATTTCAAGGAGGGACAAATGTTACCTTTGAAAAATCGAAGTAACCAATGGACTTACCTCAGATATTTTGTTTGTTTGTTTCTGGCACTTGGTCATGCCATTGTAGATTGTTTCTTTTGGAATCACTGGGTGATGAGAAACTCCAGGCTGGTGAGCCGGACACTGCAGAGTCCCTGTGGGAGAAGTGTTATTACGGTGGCCCAAAGTGGAAGGCACTGCAGACCATGAGAAAGCCCCAGCCAAGATTCTGTCTGGCATGACCAGGTGCTGGGTGAGGTAGCCAAGAGCTTATTCTGGGTCTGGAATGGAGACCCCCCATCCTAGGTGCGGCTCCAGGTTCCAGGGAGCAGGCGAGGGACAGGGAGCACCTTGCACGTAGGCCTGCATTTGCCACTGGGTGCCCCACTTCTTCCTGCAGTGCTGGGTCTTGTTACATTGCTTCTGGAGGCTTCAAAGGACTTTCCTCCCTGACTCCCAGCACCTTCGCCTGGACGCTTCAGGACCCCAGATCTGTACATTTCTCGAGTCTCTATGGCGTCAGGTGCCCTATTGTGACAAGGAGGATGACCGAAAGTAGGTGATTAGGGCCTTTCGAAAAACAAAACAAAACAAAATGTTGTAAGAGGGAGGCCTGATGTGACTGCCTCTAGCCTGCGGCTGCTGGTGTGGCATGCAGGCAGGAGTTGTCTCTGCCAGGACGATGGGATTTGCTGTGCTGAAGATTCTCGCCATTTCCTTCCTTTCCCCATCAGGGAGCCTGGGTAATAAGCTGAAGTAGTAGTTCCCCATCTGGAACAAAGACTGCGAACCCTCGCTTGGGCTCCAGCCTGCAGGACACACGTATGAGCCATGGAGCACCCCACATACATAGGTTGTTGTGGGCTGGACCTGCAGCCTTCACTGGGTTCCTGACTTCTTCATGGAGTGCGGGGGTTTTGTTCTTCTCATACTGGAGGTGGCAGATGACTGTCCTTCTGGACTTCCTGTATGTTTGCCTGACCCCTGTAGGACCTGTGATCAGTGGGGTTCCCAGGTCTTTATGGTATCAGGTGCCCCATTGGGATGAAAAGTAGGATGACCAAAAGTATGCCAGTGGTTGAGGAAGAAAAAAAAGAGGAGGAGTGGAGTTTCAGAGAGGAGGCTTGACAGGATCTCCTCCAGCCTGGGGCAGCTGGATTGGCGAGGCTGGGGCTGGCTGGTGCTTGGGTGAGGTGATAAACCATGATGAAGAATGCGATTATCCCCCTTTTCAGTTGGGGGTGCCTGGCCGTATCTGAAAAGCTTGGGAAAGTGTATACCTTTCAGCGCTTAAGAAAAGGAAGAAGCAGCAGCTGAAGTGGATTTTCTAGGCCTTCCAGTGGCATTGCAGAACCTGCACTGAGTGCCACATGGACCACAGCCTGGGCCTGCAGTTTTGGGCCGGGGCATCTGTGGGAGCTCAGCCGTTGCTGCCCCAACCCTTTTTGGATTCGCTTCTCCCCAGACTGTCCCAGAGTTCAGGTCTCCGGGTCTTTGGTCTGCCCAATAAATGTACAGGGGTGAAAAGACGAGGGTGTGGAGTCAGGAGCCTTGTTCCAGTGAGCGGCATAGTGAGAAGTCAAAAGAGAGGTTATGATCTGGTTGTGCTTAAAGAGGAGAGGCCAAAGCCTAGGACATTCTGCCTTTTTAGAGGACTTAACTTTCAAGCCTTATTTGGTCTCCACTGGCCTTTGCTTCTGAGGATGAACGAGTTGGGGCTCTGTTACATGGATGTCTAAAGAGATCATAACCCTCACCCTGAATGACCAACAGACTGATAGCTCTAGCCCAGTACCTAGGTAATATGACTCCCTTTAGCTACCTGTGCCCTCCCTAAGTAAGGGAATGTGACATAGCACTGGGCCAAGCACCCAGGTAATGTGACTCTCCTGCCTGTGCCCTGCCTGCACTGGGCAATGTGACATATCACAGAGCCAAGCATCCAGGTGATGTAACTCCTTGTTTGGGACCTGTCAACAGAAGGGATTGTAATATATCTCTTGCCCGTCACCCAGGTGATGTGACTCTCTTGCCTTCTGTTCACCCACAGCTAAGATTGTGACCTTTACTAGGCCCAGCACACAGGAATCATGATGCCTTTCAGATGTGGATCCATCTGATAGAAGATATTTTGACTCTTATAGATAGATTTAGGGCAAAGGGTAAGGTCCTGAGTCTCCTACTTGTAAAACGTTACAGGAGATTCTGACACACACACGTATATTATGAAGCCTTTGGGTGGTACAGAGAGTTTCATAATACAAACCAGAGCACAGGTGATGTTGTGACTCTTGTAGCCACATCCTGCTGAAATTTAGAATTGTCACCCTCATGCATGAAGGGAGCCCAGTGGTGAGCTCCTGAATCTCACATGCAGATGAAGTCCACAGTTGGAATTGTGACTGCTATATGTAAATCTGGCCACAGGTGGTATGGTGACTCATTTCTGGACCCAGCTCACAGGTCCAGTAATGACTCTCATACCTGGACCCAGCCAATAAAATAGATGTTTGCTTTAGTAACTAGGCTTAGGGCAACAGGTAGTGTTCTGGGTTTCTTAATTGTACAAAAGTCACAGAGCCCTACAACACTCAAGCATATTGCACATTGCTCTCAGGTGGTAAAGAGAGTTTCATAACAGGGTCCATAACACAAACAAAATTGTGACTCTTGTCTGCACACTTAGCTAACAGTAAGATCATGGGTTTATACAAGGACAAATGCTTCAGAGTGGATTGCAAGTCTCACACGTAGTATAAAAACCCACAGATGGTGCAAAGAATAATAAAACAAGGCCCAGTACAGTGTTGAAGGTTTGACTCTCATTGCATACACTCCTGACAGTAAAGTTTTTCACACTCCCACATGGACACAGCCCACCATTGAATTTCTGAATTTCACACCCAAAGGCAGTCCAAAGGTGGTATTATTACTCTTATATGTGGGTCCAGCCTTCAGGTGAGATGATGAGTCTCTGACTAAGATTCAGCAAATATGTTAGGCTCTAACTCTTCTAATGTGTGTTGTTTGAGGTTGAGTCTTTCATGTATGGATCCAATTTACTGTTGATATCATGACTTGCAAACTTGGGCAAATGAGGTGTGTAAAAGTTTATGAGGTGCATACTTTTATACCTGGACCCAGAACATCTGCAGGAATGTAACTTTTATTCCTAGACCTTCCCACATGTGTGACTGACATATACTTTTGTCCAGCCAGAAATTAACTGATTTGAATATATTGTCTCTATAAAGCCCACAGTTTGGATTGTGACATATCCTAAGCCAATAACCTCAGTAATGCAGCCCTCCTGCCTAGTCCCTTCTCACAGGTGGCTTTGTGATATTCCTTTCATCCCATTTCCAGATGATGTTATTGTACTCTCCTGCCTGGGCCCCATTCCCAAAGGGTATTGTGACATATTGATGAGCCCAGCACTCGTGTGATGTAATGCTTAGCCTGGGTTCTGCCCACAGGGGACATTGTGACACATCACTTGTCCCAGCACCATAGTGATGTGAATATCCTACCAGCACTCAACCACAGGGGGAACACTAATATATCCCTGGCTCAGTATTCAGCTGATGAGACTCTCCTGCCTGGTTCTACTCACAGGTAAGATTGTGACATATCCCTAGGTTCAGGTCACAGGAATAATGAAGACTCTCATATGAGGGCCCAGCCAGTAGAAGATATTTTTACTCTCATAGAACAATCAGTAAGGTTCTGCATCTCCTAATTGTATAAAGATTACAGATGTGAACAGAACCCACTCACGAGGCCCTGGATCTCACTTACAGAAACATTTCCCAGTTGGAATTGTGACTGTCATATCTGGATCCATCCACAAATGGGATGGTGGCTCATTTCTGAACCCAGTTCACAGGCACACTGATGACTCTCATACATGGAGCCAGCAAATAAGACAGGTTTTGACTCTCATGCCTCAACTTAGGGCAACATGTAGGATCATGGGTTTATGCCATCATGAAATCTTAGAGCAGGTTTTCATTCTCATGCAGACCATATGAAGCCATTAAGTGGCACAGAAGGTGACTAATAAAGGCCCAGCACACAGGTGACATTTTGACTCTTCCAAGCACACACGACATACAGAGAGGAATGTCATCTTCCTATAGGGACATAGACCATTGTTGAGGTTCTGAATATCATACCCAGATCAGTTGAAAGTTCACATTGTGACTCTCATACATGGATACAGTTCACAGGTAGAATGGTGACTTATATATCAAAATTCAGCACACCTGTGAGATCGTGGCTGCTCTAATTAGACAGTGTTTGCAGGTGTGTTTGGAGCTTTCATGCATGAATTCTGTCCACCATTGAGATTGTGATTTGTGTACTTTAACAAAATTCAAAGAAGCTGTTGTCTCTTATCCTAGGAGTCAGAAAATGTGTGGGACTGTGAATCTCATCCCTGGACTTTCCTGTAGGTGTGACTTTGAAATACAATTTTTTTCTCACCACTTGATTGACTTTACTCCCTTGCATGAGCCCTGCCAACAGTTGGGATTATTACATACAACTGACCCAAACACTGAGCTGATGTGACTGTCCTGTCTGGATCATACCCACAAGGGACATTGTAATGTGCCTGTGAGCCCATCACCTGAGTGATGATACTCTACTTTCCTGCCTGTGCCCTGCCTCCAGTAAGGTTTGTAACAGAAATCTGGGCATATCATCTAGGTGATAGGACTCTCCTCTCATGACTGGGCCCTGTTAACAAGGGGGATTGTGACATATTGCTGGGCTCAGCACCTAGGTGATATGACTCTTTTGACAAGGTTCTGTCTACAGTGGGCATTGTGACATATCACTGAGCCTAGCACAAAGGTGATGTGACTTTCCTGTGTGGGTCCTACCAATTGAGCAATATTGACATTTCCCTGTCCCAGCATTCAGATGATGTGGTTTTCCTCCCTGTTTCTGCTCACAGGTGGGGTGTGACGTATACCTAGGCCCAGGCCACAGTCATGATGATAGCTTTCTTACATGGACCCAGCCAGGAGGAGTAATTTTGACTTTAATAGCTAGGCTTACGGCAACAACTAAGGTCCTTGGTCTACTAATTCTAAAATGGCCACAGAAGATTATGACACTCACATGTATTTTATAAACCCCTTGGGGTTTAGAGAGAGTTACATAACAGGGCCCAGCAAACAGTGACCTTGTGACACTCATAGACACATGTAGAAAACAATTAGGATTGTCAACCTCATACATGGGCAGAGTCCACTAATGAGACTCTAAATCTCACACATGGATGCAGTTCAGAGTTGAAATTGTGACTGTCATATGTTGATCTGGCCTCAGGCTGGATGATGTTTAAGCGATTCCTTGTGACTTTTGTCACAGCAATATAATTTTGCATTTTGGCCAAAAATAACTTTTTTTTTGAGACAAAGTCATGATTGTGGAGAAACATTGATTTAGATTTATGAAATCTGTTTCCTTTTTAATACAGCATTGACAAATAGAGCATTATATATTTATCTTCCCTAAGTTGTTCTCTTTCAAAAAGACTAATATAATGAAAAAAATAAAATTTTCTTTGTAGTTGATTTTTATCCAAAATACATAAATATGCTTAATTTAAAACAGTTTTCAAAAACAACTGGTTTTTGGCCAAGATTCAAGAAGCCCCAGAATGTCTTATCCAAAACAATCAACTAAAGACTGTCAACTAAAAATTAAGTGATGGTACTTAAGTCTAATTTGTTCTGTTTTTCTTTTTTTTCTTCTTTTCTTTTTCTTTTTTTTTTTTTTTGAGATGAGGTCTCACTATGTTGCTTAGGCTGGAGTGCAGTAGCTAGTCACAAACACAATCATGGTGCGTTATAGCCTGGACTCAAAGGATCCTTCTGCCTTAGCCTCCTGAGTAGCTGGGACTAACGGCACATGCCATCACATGGCTATGTTTTTAAAAACCAGCTTTACATTCTTGCACATTTTTGGACATTGTGAAACAAATATATTTTGACTCTCAAGAAAAAAGTACTTGGTGGCACATTAAAGAATGAGTGAATGAGTTTACAAAACACAAGAGGCAGGGTACAGTTATTCCAAAATGATAGGAAACAACATTGTGCCTTTGCTTTTGTTTGAAGAGAAATAAACTGTTTCCATTCAAGTTTTAAGTGCCAAAATAGCTAATTACTGTTAAAATATCACCACGATTAGTAACATTACTCAGAGAATCACTATTTCCAACAGAAACAATTTTAGTTATATTCTAGAAGTACTATGTTGTAACTTTCCTTTTAAGGGTCTTATATCTCCTCAGTATTATCACAAACCACCTTGTTAGATTTTAAATTAACTAATTCTAACTCAACACAAATTAAAAACTGCTCACATTCCCAAGGAAGAAATACTATTGCATATTTCACTCATATTTCAGGAACGTGTGTTTCCCCCATACTGACAATGCACCTATGAATTACATTCCATTATCTGAATTCATAACACTCAAAGTGCTTATGCTCTTCCACTGAACAAGTACATCAATATATTTGTAGCCTCAAACTACTTCATGAACTCTAAAGGGATTCTCTATACAGGGAGCTTCCTTCATGAAATGAATTCAGCTAGTCACCTGCATACCAATATCCCCAAGTATCTAAGCAAATTTATTTTGCTCTTTTCCAATCCAAGATCTCTTTGGATCATGTACTTGGTGAAGTGTTACATGGGTGTGAACAATAATCTCTCACTGTACAAATTCTTTCAAGACTTGTGGATAAGTAACCCAGGTATTACTTCCTACGGAATGACCACCCTCCAGCCAATATATTGTTCTTATGCTTTTAATGGAAGTATCTATGTCTTTGCGTTTCTTGGCTTCTTTCAATTCAAAAAGAAACTGATTCAAAACAACACAATCTTTATTGAATCCAGTCAAATTAAAAGATGCATCATTTAGTGATGGTGGATAAAAACTCATAGCCAACTCATCAGGTTTTTCACAGGTCCTCTCTTTTTCTCCCTGGAAACGATTTGTAATATCAGGAAACTGGACTGCAATTACATGCGTGGAGTCCTTATTCCAACCGTTCAAATTTTTCTTTGATAAACTATTATGACTTAAAAGCATTAACTAATAATACAAAGGTGCTTAAAAGCTCCAGAGTCAGTATTGTGTTCTGGGGAACCAAACATGTTACTTTTCACAAAATCGTCATGGCAACTGAGTCTGTGCAATGCATTCGAGAGCACTTTATCACCTAAATACAGCTATTGGGGAACCGGTGGGCTAAAATGATGGCAACATTTTCTAGACTCCAATTTTCCCATTGGTAATTCTTAGGATGAGGAGTCATAATTTCATGGTAATTCTGCACATCCCTGGGGAAAGAGAGGACGTGGTGGCTGCAGCTCCTCCTTCGCCTGCTCCCCAGGGGTGTCCGGCGACTCCAGTCACTCCCTGGCCACCGCCAGCAGGAGTAACTCGGCGCTGAGCTGCGGGTACGCTCTGGGCGTGGCGGACGCGGCAGGCTCTGCAGGCGGCGCCTTGTGGCAGAGGGAAGGCATCGCTCACCGCCGCTGCCGATGGGTTCATGGATCTGTCCTGAGAGGAGGACGAGGTGTCTCCAATGCCAAGCTTCGGCAGCAGAAGCAGCAGCCACAGCGTACACAAAAGCCCGAACTGTTGGGAGGCGGAGGGTGGAGGGATCCTGAGAGAGGGACTGCGGCCGGATGCCCAGCTGTCGGAGCCCCGGCCAGGTAGGAAAAGCAGCATGGAAATTTTTCAAGACATTATAAATAGAACTACCATATATACGACCCAGCAATCTCACCACTGGGTATATATCAAAAGGAAATAAAATCAGTATGTCAAAGAGACAATTGCACTCCCATGTTTATTGAAGCAGTATTCACAATAACCAAAACCATTATTTCTTTGATAGGATTCATGTGTTTCCAATTTCTGAAACTTATGAGTCACTGATTTTTTGAATATTACCTTCCTGTTTATATAGTCTAGTAAAACAAATTATTTTTCATTTCTTCCCAGCTAATCTTCATATATAAATAAATATATTTGTATTTTGTATTAATTTGCCTTCTAAAAAGTATATGACTACATTAATTGTGCTCAGCGTTTCAGTTTATTAGTCCTCTCATCAGCTCAGCCTATTTTAATGTGTAATTTGTATGCTGTACAGTAGTTTTACTACATTTTCAATAGTTTACTTTCCATTTGCCTCTTTTCCAAATATGATTTTACAATCTCGTAGTTCTTTTCCACATTATTTTTGTTTCTTTTTTTATTATATTGTCAATCATGTAAATACAAACCTCATATCTCAGTTTTATGTGCCATATAATTTATCTAACGCTTCACACTAGTAACTTATCTCCTTTTGTGTAACATAATTTATAATTTTGTTCTCACATATGGAAGACAGCACACTGGGGATGCCTGCAGTCAGTTCATCTATGTTTATTCCATTTGTCTTGTTAGAAACTGAACAACCCACATGGATTTGACATCCCCTCATGATCATCCTCATGATCATCCCCTCATGAGAAATTCCAAGTTTCTTCATTTGAAATACTGCTCTCTTCAAGAAACCACAATTGTAATAATTTGTAGAATGTATTACCATTAGAAAATTAATTATGTATTATGCACACGTTTCTGAAATACTTCACTGCAGTAAATAGTATATGGTGAGAATTATTGTTTCCTTTAACAAAAAACTAATGTGGGTAAAATTATTTACATAAATTCAGATGTTTTGGCTTCAACTGCCATTCTACCTCATTAGCACTTCCCTAACTTCATAAAAGGTATGATTTGAAATTTTTGTTTAATTCAGAATGTATTAAAAAGAATTTTTAAAAAATGTTATAATGTTTATATTGCAATTGAGGACATGTTCAATAAATATCTTAAACTTCAGGCCCTAGCTAAGTATTCCTTTTGTACTAGAAATCAGATTTCTCTGGCACAACTCCACTGCCTGCAATAATATTTATAAAAATTACAAATGCCAGTGCACTATTTCAGTACTGTACTCAGTTGTTCATATCTAAATATTTCATTAGCTATGAAACAAATGAAATATAAATGCTGAATATATAGCACAAAACAACAGATTCTTTACAGAAGAAAACAGTAAAAGACTACTTTTCTATAGTATGTCACCTGTTCGTTAGTTCTTCGATAGTATTATTTAGGCTTTAAATAGTATTATTTGGACCTTTATTTATTTATTTAGCCTAAATAGTATTATTTAGGCTTTAAATGGTATTATTTAGACCTTTATTATAAAGGTCCTTTTATCTAGGTTCTAAAGGGCATAAACAAGAATGCATATAGCCAGATTTATTTTTATAAACTTTTGATATTTCTTTTGCTGTGGGTCTTACTGTGAATATATGGAGACAAAGACAAATGTATATTTAAGTCATTAGTGGTTATATGAATTTTGCTTATATGGCTTTTTGCTTACATGGATGTCATAAATGACACGATAAAATAATGAAGTTTGACAAACTCATCTGTGCCCTGTAAACTTTAGTCCACTTACTGCATAACTTGATTCAATCACTATTTATTAGTTTAAAAAAATGGCATTGAAAAGTTGCAAACCAAACTTTATTACACATTTCTGAATCAGGAAGGGGTAAACTGTGCCACAGACTCTTTTTGGGAGAAAAGTTCTGCAAAAAATAAAATAAAATAAATAAGAGTTTCCAAACTCTATTTTTTAAAAAACTTGAGTTTTCTTCTATGACTAACCCTCACTCGACAGCCCCTTTTTACCCAAGGCCTAGTCCCTAGGTCATCTTTTCAAGGTTTAGTTTCTGGGAAATTTTCAGAAAACCTATCTCATGCTTTGTCCCAGTTTGTTTTTGTTTTGGAGAAGGTGAACATCTTCAATTGAGGAGGAATTGCCTGTCCTCAAGCCTACGTGTGTCTGCTAAAGCTAAAGCAAAATTGGAGTTTTCATTCCTCCACCATCCTTCCCCAGGCCCTCTTCTTTTTTCCAACCCACCTCCTCAAACATCTTCTGACTTTTGTTGCTGTCAGTAATTTCAGAATGAACAGATGCAGGTGCATCAACTCTTTGGAAGTGTTCTTCACTTCCAATAGGCTCCTTACTTTTTCCAGCTGTATCTTTATGTTTCAGGTTCTTCAATGTCTATTCATCTTCATAGTCTGTATAATGTAAAACATACTTTACTCACATTTTAAAAATTATTTTCTTATTTCCAACTCTTTTTTCCCCTACTTAGCTGTAAACAATTAATTCAATAAACAATTCTCTCTCTTATCAAGGTGAAAGTGAGTTCCAACCTGCTGTGGTTCACAGCCATCACAAGTATCACTGCCAGGGTGAATGTGAAAGGGTAACCTAGTCTCTCCAATTTTCATTTCATGTCTATGCTTAGGTACATAAGGCTCACATTTAGTTGTCAGCCGAACAATCCGTTTTCCATTAACAATTGTTTCATTTTGACTGCCTTGATATACAAGGACATAACTTTGTAAATCATGGTCAGAATAAATTTTTGCTGAAACTTACTGACAGCAACTTCAGGAATTCAAAGAGTATGCTCCAGATCATTTTCTCTTCCAATTGTAGCAGGTTTTACAGCAGTAATGATAAAGAGTGATCCTGTATACAACAAGGGTGATCTAATGATAATTAATACACGGGGGCCAAGATTTTTTCTTACTTGCCTCCTCAGTGTCTTCTGCAGTTACATTGCCTTCACTGGTCATGAGAGGAGGGGCTGTGGTAGGGCCTTGAAGGACGCCTGTGGAGCCAGAGGCCATTGGATTGCAGGCAGCCAAGAGCTACCTCGCCCCTGCTATCTGCTGTGGCCCTCGCCGGGATGCGATGCCCTGACATGGGTTGCCTGGAGCTGTGCGCAATGAGCAAGGGGACGGCTGATGGCCCTCCCAGATCTGCATGGCCTGGAAACCATAAAACTCTTGGGAACTATCACATCTTCCCCAGCTACAGGAAGAATAGAAGTAGTGTTGGAGAAGTCAAGGGGTCAGAAGTACTGGGGGCGTTCCCAGGTTCAGCCAGAAACAGTTCACAAGAGAGTTTTAAATAAAGTGTACCTGTGGCTAAATATGACCTACTGATTACTCTTAATTTTTTCGCCACATTTATTGAGCTATGATTTACATATTGAAAAGTATGTATGTTTAGGGTGTACAATAGAGTGCTTTTAGATGTGTATATATCTTTAAATTACCTCAAGCTGGTTAACATATCTATCCCCACACATAGTTACCTTATACGTTTCTGTGTATGTGGTGAGGGCACCTGAGATCTACTTTTGTAAACAAATTTCAAGTACAGGTTATTATTAGCTATAGTCACCATTCTGCACATAAGGTCCCCAGAAGTTTTTTATTATGTAACTGAAGGTATGCACCCTTCGATGGGTATCTCCCCACTTTTCCCCAATTCTTAGCCCATGGTAACTACCATTCTAGTCTCTGTTTCATTTTTTCTTTCTTTCTTTCTTTTTCTTTCTTTCTTTAAGATTTCACATTAAAATGAGATCAAGCAGTATTTGTCTTTCTGTATTTCGCTTATTTCACTTAGCATAATGTCTTCAAGGTTCATCAACATTGTTGTAAATGAAACAATTTCATTCTTTATTAAAGCTGAAATTATCTCTTTCTCACAGTTTACCTATTTATTTGTATCAGAGGAGTGCAGGTACGCTTGGTGATACTAATTTTATGTCTATTGGCTGTATACTCCAAATTGGGATTAAAGATACTTCTAGTTTAAAAATTTTAAGGAACCTCCCTACTGGTTTTCTTGTTTGTTTTTTTGTGTTGTTTTTTTGTTTATAATGGCTGCACCAGTGAGCATGTTCAGCAATGGTGGACAAATATTCTCCTTTCTCTGCACCCTAACACTTTTTGTATTTTGAATTTTTGATAATAGCTGTGCTAACACCACGATGAGGTGATATCTCATTGTGATTTTGATTTTCATTACTTTGATAATTAGCAATGTTGAGAATCTTTTTATATACCTGCTGGCCACTTGTATGTCTTTGGGAAAACATCTATTCAGATATTTTGCCCAGTTTATCAGGAAATTGGTTTTTGTTTTGTTCTGCTGTGAGTTTTTTTTTCCACATTGACTAGTGTTATGTATATTTTGGATAGCAACATCTTATCCTACATATGGTTTACAAATATTTTCTTCCATCCCATATATTGTCTTTATATTTTGTTGATTGTTTTCTTTATTGTGGAGAAAGTTTTTACTTTGATATAGCTCCACTTTTTTATTTTTGCATTAGTTGCTTGTGTTCTTTCTGTCAAAGCCAAAACATCGTTGCCACCACCAGTGTCAAGGAGCTTTCTCCCTGTTTTTTTTTTTAGAGGATTCATTATTTCAGTTCTAATGTTTATGTCTTTATTTTAAACTCATTTTTGTGATAAGAGAAGGCTTTACTTTTTTGTGTGTGCATAGCTAGTTTTTTCTAACACCATTTCTTGATGTGTCTATCTTTTCCTAATTTGGTGGGATCAGTTTACTGTATATGTGTGAATTTATTTCTGGGTCCTCTATTCTATTCCATTTGTTTCTATGTAGGTACTATACTTTCTTGATGAGTATAGCTTTGTAATATTGTTTGAAATCAAGAAGTTTGAGGCTTTCAGCCTTTTTATTCTTCTCAATATTTGGCTATTTGGGGTCTTTTGTGGCTCCATACTAATTTTACAAATGTTTGTTTTACATTTATTTTAATGGCATTAAAATTTTGATAGAAATTTATTTAACTGTAGATAACTTTATGTAGTATAGATATTTTAACAATGTTAATTTTTAGAATCGATGAACACAGGATATATTTTCCATTTTGTATTCTTCAATTTTTTATCATCATTTTATAGTTTTCAGTATGCAGATCTTTACTATTCTTCGTTAAACTCATTCTATTTAATGACTTAAGTATTTAATTCTATTTGATAATATTGTAAATGGAATTGTTTTCTTTATTCCTTTCTCAGATACTTTGTTGTTACTGTACAAAAATGCAACTGATTTTCATGTTAATATTGTATCCTGTAAGTTTATTGAATTTGTTTTTCAGCTATAACATGGTTTTGTTGTTGTTTTTGGCAAAGTGGTGGGTATTTTTAAGGCTAGTTATACTTTACATGGATAGTTGCTACTATCATTCTTTAAAATATGACCACAAGGGTTTCTGTTGTCATGACTTCAGTGGAATTCAGATCTTCCCATTTGAAATAATTTTGTCGGTTTTGCCTGGGCCCCGGGATGGGTGGGGGGGCCACCCCACGGGAGTCGGGAGATTCAGGATAAGGAGGGAGAAGCGGTCAGGGAGGAGGCTGAGCGCGGAAAGCAGACAGGCTCCAGGGACAGCAGGGAGGAGAGGGATTCCTGTCAGTGACCCAGTGGGGAGAGAGAATGGGCCAGAAGAGGGGAAAGGGTGGGAGTGGGCATCAGGACTGCTTCCTGACACGGGTGGGGGGCAGGGAACTTTGCTAAAACTGCAGGCCCCAGGGAACAGTGCAGGTAGGGTGGGAGGGAGTAGAGAAGACCAGGCGGACCCCAAAGTCATTTGAGAAAGGGGTATTTCCCAGTTCCTTCACCTCTGCCCAGCGTTCTGTGGGCATGGACCCCAGGGCCAGGGTAGGGGAGGAGGCGGCTCCTGGCATGCAGGGAGAGCTGAGGAGCGCACACCCGCTTTGTAGGGCGGTGTGATGGTGGAAGCAAGTGAAGGCTGAGGATACCGTTGGCTCAGTGGATGGGCTCGGGGGGCAGGGGTGGGGTCGAGCTCACAGGGCCCAGCACCCGGACCTGCAGGTGGCCCTGGAGGAATCCACCCGCCCGTGCCTTCCAAGAGACCAGTGTGCGAGGCGCCGCGGACACGCCTTTTCTAGCTGGAACATTTGTGAGGCTGGAATTTAAGCTCTGGCAGACAGGCGGCAGAAGAAGGACTGGAAGAAACCCAAGTGCAAAGTCCAGCCCAAGGAGAGGAAGCGGAAATGCCTGGCCTGGTCAAACTGTGCTCTGACTAGAAGATTCTGGGCTGGATGGTCACCGTCCTATAGAGACGCAGGCTCAGTGGGACTTCGAGGAGCACCAGGGACCCAGTGCAGCAAAGCAGAGCGGGCGGTGAGGACCCACAGCTACTGCTTCCCTGCACAGTTCGCCTTCTCCAAGGCCCAGCCCCCAGCTGAGCCCAGCAGTGAGTTGCATGGAGCCTCCTGGAACACTGCCTCGGGTGACCGGTGGAAGACCCCACCTCCCAGGGAGAGGACCGTACTATGTCCTCAGACAATAAAGCAGCTCCTCCGACCAGAAAAATAAATAAATAAATAAAATATAAAAATGTTGTTTGCTTTTCGAAAATAATTTGTATCCTGTTTACTGGTCAACATACTGCCCATTTCTCTATATGCCTAATTAGTCAAACTTTTAAATGAAATTATTTAACATTACGATTTTTATTATGAAACAAAACAGTAAATTTTGTAATGGTTTTAATATCATCTAATAGGATTGAAAATATGTCAATTTGTCATTGCCAATGAATATTTGTGTTATTTATTTTATACTGTTAGATATTCTGTCTACAAATGTCTAATGGCTTAGAATCTTGCTTAACATATTGTATGTGCTAAGTCCTAACTATTCCAATTCATCAAATTATCTTTTTATACCATTCTTAAAAATACAATATTATTTTTTATTTTTATTAAAGTTATTTTTCTAATATAAATATTTATGAAAATTATAAAGTCTATTCAGTCTGCCCTCTTGTCAGTTGCCCTCTTGTCAAAACTGAAAAAAAGTCAGTTTTTTTCTCTTTATTAATACACTAGAGGGTATAAATGTAGCTTCATTACAGGGACATGTTGCATAGGGATGAAGTGTGGGCTTCTGTGCAACAATCATCTGAACGGTGCTCATTTTCCCAGTTAGGTATTTTCTCATTCCTAACCCCTCTACCAACCTCCCATATTTGTGAGTCTCCAGTGTCTATTTTTCCAATCTCTATGTCCAAGTGTATGCATTATTGAGCTCCCACTTGTAAGTAAGAAAATGTAGTGCTTTATGTTCTGTTTCTGAATTATTTCACTTACAATAATGGCCTCCAGTTGCATTCATGTTGCTGCAAAAGACATGATTTTATTCTTTATGGCTGAGTAGTTTTCCATGGAATAAATGTATAGTACATTTTCTTTATCCAATCATTGACTGATAAATTTAAACTGACTCCATATCGTTGCTATTGTGAATAGTGCTGCAATAAACATATGAGTGTGGGTATCTTCTTTATGTAATGAATTATTTTCCTTCGGGTAGATACCCAGTAGAGGAAGTGCAGGATCAAATGGAAATTCCATTTTTAGTTTTTCTGAAAAATCTTTATACTGTTTGCCATAGAGGTTGTAGAAATTTACACTCCCTCGAACAATGAATAAGTGTTCTCTTTTCTCTGTATCCTTGCCAGTATCTGTCATTTTTCTGCTTTTTAATAATTAGCCATTATGAATGGTATAAAATGGTACTTCATTGCGATTTTTAATTGGAATTTCTCTGATCATTGGCAATGTTTAACATTTTTTACATGCTTCTTGGCAATCATTGTCTTCTATTTGAAAAATATCTGTTCTCATTCTTTGCCTGCTTTATAGTGAGGTTACTTGTTTTATTCTTGTTGTTTGATTTCCTTGTATATTGTAGACATTAGTTCTTTGTCACATGTATAGTTCACAAACATTTTTCTCATTTCATGGGTTGTCTGCTCACCTGCTAATTAAAAGCTCCTTTTCAGGAACTTTTTAGTTTAATTAAGTTCCATTTGTCTATTTTTGTTATTGCTACATCTGCTTTTGAGATCTTGGTCATGAATTATTTGCCCAGGCCAATGTCCAGAAGCATTTATCATTGGGTTTCTTCTAGAATTTTTATCATTTCAGGTCTAACATTTTAGTCTTTTAATCCATGTTGAGTTGATTTTTTTACATGGTGAGAGTCACGGGTTCCATTTCATACTTCTGCATGTGGTAATATAATTTTTCAAGCACAACATGTTGAATAGAATGTCATTTTTCCATGTATGCTTTTATTGATTTTGTAAATGATCAGTACGTGGCTTTATTTCTAGGTTCTCTATTCTCTTACATTGATCTGGGTGTCTATTTGTATCAGTACCATGTTGTGTTGGTTATTCAAGCTTTCTAGTATAATTTTAAGTCAGGTAGTGTAATATCTCCAACTTTGTTCTCTTTGCTTAAATGTGCTTTGGCTATTCAGACTTTGCTATGGTTACAAATAAATTTAATTCTTTTGCTAATTCTATGAAAAATAACATTGGCATTTTGGTAGGAATTGCATTTAATATGTAGATTTTTGGAGGGCAATATGGTCATTTTAATGATAATTCTTCCAATCCATTAGCAGGGATGTTTTTCTCATTTGTTTGTATTATGTACAATTTTTTTCATCAATGTTTTGTAGTTTTCCTTGTAGATATCTTTCACCTGTTTGATTAATTGTATTTCCAGGTACTTTTGTAGCTATTGTAAAAGGAATTGACTTTTTAATTTGGTTCTCAGCTTGATCATTATTAGTGTATAAAAATGCTACTAATTTTTCTACATTGATTTTTAATAATCCTGAAACATTATTAAATTTCATTTATCCAATCTAAAAGGTTTTTGGTGGTCTTTAGATTTTTCTAGATATAATATTATGTAATCATCAAAGAGGGACAATTTGACTTCCTAATTAAAACCATATGGATGCTCCCACCAAGATCAACAGACAGGATCTGTGGTGAGGGTACAGGTTATGGTAGGTCTTTAAAGGGGTCATGTGATTATAGTTGAAAGCCTATTCTGAGAGCCACCTAGAGAAGTATTGCCCCTCAATTTTCAATGCACATATAAATCATTTCTGATTCCAGGCCTTTTTCTTAGTGATGTGATTTTGCAGTTTTGGAAGGGGTCCGTGAAATAGCTTCTCTAAAAATTCTCCTCTTAATGCTGATGTTTCTCCCACTACATCCGTGGTAGTAGCAATCATCTAGAGAAAGTAGGCACAGCACACAGAATTCCTGATACCCAACACTCTTACCACAGCACAGAGAGTTTTGGCTCAACGTGGACACCACCAATCACCATTTACAAACATGTCATTTTTTGCCAGTTCTTTAAAGATTACAGAGGCTAGAGAAGGCATCAACATTTGAGTAAGTCTGGATTAAAAAAAAAAAACATGTACACATGAGTTAATACAATGCTTATTAAGCATGTACTATGTGTTCAGAAGTCTGTTACAGACCACTGTGCTGGAAACTTTACATGATGTGAGTGAATCCTCATAACACCCTGGGAAGTGGGTGCTGTGTTCCATAATTTCTAGGATTTAGAAGAAGGGCCCAGCATTTCTATTTTTTCTTTCACTTTTTAAATTTATTTACCTTAAAAAGAAAATGTATGGAATAAAAGCTGTATAGACAGATGAAAGGGATACAGAAAGAAAGGATGAACTGTTCAGAGGGATTTTTTGGTATTTATATTGACTTTCTTGTGCCTTGTAGAGCAACTACTGGATATGCAAAAATAAAAAACAGGTTGCTAGATGGGATGTCTCTATGGCTTCAATGAAAAAGAAATTGTGGCCCACAAATAGATAACTATTTGCTCCCATTTATCTGCTTTTTATTTGCAGGAAATTGGGGGCACCAGCGCAGGAGAGGCAGCAGGAGTCACCACTCAAATTTCTGATCTCCTTTAATTAGTTCTGTGAGAGGAGATTCTAGGGTGAAGCCAGACCTGGAGGAGGCCTTAGAAGAGGGTGGACCTGGGGACAGCAGGGACAGAAAGTGGGCCCTATGCATCTCGTGTTCTGCTGGTGGAGTATTTCCAGTTCTGTCTTTCCTAAGCCTGCCTGATAGAATTGACTCCTAGAGTTTGTGTAATTTTAATCTATTTTAGCCATTTCCCTGTCAATTTTTATGACACACAATAACAAGGAATTTAACGAAAACTCTTAGGGCTTTTTTAGGAAAATTATATGAGAAGCTAAAAAAATTATTTTTACTAATGTAAAAGAAATAGAAATAATCACAACAATAGCAATAATTCTTCTGTCCATGAATAGCCTTTCTGGTGATAATGTTAGAACTCACAACAACAGCATATGGGAAGTGGAACAAATGCAGCCAAAGTCCCCTGTACACCTCCCTTCTCTCTTCTGACCTCAGAATGTTGAATGCAATCATTTAGCCATTTGCTCTGGAATGAAAGTATCTGGACAGTAGAAACCATGAATGTTTCATCTGTTTTTCCAATGGTCATACGATATAGTTTAGATATTTGTTCCAAATCTCATATTGTATTTTAATCCCTAATGTTACAAGTGGGGCCTGGTGGGAGGTGTTTGAATCATGGGGATGGATTCCTCATGGCTCTGTGCTGTTCTTGTCATGGTGAGTATTCATGAGATCCGGTGGTTTAAAAATGAGGCGTATCCTTATCCCAACTTTCCTGTTCCCACTCCTACCATGTGAGATGCCTGCTCATCTTTCATCTTTCACCATGATTGTAAGCTTCTACATATGTTAATGTTGTTACAAAATTTAACTCAATTTTCTTATAAAATTAACTGACAAGATTTCATGTTATTATAAAATCATAAATATAATAAATGAATATATTATGACATCACATTATATTATGATATAATTTGTATGTATTGTGGCATCACAGTATGTTATGACATCATAATTCACATGCATCATGATGTCACACTATATTATGACATAATTTGTATGTATTGTGACATAATATATTATGGCATAATTCATATGTATTGTGATATAATACATTATGACATCATAATTCATATGTATTATATTACAATATATTATGATTTCATAGTTTTATGTATTATTATGATAGCACAGTAACAAAATTTTGTTAGGTAATTTTATAAAATAACTGAGTTAAATTTTGTAAGAACATTAACATATAAACTTTATAGAACCGGAGAATATTATCTGCTATTGTGTGCACAACTGCTTTATGATATTATGATAAAATATCAATATTTGTTTATATATCAAACAAATTTTATGTGATATTATGGTATCAATATATAATGATACTATAAGTTCCATTTAAATAATATTTAAATTCAGACAATTAGAGTGTCTGTGTGTCTACCACCCGATATTTTTCTGGGTTCCACTATTTGCACAGACAGCAAAGCTAGGAAAACACAGACTCATTCAGCACAGTCTCTTCCCTGAATCTATCCCCTCCTCAGGGCATCAATTCATCAGTCAACCAAGTCAATTGAGAGTGGAGGCTGAGTTCTCTCTAACATAGAAGGTCTCATTCTTGTATGCTTTTCTCAGAAGGAAAGAAAACAAGAAGGCTTTTGAGGGGACACTTGCTGGGACAGGCACTAAGCCTTCTACAGTTTGATAGCTCTAACCAGCAGATACAGACTTCTCAGTAGGAAGGGGTGAGGCAGCTGTCCTGAGCCAGGAGCTCCACCATATCGTGTCCCATCCTGTTAAGGCAATTTTGAGAGGCTGCTCTGGAATATGTCTCAATGGTGGATGTAGGGAAACTTCACAGGCTTTGATGGGACTGAGGTGGTGTCTGTTGTGTGAAGACAGGAGCTGAATGCTCAGGATCTAGGCTGCTTTTCTTGTGGTCAGTTGGGTTACCTGTTTGGGACCAAGTCCATGTTTACTAAGGAGGCTGAATAAATTCTACAGAGGAAAGTGGAGCTCCCAGGATGACCGAGGAAGGGTAAGAAAAGGGGTAAGTTTCTCTCTCCACCTAGACTTTTTGCTACCTCAGGAATCAGGCGCTGATTAAGTTAGCATCTGCTCTAATTAAATAAATTCGAGTTGATTGTATTTGATCTAATTATTGTCTAATTAATTGTCTAATCTCTAATTATTTGAGCCATTTTATTTGGTATTTACTTTTTCTTCATATTTTTATGTTATCATATATGTATCTATTTAATACAATCAACCATAATTTTAATTTGACATTTCCAAGCATTTGAAAAATTATAATATCTATGTACATGATTTTAACACTATGTGTAATTCTCTTCCTTTGCCAAATGTATGACACATTTCAATATAGGTATGTTTAATTCTGCATGTTGAAAAATAAACAGTATCATAAATACTTCCAGGTGGAATTGGGACAGAAATTAGAAAAATGATTCCCCTATTTTCTGATTCCTGTGCCCCTGGCTTTGTTTTTTGTTTGTTTAGGGTTTTTTTACACTATGACAAGACCCAGAAAATGTCCCTCTTTAACTGTGTCTAGGTCCCTAGTAAAACTACAGCAAGAAACTTTTCTTATGAGGCCCTAATGAGTGGCAAGAAAAAGGAAACTGTTCAGTCAATAGGAGTATGCCACGTCCAGCCAAGGACATGTAAAAGGCAGGTCCAGCAGAATAACACACAGTCTGAATCTGGATGTGTAAGAGAGAGCACCTTTCACTTGAGCTTAAACAAGGGAAAGGGAAATGAATACCCTAATTCTCCACTGCTCCTCCATCCAATGCCCCACTGACCAGCCTTCTTTCCAACAGATCTCCTTTACAGAAAAGGGCTCAGATAAGAAGAGACAATTCAAACAAAAAGCCGAGACCCCCTCCTCCCATTCCAGTGAGAAGCACAGGCAAAGACAGGGTAATGCCTTGGGCTGTTCCTATGGAGGCTGGAAGGAGTGTTGGAATCAGGGATACTGAGCTGTGTGTCTCTGGGTAGGGTTTTATTTTGAAATTGGGGATGGAAGATGGCTTAGAGCCCTGGGGAGACTTTGAGAAACATCTTCACTTATGACACTGGCAGAAGAGCTTCACTTAAAGGACTGATCCACAAATATTTGTCAGAGATAGACTATGAGACTCTGTGTCTGAGAGAGGTGAGTCACCTAAATTCCATGTTGCACTAGGATCAGAGCCCAATCTAAATGAAGAGAAGAATTCTGAGAAAACTAAGCCCAAAGCTAGAAACAGCACTGCTAGATTAGGTAAAATTTGACTCTTTCAAGGTAAAAAGAGAAAGGGCTGCAACACAGTCTCCCCTGGCAAGGAAACTGGGAGCTCTTTGGCAGCCAGGGCCATATAGACATGGATTCTGGAGAACAGAGGAGAGCTGGGTTTGATAGCTACTTCAGCTCCTTTGTGTCCAGGATGAACTAAGGCTTCTAGGGTGTTTGGTTGGAGACACTTACTCAAACTCTTATTTTATCAACAGAACCAGAGTCGAGCTCACATGAGGGAAACTCCAAGAAAAGGAAAATCGGTTCCAAGGACAGCTGCCAAGACAGAGCTGGTAGAATTTTGCCTTTTTCCCCCAAAGGGAAAATAAGCAGTTGACTTTTATAGAGGGTTTGAGCAGCAAGGTGACTGAAAAAATTTTTGAGATCCTGGCACTCAGAGAATATTTGGGGACTCAGAAGGTGTTAAATTTCACTTCATTTAAGTACTAATATGGTCAGGATGGAGGGGAAGATTCAAATGTTCACCTGAAGGTGCATGGGAGGTTTTGGAAATGAGGGTCGGTGGGAACTGTGCTGGCGAGTATCTCACTCACATGCTTCTTTTGCGGGGATCTGTCCAGGAGAGGAGCACAGCTTGATGTTGAAAAAGAAACTAAAGTCCTCCACTTTGCACAGCAATAAACTCAAGGAGACCTGTGATGCCCACCACAGAGGGCCTTTCATGACTCACACTGGGTGCACCAAGCAGCACAGGTCTCAGACCCTAGGAGTTCAATGGCTGTCATTTCAGAAAAGCTTGGTGACTTTACAAGCTGTGTCAAGGCCATTTATCAAGACCTATACTGGGTATCGGTGCAGCAGGTCCATTCTCCACTGACCTGGGAGCAGCTCACTCAGCTTGCCCGGTTCTGGCGGCCTCTATGTGCTCAGGTGCAGACCTTCTATTTTATAGCCACCCAGGTAGGTTATGTCTTCCCTGCTAAGAACTGGCTTGTTTCAGCCACATTGCCTGGCCCTGGGGATCCAGCCCTGGATAGAGAAGCCCATCCCTTGCCTGGGCAGGAGATAACTGAGCCTGTCAGTGGGTCAGATGAGGCTTGAGCTGGGTGCACCCTGACCCCATTCAGCAGAAATTGCAGGTCTTGGAATGAGAGCAAGAACCTGCTATAGGAAAGTAGCTTGAACAATATACTCAAAATGGTGAACCCTGCATTTCACAGAGGGCTAAGATTATAAACAAATTTTATGTTTCTTGTTAGACATTTGATGTCTTTCAGATGTCTGGTGACAGTCATGCATTTCTATATAATCAGACAAATATTAGGATGTAATCATTCATATGCCTTTGCAAATTTTAAATTGTAGAAAAATAAATAAAAAGTTATATGTTTCTCTTTTAATTCAGAAAAGGCTGTAGCCTCTAACTTTCCCACGCTGAGCCCATGGAGGACTAATATCCACAAATCTTTAATTGTACTCCCTGTGGGAAAATGTTAATATATTTTTACAGTTTAATAAAATTATGGTGAAATCACTCCACAAGGTGTTTACCATTAATATTTTTCCATAAAACTCAGGTCAGTGTATCTTAAATATAATTGATCATACTTATTTATTCTTTACCTGACTCATATTTGCCTCCTTTTAAATTTTCCATATTTAAACTTTCTTCTATTTTATACATTACAGTTGATTGTACTGTATTGCAGGATATTAAATATAATATAAATATTGTCATTTATTTTATACATTGATAAATTTTATATTTTTTATTCTTGCATTTTACATTGAGATTATGAAAGCCTTCATCATCTAAATTTATTTTTATTATGTTCTTAATGTCCATATACATAATGATATAAACATTAATGTTTCTGAGAATATTCAATTTTAGATAATTTTATATTTCATCCATAATTAATTTGTATTACTACCTGTGTGAGTTAGAAGACTGTTTATATTCACTTCTACTTCATTTTCACACTGACCTCTCCACACTCCACAGCTCTTGTTTAGTCAAAGAATAGCAATTTATCGTTTCAGTTAATGGGGCCAATTCAATAAAAATATATAGATGTACCTTTGAGATATATGGGTTTTGCTCTAGACCAGTGCAATAAAACAAATATTGCAATAATGTGAGTCACACAATTTTTCTTGCTTCCCAGAACATATAAAAGTTATGTTTACACTATACTGTAGAATAAAATTGAAATAGCCCATGTTTATATTAAAAATATACATACCTTAATAAAAAATGTACTTTATTGCTAAAAAATGCTGACAGAGGTATACACACACACAAAGATGACATGATGTTGGAAAAATAGTATTAATAGAGTCATTCAATATAGGGTTGCCAAAACCCTTCAATTTGTAAGAAATCCAACATCTGTGAAGCACAATAAGGTGCTATAAGATAAGGTATGCCTGTGTCACAGTCAATTTTCATGAGTGATATACTTAGAAATCATACATAAAATATATTTACATATGTATAAAAGTAATTAACAAGATACAGAATGTGTGGGAGATAAAAATTACAAAATGATTTATAAAGTAAATTAAAAAGGAGACCAAGCCTTGGAAACATTCCTGAGCAGACAGAATCAGTTAGACCTCCCCAGTGACATCATCTTGTTGATTTGCAAAGAAGCAAAACATAATGCGAGCTATTTTTTGTGAATGCCTGTATTAGAAAAACAACAACAACAGAATTTAAGCTTAAGTTATCAGAAATACTCAAAAAGCTTATAGTAATATATGTCTATAAGGTAAACCAAATAAGACAATTTTATACCTGCAATGAATCAAATAATTTTAATATTTTGCTCCCGCATTTCTTCAATACCTCTGACACTTTGCCACTAAAATGGTAAACCTCTTTTGGTCCGGTGTTCCACAATTCATTAGTTGCTTGTTACTCAAGAAAAAAATGTTTTTTGAAACAGGTTCTTGCTCTGTCGCCCGTGCTAGAGTGCATAGATAGAATCAAAGCTCTCTGCAGCCTTACATCCTGAGCTTAAGCCATCCTCCTGCCTTAGCCTCATGAGTAGCTGGAAATACAGGCATGCACCACTGTACCCAGCTAATTTCTTCTTCTGTTTTGTAGAGCCAGGGTCTTACTATGTTTCCCAGGCTGGCCTCAACCCCTCTCACTTTGGCTTGTCAAGTAGTCCTCTCACTTTGGCCTCTCAAAGTGCTGGAACCACAGATATGCATCATCATTCCCTGCCAAGAAAACTTGTATAATTTGTATTGTGCTACAGTTTACTTTTCAACAGGACAAAATAAAATGAACTAGCTATACATAGATCTAACAAGAATTTGTAAAATGTATGACAAAGAACATAAAAAGTCTTCGAAATATAGGAAAGTCAGCATAAACAAATAGAAAATCACATCATGTTCTAAAGCAGAAAAACTCATTATTACTCAATCATCAATTTTTTTAGCAGTAATTAATAAATTTAATTTTGTCCCAATATAGATACCATTTGGTAGTGGAAGCAGGCATTGTATTGGAGAACTCCTATAGATGAAAACACAAATAAGAACAGCTAAGAAAACTCTGAAAAAATAATTAGAGTGGCTGTCCCACCCTGTGAGACATGTTGATTTTTGAATATATAGATAGCTCAGTGGAACTATAAATTCAAAAATAAACCACAGTGCATCAGAAAGTGTCTTCATTTGTTCAGATTGCTAAAACAAAATACATTAGACTGGGTCATGTATAAATAACAGAAATGCGTTGGTCACAGTTCTGGAAGCTGGAAAGTTCAAGATCAAAGCACCAGCAAATTTAGTGTCTGGGGAGGGTCCCATTTCTCATAAATGATGCCTTGTTGCTGTGTCTTCAATGGCAGAAGGGACAAGGGTGCTCCCTTCAACCTCTATTACAGGGTATTAATTACATTCATGAGGATGAAGCCCTCCTGAGTTAGTCACTTCCAAAAAGGCTACATGTTTTAAAACTATCACATCAGGGACTAAATTTTTACAAATGAGTTTTTAGAAGGACACACAAATTTGCATCATAGTAGAAAGTTAATTGGCAATAAAAACTACACTTGGGTAGGCATCATTAATGCTTTGAGTTTAAGAATCTGATATTTCTATCATAAAGGTAAAATAAAATGTATTAACTAAAACTTGTAATTAAATAAAGGTCAAATGAAAGATAAATCTATATGGTGAAAAAAATCAATTTTTTTTACTTATTTTAAACAACAATTTTCTTTTTATAAATTTATTTATTTATTATTATTATACTTTAAGTTTTAGGGTACATGTGCACAATGTGCAGGTTAGTTACATATAAATACATTTGCCATGCTGGTGTGCTGCACCCACTAACTTTTCATCTAGCATTAGGTATATCTCCCAATGCTATCCCTCCCCCCTCCCCCCAACCCACAACAGTCCCCAGAGTGTGATCTTCCCCTTCCTGTGTCCATGTGTTCTCATTGTTCAGTTCCCACCTATGAGTGAGAATATGCAGTGTTTGGTTTTTTGTTCTTACGATAGTTTACTGAGAATGATGATTTCCAATTTCATCCATGTCCCTACAAATGACATGAACTCATCATTTTTTATGGCTGCATAGTATTCCAAGGTGTATATGTGCCACAGTTTCTTAATTCAGTCTATCATTGTTGGACATTTGGGTTGGTTCCAAGTCTTTGCTATTGTGAATAATACCGCAATAAACATACTTGTGCATGTGTCTTTATAGCAGCATGATTTATACTCCTTTGGGCATATACCCAGTAATGGGATGGCTGGGTCAAATGGTATTTCTCGTTCTAGATCCCTGAGGAATCGCCACACTGACTTCCACAGTGTTTGAACTAGTTTACAGTCCCACCAACAGTGTAAAAGTGTTCATATTTCTCCACAACCTCTCCAGCACCTGTTGTTTCCTGACTTTTTAATGATTGCCATTCTAACTGGTGTCATATGGTATCTCATTGTGGTTTTGATTTGCATTCCTCTGATGGCCAGTGATGGTGAGCATTTTTTCATGTGTTTTTTGGCTGCATAAATGTCTTCTTTTGAGAAGTGTCTGTTCATATCCTTCGCCCACTTTTTGATGGGGTTGTTCGTTTTTTTCTTCTAAATTTGTTTGCGTTCATTGTAGATTCTGGATATTAGCCCTTTGTCAGATGAGTAGGTTGCGAAAATTTTCTCCCATTTTGTAGGTTGCCTGTTCACTCTGATGGTAGTTTCTTTTGCTGTGCAGAAGCTCTTTAGTTTAATTAGATCTCATTTGTCAATTTTGGCTTTCGTTGCCATTGTTTTTGGTGTTTTAGACATGAAGTCCTTGTCCATGTCTATGTCCTGAATGGTAATGCCTAGGTTTTCTTCTAGGGTTTTTATGGTTTTAGGTCTAACGTTTAAGTCTTTAATTCATCTTGAATTAATTTTTGTATAAGGTGTGAGGAAGGGATCCAGTTTCAGCTTTCTACATATGGCTAGCCAGTTTTCCCAGCACCATTTATTAAATAGGGAATCCTTTCCCCATTGCTTGTTTTTCTCAGGTTTGTCAAAGATCACATAGTTGTAGATATGCAGCGTTATTTCTGAGGGCTCTGTTCTGTTCCATTGATCTATATCTCTGTTTTGGTACCAGTACCATGCTGTTTTGGTTACTGTAGCCTTGTGGTATAGTTTGAAGTCAGGTAGCATGATGCCTCCAGCTTTGTTCTTTTGGCTTAGGATTGACTTGGCGATGCGGGCTCTTTTTTGGTTCCATATGCACTTTAAAGTAGTTTTTTCCAATTCTGTGAAGAAGTCATTGGTAGCTTGATGGGGATGGCATTGAATCTGTAAATTACCTTGCGCAGTATGGCCATTTTCAAGATATTGATTCTTCCTACCCATGAGCATGGAATGTTCTTCCATTTAACCTCTATTATTTCCTTGAGCAGTGGTTTGTAGTTCTCCTTGAAGAGGTCCTTCCCATCCCTTGTAAGTTGGATTCCTAGGTATTTGATTCTCTTTGAAGCAATTGTGAATGGGAGTTCACTCATGATTTGGCTCTCTGTTTGTCTGTTATTGGTGTCTAAGAATGCTTGTGATTTTTGTACATTGATTTTGTATCCTGAGACTTTGCTGAAGTTGCTTATAAGCTTAAGGAGATTTTGGGCTGAGACAATGGGGTTTTCTAGATATACAATCATGTCGTCTGCAAACAGGGACAATTTGACTTCCTCTTTTCCTAATTGAATACCCTTTATTTCCTTCTCCTGCCTAATTGCCCTGGCCAGAACTTCCAACACTATGTTGAATAGGAGTGGTGAGAGAGGGCATCCCTGTCTTGTGCCCGTTTTCAAAGGGAATGCTTCCAATTTTTGCCCATTCAGTAAGATATTGGCTGTGGGTTTGTCATAGATAGCTCTTATTATTTTGAGATACATCCCACCAATACCTAATTTATTGAGAGTTTTTAGCATGAAGGGTTGTTGAATTTTGTCAAAGGCCTTTTCTGCATCTATTGAGATAAGGATGTGGTTTTTGTCTTTGGTTCTGTTTATATGCTGGATTACATTTATTGATTTGCATATATTGAACCTGCCTTGCATCCCATGGGTGAAGCCCACTTGCTAATGGTGGATAAGCTTTCTGATGTGCTGCTGGATTCGGTTTGCCAGTATTTTATTGAGGATTTGTGCATCAATGTTCATCAAGGATATTGGTCTAAAATTCTCTTTTTTTGTTGTGTCTCTGCCCAGTTTTGGTATCAGGATGATGCTGGCCTCATAAAATGAGTTAGGAAGGATTCCCTCTTTTTCTATTGATTGGAATAGTTTCAGAAGGAATGGTACCATTTCCTCCTTGTACCTCTGGTAGAATTCGGCTGTGAATCCATCTGGTCCTGGACTCTTTTTGGTTGAAGCTATTGATTATTGCCACAATTTCAGCTCCAGTTATTGGTCTATTCAGAGATTCAACTTCTTCCTGGTTTAGTCTTGGGAGAGTGTATATGTCGAGGAATTTATCCATTTCTTCTAGATTTTCTAGTTTATTTGTGTAGAGGTGTTTGTAGTATTCTCTGATGGTAGATTGTATTTCTGTGGGATCAGTGGTGATATCACCTTTATCATTTTTTATTGCGTTTATTTGATTCTTCTCTCTTTTCTTATTTAATAGTTTTGCTAGCAGTCTATCAATTTTGTTGATCCTTTCAAAAAACCAGCTCCTGGATTCGTTAATTTTTTGAAGGGTTTTTTGTGTCTCTATTTCCTTCAGTTCTGCTCTGATTTTAGTTATTTCTTGCCTTCTGCTAGCTTTTGAATGTGTTTGCTCTTGCTTTTCTACTTCTTTTAATTGTAATGTTAGGGTGTCAATCTTGGATCTTTCCTGTTTCTCTTGTGGGCATTTAGTGCTATAAATTTCCCTCTACACACAGGTTTGAATGCGTCCCAGAGATTCTGGTATGTTGTGTCTTTGTTCTCGTTGGTTTCAAAGAACATCTTTATTTCTGCCTTCATTTCGTTTTGTACGCAGTAGTCATTCAGGAGCAGGTTGTTCAGTTTCCATGTAGTTGAGCGGTTTCGAGTGAGATTCTTAATCCTGAGTTCTAGTTTGATTGCACTGTGGTCTGAGAGACAGGTTGTTATAATTTCTGTTCTTTTACATTTGCTGAGGAGAGCTTTACTTCCAAGTATGTGGTCAATTTTGGAATAGGTGTGGTGTGGTGCTGAAAAAAATGTATATTCTGTTGATTTGGGGTGGAGAGTTCTGTAGATGTCTATTAGGTCTGCTTGGTGCAGAGCTGAGTTCAATTTCTGGGTATCCTTGTTAACTTTCTGTCTCGTTGATCTGTCTAATGTTGACAGTGGGGTGTTAAAGTCTCCCATTATTATTGTGTGGGAGTCTAAGTCTCTTTGTAGGTCACTAAGAATTTGCTTTATGAATCTGGGTGCTCCTGTATTGGGTGCATATATATTTAGGATAGTTAGCTCTTCTTGTTGAATTGATCCCTTTACCATTATGTAATGGCCTTCTTTGTCTCTTTTGATCTTTGTTGGTTTAAAGTCTGTTTTATCAGAGACTAGGATTGCAACCCCTGCCTTTTTTTGTTTTCCATTTGCTTGGTAGATCTTCCTCCATCCTTTTATTTTGAGCCTATGTGTGTCTCTGCACGTGAGATGGGTTTCCTGAATACAGCACACTGATGGGTCTTGACTCTTTATCCAATTTGCCAGTCTGTGTCTTTTAATTGGAGCATTTAGTCCATTTACATTTAAAGTTAATATTGTTATGTGTGAATTTGATCCTGTCATTTTGATGTTAGCTGGTTATTTTGCTCATTAGTTGATGCAGTTTCTTCCTAGTCTCGATCGTCTTTACATTTTGGCATGATTTTGCAGTGGCTGGTAATGGTTGTTCCTTTCCATGTTTAGCGCTTCCTTCAGGAGCTCTTTTAGGGCAGGCCTGGTGGTGACAAAATCTCTCAGAATTTGCTTGTCTGTAAAGTATTTTATTTCTCCTTCACTTATGAAGCTTAGTTTGGCTGGATATGAAATTCTGGGCTGAAAATTCTTTTCTTTAATAATGTTGAATATTGGCCCCCACTCTCTTCTGGCTTGTAGAGTTTCTGCCGAGAGATCTGCTGTTAGTCTGATGGGCTTCCCTTTGAGTGTAACCTGGCTTTTCTCTCTGGCTGCCCTTAACATTTTTTCCTTCATTTCCACTTTGGTGAATCTGACAATTATGTGTCTTGGAGTTGCTCTTCTCAAGGAGTATCTTTGTGGCATTCTCTGTATTTCCTGAATCTGAATGTTGGCCTGCCTTGCTAGATTGGGGAAGTTCTCCTGGATAATATCCTGCAGAGTGTTTTCCAACTTGGTTCCATTCTCCCCGTCACTTTCGGGTACATCAATCAGACGTAGATTTGCTCTTTTCACATAGTCCCATATTTCTTGGAGGCTTTGCTCATTTCTTTTTATTCTGTTTTCTCTAAACTTCCCTTCTCGCTTCATTTCATTCATTTCATCTTCCATCGCTGATACCCTTTCTTCCGGTTGATCGCATCGGCTCCTGAGGCTTCTGCATTCTTCACGTAGTTCTCTAGCCTTGGTTTTCAGCTCCATCAGCTCCTTTAAGCACTTCTCTGTATTGGTTATTCTAGTTATACATTCTTCGAAATTTTTTTCAAAGTTTTCAACTTCTTTGCCTTTGGTTTGAATATCCTCCCGTAGCTTGGAGTAATTTGATCACCTGAAGCCTTCTTCTCTCAGCTTGTCAAAGTCATTCTCTGTCCAGCTTTGTTCCATTGCTGGTGAGGAACTGCGTTCCTTTGGAGGAGGAGAGGCACTCTGCTGTTTAGAGTTTCCAGTTTTTCTGCTCTGTTTTTTCCCCATCTTTGTGGTTTTATCTACTTTTGGTCTTTGATGATGGTGATGTACAGATGGGTTTTTGTTGTGGATGTCCTTTCTGTTTGTTAGTTTTCCTTCTAACAGACAGGACCCTCAGCTGCAGGTCTGTTGGAGTACCCAGCTGTGTGAAGTGTTAGGCTGCCCCTGCTAGGGGGTGCCTCCCAGTTAGGCTGCTCGGGAGTCAGGGGTCAGGGACCCACTTGAGGAGGCAGTCTGCCCATTCTCAGATCTCCAGCTGCGTGCTGGGAGAACCACTGCTCTCTTCAAAGCTGTCAGACAGGCTCATTTAAGTCTGCAGAGGTTACTGCTGTCTTTTTATTTGTCTGTGCCCTGCCCCCAGAGGTGGAGCCTACAGAGGCAGGCCTCCTGGAGCTATGGTGGGCTCCACCCAGTTCGAGCTTCCCGGCTGCTTTGTTTACCTAAGCAAGCCTGGGCAATGGCGGGCGCCCCTCCCCCAGCCTCGCTGCCACCTTGCAGTTTGATCTCAGACTGCTGTGCTAGCAATCAGTGAGACTTTGTGGGCGTAGGACCCTCTAAGCCATGTGCAGGATATAATCTCCTGGTGCACCATTTTTTAAGCCCGTCGGAAAAGCGCAGTATTCGGGTGGGAGTGATCCGATTTTCCAGGTGCCATCTGTCATGCCTTTCTTTGACTAGGAAAGGGAACTCCCTGACCTCTTGCACTTCCTGAGTGAGGCAATGCCTCACCCTGCTTCACTCGCGCACGGTGCGCACACCCACTGACCTGCGCCCACTGTCTGGCACTCCCTAGTGAGATGAACCTGGTACCTCAGATGGAAATGCAGAAATCAACCGTCTTCTGCATCGCTCACACTGGGAGCTGTAGACCGGAGCTGTTCCTATTCAAAAATCAAATTTTTACGAGGTGAATTCTTACAGTTTGGATCAGGATTTTGGTGGTTTCTGGGGATGAATAAGACTTCTGGGTTTCCTCCTGTGACTTTTTTACTGAAGTTTCTGACACCCTTACTCAATTTCAAAGTGCAAAAAAATCTTTTCAGTTTCTGTCTTTGAGATATTCAAAATAAAGTTGATCTCCATATGCTTGATCCTAAATCAATTGTTCACTCAGTGGTGCTCTGCCAAGGAAGGGCACTCAATCTCATGCACCCAGAAGCCTCACCATTCATACATGATCGGAGGCTTTCCCAGGCATGCACAGGTCTGAACACTCCCCACACCAGCTCAGCCCTGAGCATCTGACTCTAAAGGTGGCTAATGAATATGTTCCCTTGTACTCTAATTTACAGGGATTTTGTTTTCTCTTAATGATCACTTCCAAAGCTCTAGGGTCTTTCCTGACTCCACTTCCCACACATAGATAGCCTGGGAGATTTGGACAGAGGCTTCCATCCTCATTCTAAGCTCTGCCATGTTCCATCAACTAACTCCTCTAGAAGTACAATGTTCTAATCACTCTTGAGAGACCACATGTCAGGGCATCTTTCTGTGACAAAAATTGAATAAAAGTGAGAAGAAAAACAGACCAGAATTTCTGCTGAGGGTTGCATCTAAGCGTCTACTTGCCAGACTTATATCTCTATTTTACACAAATATTGACAATGTAATTTCATCTCTAGATAAAAAACTGAAGAAAGAAACCCAGCTCACAGAAGAAGGAGAAAATGGAATTAATGCTCTATAGAATCCACCTTACCTCAGCTGTGGAGTGCTGTCTCCTCAGCAAAAAGCAATTGTTCTCAGTCTTCAGAAACAACTGTGGTTTCAGACAGTTGGACACTGAGAGTGCAGGATGCTCACTGGGATTCCATGTCTACATCACAAAAGGATGAAATTCCTTAGAGAAACTGAACCCACCCATCCTGTTCTACCATTTGGTCTAACTAATACTACTACTCATTCTGGCCCAACAGGACTCCCCAACTCTTCTCTGGGCCACACTAGGGATAATTCAGAAAGACAGAAAGATATTAACTTCCCTCCTTTTCTGTAGTTCCTGGGTCTAATTTGTTCACTTTTAGGTTTTGGGTTTTTGTCTTTCCTCTACAGCCACAGAATTTATGTGTGCTATGCCAGTACCTATAATTTTAAGTAGTCATTTTTTCTATTCTAGTCACCCATACTGTCTTCTAGTAATTTTTTTTTCTAGTAGAGCCAGATGATATGGATGCAAGAACTATGTAAATGTTCACCACAACTAAGTTGAAAACCACAACCCCACTTTGGGTTGGACTGCCATTCAGAGAATGTACAAACAAGATTTGCCTGGGGTTGCAGCTTAGGAAAAGAAAGACACATCCTGTCCAGGAAAGGTCAGTGAGAAATATCAAATTTTGAAAATGGATGCCTATAGAACTCAATGATGTTCTCTTCATCTTGGAGTCAGTCAAGAAGAGATTTTTGGGTGCTGGGGGGACAGTCACATTCAATCAACAAATTACGTAGCCAACATGTGTGAACCTAAAGGAAAAAAGGAAGTAAAATCAAACAGTTTGGCCATGTTAACAGATTTAGTGATAAAAGTTACAATGTGATTTAAGTGCAATTGGTCTCAAAAGCCTAAAATATTACATGAATGAGCTTCAAGGGACACATGCTTTGGCTGGAGTCAGCTGATTATTATCCTAAAAGTGTTAATAGTGGTGAGACATGACCAACACTTCAGGAAGTGGGCCAAAGGCCAATGCAGTTATTATGCCAGGAATGGTCTGGGGCCTTCTAAACCATGAGACAAATAGGTCAACTTTCACCAAGGAGAACAAATCTGGCATGCAGTGATGACCACTGCATTACACATGGGTTCAGGCTTGGTTTTTGGCTTAACTGTGGTTAGCATTTTCGGAGGACCAACCCTTACCATGGACTCTTAAATGAATGACCTTACAGATCAGCAGCTGAAATTCTGCATGATTTGAATCTGAAAAAGGATGTCCTTAATCTAATAGCCTTTAATTTCAATGTGGAAGACCAAACAGTTAGAACATGTACAATGACCCAAAACCCTGAGCTCTCACCATTAAGTGGAGCAGCCACCCCTGCTTCAGGTTCTGTGTGCCTGGCAATGAGGGCTATCCACAGTAGCCTAGTGAACACCATAAGGTGGCAGCTTCCTTGACTTGTCAGTGAGTTAGGGCTAGGCATTTAAAAAATATTCAGTGAACTGAAGACCTCATAGAGCCAGCAGTTTTTCTTCAAACAGTGAAGGGAGGTGTATTCATTCATTTTCACACTGCTGATAAAGACATACTCAAGATTGAGAAATTTACAAAAGAAAGAGGTTTAATGGACTTACAGTTCCACATGGCTGAGGGGGCCTCACAATCATCGCAGAAGGTAAAAGCCATGTCTCACTTGGTGGCAAACAAGAAAAGAGAGAATGAGAGTAAAGCAAAGGGGTTTCTCCTTATGAAACCATCAGATCTCATGAGACTCATTCACTACCACGAAAACAGTATGGGGAAACCCACTCCCATGATTCAATTATCTCCTACTGGGTCCCTCCCACAACACTTGGGAATTATGGGAGCTAAAACTTGAGATGACATTTGGGTGGGGACACAGCAAAACCATATCAAGGGGCATAAAATTTTTACCAAAGAACCTAATTTTTCTTTTACAACTAAGATGTTCCTGTGGCATTCCGATTTACTTTTAGAATGTGTTATATTCTAAGCGGTCTTCTGATGTCTTGTAGAACTCAAATTCTCTCACTTCAAAATTGGAAAATTAAGCTGGGAAGCCCCAAGCCCTTGATGTGGCAGGATTCAGTTTGACAAGAGCATTGTAGCAAGCCAACCTCAACACTGACTTTCAAATCAGTGTAAGTAGTAGTGTCAGGGAGATTCTGTGTCAAAAACTCCAAGGGCCACCTCTAGGTGGAGGCTGACTCCCTCTCTCAGAAGCTTCAAAAGAAAACAATGTCAAGCTGGAAGAATTGAGCTATGTAAATCTGCCCACATAGTTGCAGTGAACCTTAACTGGAAAACAGAACTATGAGATTTTAGTAATTTTATCAGCTACTGACAGAGAGATGTTACCATTCTAGGAAAGAGTATGAAGGCAGATGCTTCTAAATTAGGAGCCAACAGAACATCATCTATAGAGTTGATATTTTGGATATCAGAGGGTAGAGGCACTCATGATACATTATGTGCTGCCACTTTGGCAAATGGCAGGGAAGTTTGTCTCACTTACACTTCTCTACCTGTTCCTCACCCAGTTTAGAAAAATCTCCTCTGGCACTTACTGAGCAGGCAAGGATAAAAACACCTAACCTGACAATTGCCACTATAGAGTCTGATGTAGAAACACAGAAACACAACAGGACATTGATTTAGCTCAAAAAGTTCCACCTCCATTTTTATGTGACTCTCCTGTCTTCACTGTCACCATGCCCAAACACTATTAGTTGAGTTTTGCTGTCTGTTTTTATTTTATTGTTTACCTTTGTTTTATGTTATCCTGTATGTAAACACAGATTTACAACTAACACTATACCCAGGACACGAAAACACAAAAGACCAATAAAGACTGGAATAGGTGTGTGTAGGGGATAGGACACAGCAATGGAAAGATGTTATTCTCTTTAAACTTTTCACCCTGAGGTCTGTGCTGTCTCTTCACTTTTGTACCTTCCAGCATTTGGAGAATATTCAGAATCAAAGGCTTCCACCTGATGAAGGAGGGTGGAGGACTTCGTCTACAGGATGAAGTCCAACATCAAGGTGTGGGTAGGGTGTGTTTTCTCGGAGGCCTCTCTCCTAGGCTTGTAAGTAGCCACATTCTCATTGTGTCCTCATGTGGCCATTTCTCTCTGTGTGCACATTTGTATCCTTATTTCCTCTTTCATGGAGACATCACTTAGATTGGATTAGGACCCACCCTAAGGTCCTCATTTTAAAACTTTTTTGATTGTAACTGACACAAAATTGTCTGCATTTATGGTACTGTTTTGAAATACACACATATTGTGGAATGGTTAACCCAAGCTAGTTTGCATATGCATTACCTCACATACCCATCATGTTTTTGTTGTGAGAACACTCGAAATCTACTGTATTAGTCAAGAACACAATACATTAACTGTAGTCACCAAGTACAATAGATCTCTTGCACTTATTCTTCCTAACTGAAATTTTGTATAATGTGACCTTCTCTCCACCACCCCACCTGTGCCCCCAAGGACCTCATTTTAACATAATTATCTGTGTGATGACACTTTCTTCAAATATAGCCACACTCTTACGTACTGGGGTTTAGGGTGTCAACATACAACATACAAAAAATAAGATTAAAATATTACAAACTATTATTTTTTATTAAAAGGGAATAAAATTAGAAATTGATAGCAGAAAAATACTGCAAAATCTACAAACATGTGGAAATTAAACAACATACTTTTGAGCATGCTCTTATTCAAGGGTTGGAAGACAATATTGTGAAGATGTCCACATTACACAGTGATCTACAGATTTAATGCCATCTCCATCTTATTTTAACTGTCATATTATTTTGAAGAAATACAAAAAAAAATTCTAAAACTTATATGGAATCTAAAGTGAGTATCGAGAACCAAACAAACTTCAAAGAAAGAAATGCTATTGGAGGCATCACACTCCTTGACTTTATAATGTATTACAAAGCTACAGTAACCAAACCATTTGGTACTGGCATAAAGGCAGACAGACAGACCAACGGAAAAGAACAGAGCACAGAAATAAAATCTCATATATATGGCCAAATGAAGAATTATTTGTATATCCATATGCATTGCAGCATTGCTCACAAAAGCTAATAGGTGGAAGCAGCCCAAACGTCCCTCAGTGATTGAGTAGGTAAAGACAATTTGAAATATACAAACAATGGAATATTATTCAGTTTTTTAAAAGCAGGAGATCTGATTATTTTTACACTAAACATAAATCTTGAGGACATTATGTAAATAAAATAAACCAGCCACAAAAGGACACTGTGTGATTCCAGTTAAATAAGATATCTAAAGTAGTTAAACTCCTAGAAACAGAAAGTAGTCAGAGCCTCAGGGGAGGAGATAAAGGGGTAGTTGTTGTTTCATAGATATTGAGTTTCAGTTTTGCAGCAAAAACATTCTAGAGATATGTTGCATGACAGTGCAAATATATTTAATATTATTTAATTATGTACTTAAAATATTTAAGATGGTCAATTTTACGTGTTTTTGACTACATTAAAAATGAAAACCTTCTAAGGAGATACATATTTTTAAATCTTTTCAAAAATTACCTTCAAATCATAAAAATGTAAGAAAAACAATAAAGAGGCCAGGTGCAGTGGCTTATCTATGTAATCCAAATACATCAGGAGGCTGATGACGGAGAATAGCTTGAGGCCAAAAGTTGGAGACCAGCCTGGGCAACATAATAAGCCCTCATCTACAAATCACAAGCAGAAGGAAACTGGCAAATCAAAATATATATGAAACTTAAAACAGCACACTCTTGACCTCTTGTTCAAGGATCAGAAATTTTATTATTGTTAAGATGTCAATACTACTTGGATTGAAGCACAAATTCAAAGAAAAGTATTTTATATCAAAATCTCAATGTTACTTTTTTGGAGAAATATTATTTTAAGTCCTAAAATTTATATGGAATCTCAAGGCATGTCTGGCACAAAAGCTGAGTTTTCTTTTTTGGAGAAATATTATTTTAAGTCCTAAAATGCATATGGGATCTCAAGGGACAATGAGTAGCCAAAATAGCTGTAGGGAAGAACAAAGTTGGATTGCAACTTTATTGCAAAATATATTACAAAGCTGTAGAAATTCAAACAGAAAGACAAATAGATGATGAAACAGAATGGAGAACCCAGAAATAAATCTTCATGAATATCAGCAAATAATCTTCAATCAAGTTGCCATGACCGAACAAAGGGGAAGAACAGACGCTTTAGCAAATAGTGTTACAAAACCGAATATCAAAATTAAAAAAAATGAAATTTAACTTTTCACTTGCACTGTATACAAAAATATCTTAAATGAATTAAATACTTAAATGTAAGTAAGATAGCTCTAAAACTTTTAAAATAAATTATAGGGTAAACAATTGTGACATTTGTCCTGGTAATTTTTTGAACATGACATTAAAAGCAGAAGTAACAAGAATAAAAACAGAAAAATGGGACTACATCAAGTGTAATAAGCTTTCTGGACATCAAAGAAAACATTAAGTGGAGTAAAAATGTCATTTAAGAAATGAGAAAAAATTGCAGATAACATATTTGATAGACGTTAATATCCAGAATGTATAAACAACCTCTAAAACTCAACAACAAAAAGTAAATAACCCTATTTAAAAATGGGCAAAATGATCAACGTATGTTTTTAAAAACCAGATATACAAATGGCCAAGAGGAATTTGAAAGATGCTCAAAACTACAAATCTTGAGAGAAATAAAAAGCAAAATCCCAATGAGATATTACCTCACACTCATTAGGATGGCCACTATCAAACAAGAAATAATAACAAATGTTCTCAAGGATGTAGAGAAATTGGAACACTGTACACTGGTGGTGGAAAAAATAATAATGCAGCCATTATGAAAAATAGTACAGATATTCCTCAGAATACTAAAAATGGAATTCTAATACGATCTGGCAATCTCATTTCTGGATATCTATCTAAATGTTCAAAGCAGGACCTGCAAGAAACATTGGCACACTCATGTTAATAACAGTATTGTTCTCAAAATCCAAAAGGTAGAAACTGCTTAAATCACAATCAAGTTTATATATCTCACTGGATCTCTGTGATTTCACCTCCTCTCCTTGCTTTTCATACCTCTTCCTTGCCATCACTGGTCTCTGGTTCCTAAAACTCACCCTGTTCACTCCCATTTCAGGACCATTGCTCAATAGAATCATCTGTGTGGAATCTTCTTCCCCAGAATCTTTGTATGTCATTCCCTCTGTTGCTAGGTTACTGGGATCTCAATGTAAACGTTATGTCCTGACAGAGGCTGCTGTGAGCTGAATTGTGTGCTTCCCAAAATATATATATAAAATAATTTAATTCTGATCATATGTTAAAATACTTCCGATATATTGTTATTAAAATCAATTTCACTCATTTTTCTTTTTTTATGTTGCTACTACAAAATTTTATTTGACACACGTGGCTCACATTTTACTTCTATTGCACATTGCTGCAATAGAGGATTGCCTATTTTCACAGCTCAGGCTGCCTCAAAAGCCAAAAGGCCAGAAAGATTGTAAAATCTAAAATTTTTAAATAATTGTCATTGGTCGAGCATGGCAGCTCATGCCTGTGATCCCAGCACATTGGGAGGCCAAGGTGGGCGGATTACTTGAGCTCAGGAGTTCAAAACCAGCCTGGAGAACATGGCAAAACCCTGCCTCTTCTAAAAATACAAAAATTAGCCAGGCAAGGTAGTGGGCACCTGTAATCCCAGCTGCTCAGGAGGCTGAGGCAGATGAATTGCTTGAATCTCGGGGTCGGAGGTTGCAATGATCCGAGATCGCACCACTGCACTGGAGCCTGGTTGACAAAGTGAGACTCTGTCTCAAAAAAATAAAAATAAAAATAATTGTCATTATGTTGTTTTCATTTTGAATAATAAACACACATACACACTCACACACACACCCACAAACACACACCCCTCTCCCCAACACACACACACAGAGTGAGGAAGAGATAGAGAGAGAGGATCTCGCTCTGTCACTCAGACTGGAGTGCATGCAGTGGCCTGATCTCAGCTCACTGCAGCCTCTACCTCCCAGGCTTAAATGACCCTCCCACCTAAGTCCCCCAAGTAGCTGGGACCACAGACAAGCTCCACCATGCCTGGCTATTTTTTCTTTCTTTCTTTTTTTTGTAGAAAAGGTTGGGGGGCGGAGGGTGCTCACACTATGTTGCCAAGGCTGGTCTCGAACTCCTGGTTTCAAGAGCTCCTCGCCCCTCAGCCTACCAAAGTGTTGGGATTACAGGTGAGATTCACCATGTCCAGCTGTATATATACATATATGTGCATATATATAATTTATGAATAAAAATAAACTTATATACAAGGTTAAATGCAAATGTCTCATAGTGAGGGCCAGGTTTCAGCATAAGGAGTAAGTCCTGCCTGAAAGGGGCTGCACCTAGGAACGTTTCACTCTCTCCTCGCTTGGCTATGAATTGGTTCACATTCTGTCACGCAGGACCTGAAGGGGAGGGCCTGGAACCCTATTATCCAATCACTGGTTCTGGGGTAAAAACTGTCTTAAAGCTATTATTTTCATGCTTAATCATGCTAATTTTTAGTGAGAAACTTAAGATTAGCTAACAAAACAAGACGTTAAGATTTTAAATTACTAAATAAAAAATTAAAATTATGACATAGGTACTTCCTTTAATGTTTTTTGGGGGGGTTTCAAGAATCTATGTTATATATTGAAATCTACTGCTTATGTAAGCCCTACCCTTAAATCAAAACAACCTTGATGTTATTGTGAACAGGTACTTAGCACAAATCCTACTCTTAGGCAAATTTATATAAGTGCTCCATACCTTGAAAGTCACTCCAACAAAGCTGGAGAACCATCTGTTCCTGAGGGATCAGATCATCATCTGTGTCTTTGAGACACTGGCCAGTCAGGCTTCAGTGGACATGAAGCCAATAATTTTAAATGTAAAATGCCTAAACTATCATAATCTTTAGGTAGATATTTGGGGGTCTGCACACTTAAATGGGTTGGCGAAATGTCACACCAGACACATGGCTAGGAATTGCGGTTTTCTCCTCTGCTCCTAGTAACACCTTGGTAACCCAATGATTACCGTCCTTCGTGCCTCCAAGTCCAGATCTGCAAAAACGCGTTGGGGAGGGTGATATTTTCATGAAGCCACAGCCCATGTTCACTCCCTGCAAAGCTCTGAACCCGTGCATCCCCAGGTCAGGCAGTGGATGTCTTTCAAAGGCAGCTGAACTTGCACTTTGGTTAGATAGAACAGAGGGCAGCAGCACAGTAGACAGCGTCTGGTACTTCAGACCAGTTCCCACAGCCACTTAGGAAATCAGGCAGCTCCGTGGGCTGGAGGAGGCACAGATGCTCTGGGAAGACCCTGAGTGACTCTCAAGATCCTCTCCTGACTCAATCCCCTTGGGAAGGGTTTGGCACGGAATCAATGGCCAGCAAATCTTGGTAAGTGAAGAGGCCTACACCACCCTGCCCCTTCCTGTAGGGCTGCACACAGCCTCTGCCCTGTCTCAATCTGGGACTGTTATCCTGCAGCCACAACAGCCACCGTTTGGAACCGGAGAAGAGACTACAACTCCCAGAGTGCCCCATGAGAGGTCTGTAAGGCTGGGTTCATTTTCCTTAAACTTTTTTTTTTACTTGTATCTTCAGATTGAATAATTTCTATTGTTGTGTGTTTTGTTTCTGATCTATAGATAAGCTCAAAATTATTCTTTTTGTGTCTTATTTTTCTATTTGGCTATTTTTTATTTCTCTGCTGAGGTTCCACATCTGTTCCTTTATAAGTATATTTTTTCCTTTGCCTCCATTAGCATACTTGTAATAGCTGCCTTCAAATTCTTGTCTGCTGATTACATCTTGGATATCTTGGAGATGTCTACTGCCTGCCTTTTATCTTGTGTATGTATTGCATTTTCATGTGTCTTCACCCATCTCACGAATTTGAAAATTGTGTACAAGAGACTGTATACAAGAGTTATAGAGACTCTGGATTCTGTTGTGTCCCTTTGAAGAGTGTTGATTTTTAAAGAGAGTGCTAATTGGCCTGGATTATAACTTCAATTCTTGTCTCTCCTAAGGAGGGCACAGGGGACATCCTCATTCACTTCTTATACACACATATCTCATATATGTATTATATATAGAAGTGTTTATAATGATATATACTATTTTATCTAGGATTCATCATTTTTCTCTGTGAGAGTGTTAGTTTAACTAGCTAATTCCCATTAGTGAAAGCAAGAATGTCAGTTTTGATTTTTGGATTTAGTATAAATGAAATTATATAGTTTGGATACTTTTACATCAATTTTTAAATGCAAGATTATATTTGTGATATTCATTTATGCTGTTGCATGTATCTACAGTCTGTTCATTTAAAAATTCCTTTTTTACATTGTGGTAAAATATACATAAAATTAACTATTTTAACAATTTCTAACGTGCAAGTCAGAGGAATTAATCATGCTCAGATTGTTCTGCAACCATCATCCACATTCATAGGGAATTTTGTTCATTTTGCAAAAATAAAAATAAAAGATAGAAACAGCCCCCATTTACCTTCTTTTGGCCCCTGGGAACTAACTACTCTTCTACTTTGTGTTTCTGTGAATGGGACATCCATAAGAACCTCATATGAGTGGAATCACACAATATAGTAAAGAAATCATGAGGAAGAACAATATACACTGTATAACATGTTTATTAATTTAAATAAACAGATCAGTAGTACATGGGGATTATAGAGAAAAATAGACAAAAAAGAAAAAGCAGTTAGAAGGGTGTGTTATATTTATGACTATGGTGTCTCAAGTTACAGAGCAGTGCCCCATACACAGGGCTGGCCATGGTGCAGCTGGGAGCCCAGTGCAGCTGTCTGACTCCCAAAGCCCATGCTCAGCCCAAACAACACTGAGCCCTGAGGCACTCTGCCCCTGCCAGCCCAGGTACTTAGTGGCCCTGAGATTCACCATGGCCTGTTCTTGGTCTTGAGGGTGTTGCTGGCCTACTGGGATGGGGGCTTAGCTGACAGAACAAGTAGGAGCTTCAGGAAATAGTGGCAGTTCTGAGGCTACCAGGAGCCACACCTCAACCTTCCCACTGCCTGCCCAGGGGTTCCCAGGCAACAGGGCCTAATGTTGACCTGGGAGCCATGGCCACAGGCTCTCTGAAGCTGGCTGCAAGATAGTCTTCTCCTACCGTCTGCTAATCTGTTAGGCCCTCACCTTTTATTCTGACTGTGTCACACTTCATGGACTGGACCAAAACCCCAAATTCCTCCTCAGTTGGAAGATGGCAATCACCCCCTGTCACTGAAACAGCTGCATTTCCTGGAGGACTTCGATGGGAGACAGAAGGAAGGGTGGGATTCTGACAGGTCCTGGGTGGAAGATAACAAAGAGAACTTATAGGGGAGGGATAGAGCAGCAGTGAGTTTCTGGGGCTTTTCTTTTAAGGGACCCCACCCTCTCTTCCAATCCCATGTAACCCTAACCTGTTCTCAGAGTTGGATATAAACAGTTCCTCATCTAGGAATTTATTGTTGATTCTAGTCCCCTAATCAAACCCTCCATTAGAATGGATCTCCTCTGTGTATCAAACCTTCCCAATAACTTTAAGATGCAGAGGGTGAAGCCAGCGAGTGGCCTCTTCAGGGTGGTGTCTGACTGTCACGTCCCCAGCCTCCCTCAAAGTGAGACCCCAGCTGCTCTCCTTCCTCCTTTATTAGTGTTGATTATATTTTCCTGGAAGGTAGACAGCCAAGATCCCTCAGAAAGACCCCCTGGCCCATGACTAGCCCTCATCCCCTGTACTTCCCATGCTGCACCACCGCCAGGGCTGCCAGGGTCAAGGCATGTGCATAAAACAGGACTTGGACCTACATCAGGTTCTGGGCTCCACAGAAGGGACACCTTTTGCCCTGATTCTCTGTGATGATAGACAGGGAAACTGAGGCCTAGGAAACAAAAAAGGCACTCAACAATTTAGGAACTTCCTGTCTTAGGAGGGGCCCAATTTCTGTTTTCTCCAATGGGTACCACCTAAGGCAGAGGCTGAGACTTAGCTCTGCAGCTTCACTACTCAAGGAACAGTGACTGGTGTCTTTGCTGGAGCCTCTGTCACTCATAGATAAGATGGAACTGACACCCCCCTTTCACATGGGCATCTGGTAGGCTCTCAGGAAAGCAGGTTTGCTGAGTGCTGCAATCTCAGGGCTTATTCCAGGACTCTGTTCTCACAAGCTTCAGGATCTTGGTTCCCAAACTGCCTGCCTGCCCCAGTGTCACACACATCATTATAATCCTCTATGGCAATGTCCAGCATCATCAGGTCAGTGAGAAGTGTGCCGAGAGAGGGTACAGCTCCCTGTTCCTCCAAGGTGGTAGCAGTGATGAGCACAAATTCTCAGCTTCCTGCATAAGGCCTGTCCTTTGAACTCTCACCAACCCATGTCTCCTTGACGCCCCTACCCAAGTCTCCCACTTGGAGCAGCCAAGGACCCTCAGCCTCCTTACAAGACATCTTTACCTCCTCTTTCCACAGCTGGCCTCCAAAGACACCAAGCTCTTTCTAGTTAACTCTAAGGTAGGATTTTAATAAGTCACAAAGTCAGGTTGTCCCCAGCCTCACTCTTTTCCCAATCCACTGTGAACTCAGCTCTCTAAGTCTCTTTCTCTGGTCACGTTAATGAAGGCATTCCAAGTACTGTGGCCACAGGAGGGCAGGGCTAGAGGAGGAAGACACTCTGGTCTCTTGATGTGGAGAACTCCAGCTGGGAGGGAAAAGCCCTGTCCTTAACTCCCTGGAGCAGCAACAGCAGCATCTGGACTCTAAAAAGTTCCCTACCTAGCAGAGTCAGAAACAGGGTCAGTGAGACTGTGGTTCTCTCACCGAGTTATACCCCAGACCCCTGACCTCAGATCTTGGATAACTGCATGAGGCAGCTGGTGCAATGCTCCCACCACCTCCAGTGAGCCCTGACTCTAGATTTACTCCCAGCTCCAACATTCAGTGTGTGTGTAACCCTTGGGCATGCAGCCAGGCCTCCCTGAGACTGTTTCCTCATCTGGGAAGCATGATGGGAACAACACCTTCCTCACAGGGCCTTTTGGGGACTCAGTTGCATGTGGTTATCCACACTGTTCTCACCATCATCCCTCTCAGGAAGAGGAAGGCACAAGAACTCTCAAAATTTCTTCCTCCTTTGCACCTTATCATGACCCTCTGAGGACTGCACAACAGGCTTCCTGGATTTTCCAGATGAGGAAACAGAGCGTCAAGGAGGGAAATGACTTGCCCAGGACCCCACAGGAGAGGCTGGCTCCTCCTCCCACCTGGAGGGCCTGCCCCAGCTGCTTCATGCCGCACACCAGCACCACCACTGACCAGGGTCCCATCCTCTGGACTCTATGTGTGTCCACATCCCCATTCAGGTCCAGGTTTGGTGGAAAAAAAAAAAAAAAACATGATGTCTTGGTAGGCCTGTTTGAGCAGTGCCAGCTTGTTCCAGCTTCACTGGAATTGGTATCACACAAGCTGGATATGAGGCTATGACAAAGACTTCACCTCCCTGATGATCCACCAAAGGAGATTCCCACACAGAACTCTCTCTTTATCCACTCCGTGCAGCTGGTCTGCAAGTGAAATTGTGCCCGTGTCCCACCTAGCAGCTACTGGACTCCAGTGTCTCTGATACCCATGGCTGATCACACCCGCCTTTAGAAGGCCACTAAGATTCAGGAGGACACAAACAGATCTTTGGCTCAGACAGGTTGCTTCAGCCTTATGTCCCGGGCCATCTCCTCTGGCCTTCAGAAGGCCCCTGTCAGCCTCAGTGTGCCAAGCCCTGACGCTGGCAGCCTTCAGGAGGTGGAAGATGACTTTTCTCTCTGATTCCATGCCCTGTTAGCCAGGACAGGGGAAGACTCGAGGCCTGCACAGTGGTTTCTGAGTCTCCAGGACCCAGTTTTCCCATTGTGGTGACAAGGAGGATGGCCAGAAGTACTGGTTTGGGGAAGATGGAGGGCAAACAGGAGGAGAAGGTGAGCTTCCAGAAAGAGGCCCACCACAAACATTTAGTGCATTGGTGGGCATGGGGATTGCTGGGTGCTGCTTGGAGGCAAGGCCATGGACCGATCGCCATGATAACCGCCCCCTGCCAGGGGTCACCAGGGATTGTCTGAAAACCCTTGGAAATGATACACACCCCTGATGCTCAAGGAATGGAAGAAGCTCCAGCCTCAGCAGCTGATCTAAGATGCTATGGGGGACAGGGACCCGCACCGAGTATCCTTTGGACTGCAGCCTGGGCATGCAGTCTGGGTCTGGGGCACCAGTAGAGTGCAGCCTGTGCCTCCACCATCCTTCCCCTCTTCTGGCTCACTCCTAGTCTGGCTGTGCCAAGATTTTTGCGGCCTGATCTCAGGCCCTGCCTGAGAAGTGTGTAAGGTTGGAGAGGCAGAGCAGTGTGAGTGGGGGAGGTGATTGATGAGAGCCCTGCTCATGTGCTGGGTGCTGTGAGAAGAGGGGACAGAGGTGGTCATTTTGTTCTGTTCAGAGAAGAAAGGACAGGCCAAAGCTCATGACACACTGTCTTTTTAGGGGGCCTCCCATTCAAGTCCTATCCAGTCTCCACTGTCCTACACTTCTGCAGACTGAGAAGATAAGACTCTGGTAGATGGGCATGGCTGCAAAGGTCCACATGCCCCCCTTGACAGACCCACAGACAGACAGCACTAGGGCCAGCACCCACGGAGGCTCTCTCCTGTGTGCTGGGCAGTGGACTCCCACATTCACACTAGGCAGCTATTCTGCCCCACCCCCCAGCCACCTGGCTCCAGTGACTAAAATCATCAGGGCTGATCAGGACCCCTGTTGGCAGGACTGCTGAGATTCAGCACGACCTGGACAAATCTTTGGCTCAGATGGGCCTCTTGAGCCTTTGGTGTCCTGGGCCATCTTTCCTTGCCTTCAGAAGTCCCCTGCCAGCCTGAGTGGGCCAGGCCCTGACCCTGGCAGCATTTCCCTGGGAGCCCCATCTCACCTACCCTCCATTCCCAGGTATCTTGCTCAGTGCTTTCCACTTTCCCAGGACAAGCCTAGACACAGACATGTCTAGACCCTGTGTGTTTGCCTTTATGGTGAGCAAAGAAAGAGAATGATTTCCATTTTCTTTTTATTTTTTTCTAACTTTACCTATAACTTATTTACTGTAAAAAGGCTTAGGCTGTGGGAAACCTGACTCACCCACCCAGGAGGCCCCAGCCATTAATTCAGTACCTTTCCAACCCACCGTGTCTCTAAATATTTCCACACTTAATAAAATAGGGGGAAGCACGAACAAGTGCAATTCCACTGGCACCAGAGCTGCGAAGATGGGGCCAGAAGGTCATGCCCATTAGGATTCTACAGGAATTCTATAGAAATAAACAACTCAAGGTTTGTTTGGACAGATTGACACGGAGAAATAACTTTGATAGGTTCTAGAACACAGAAGTTAAGCTTCCTAACAGCCATGACCTTACAGGTTCCTCTTCCTGAATTTGGCAATGTTTTTTGATGTCCAAATTTCCATGATGGCCTCACATATATAGAATAGTTTATACCATTCATTTTTATATTACTAATGGTGCATTTTGGCTGACAGTGTTTCCTACATCATGGTTAGTTTCCTACCTTGCTTGAAAATTGGAAGTGACAGCCCTTTATGGAATGCCGTTTTTGACACACCTCCATGTAAGGCTCTATGTCCGCACAGTGCTAAGATGTCAAGTAGTCCTCACTCTTCCATTTTGAGGGGGCCAGGGGCAGCAGAGGCAATTTGAGAATACAAAGTACCTTGGAATCAGAATTTGCTCTTCAATCAGTTTTAGTGCAAATTGCACATCTATTAGAATAGCCTGTTCATGCACTCTCAAGATTTCAAGGAGGGACAATTGTCACCTTTGAAAAATGGAAGTGACCAATGGACTGCCCTCAGATATTTTGTTTGTTTGTTTCTGGCATTTGGTCATAACATTGTAGATCGTTTCTTTTGGAATCACTGGGTGATGAGAATCCCCAGGCTGGAGAGCTGGGCACGGCGGAGTCCCTGTGGGAGAAGTGTTACTGGGGTCGCTGAGGTGGCAGGAAAGCAGCATCTGAGATACTCTCTGGCGCGGCCCGGGTGCTGGGTGAGGCAGCCAGCCCAACAGCTTATTCTGTGTGTGGAAGGGCCACCCCAGGCCTGGTCACGGACTCCAGCATCCAGGAAACAGGCGCGGGCCAGGGAGCGCCTTACACATTTACCTCTGCAGTGCGTGGGGCCTCCATCTGCCACTGGGTGCCCCACTTCTTCCTGCAGTGACGGGTCCTGTTCCCTTCCTTCTGGAGGCTTCAGAGGACTTTTCTCTCTGATTCCTGGCATGTTAGCCTGGACGCTGCAGGACCCCAGATCTGCGTGTTTCTAGAGTCTCTACAGTGCAGGTGCCCCATTGTGACAAGGAGGATGACCAAAAGTAGGGGGTTAGGGCGGTGAAAAAAAGAAAAAAAAAGGCAGGAGAGTTGCTGTAGGGAGGAGGCCTGACATGACTGCCTCTAGTTGGGGGCTGCTGGTGCCCCTCAGGGGCAGGGCTGGTCGCTGCCAGGGCAAGGCGATCTGCTGTGCTGAAGATTCTTACCTTTTCCACCCTTTCCCCCTCTGGGGACACCTGGGGAACCAGCTGAAGCACTAATTCCACACCCAGAACAAAGACTGCGGACCCTGATGTGTGCTCCTGCCTGCAGGACACAAGCATGAGCTATGGAGCACCGCATATGTCTAAGTTGTTGCAGGCTGGACCTGCCTCCCCACTGGGCTCATGACTTCTTCCTGGAGTGTGGGGGAGTTCTTCCTGGAATGCTGTTCATTCTGGAGACGGCAGATGACTTTTCTCCTGGACTTCCTACATGTTCACCTGACCCCTGCAGGGCCTGAGTTCAGTGGGTTTCCAGGGTCTCCTTGGTGTCAGGCGCCCCATTGTGACGACAGGGACGATGATCAAAAGTATGCTGGTGGTTGAGGAAGAAGAAAAGGAGTGGAGTTGCAGGGCAGAGGCTTGACAGAATCGCCTCCAGCCTGGGGCAGCTGGGGTGGCGAGGTTGGGGCTGGTTGCTCCCTGGGCAATAAACCATGCTGAAGAATGTCATTATCCCCACCTTCAGCTGGGGTGGCGAGGTTGGGGCTGGTTGCTCCCTGGGCAATAAACCATGCTGAAGAATGTCATTATCCCCACCTTCAGCTGGGGGCACCTGGGCATATCTGAAAATCTTGGGAAAGTGTTCACGTTTTCAGCACTTAAGAAAAGGAAGAAGTGGCAGCCGCAGAGGCTATTCCAGGCCTTTCAGCAGCATCTCAGCACCTGCATCGAGTGCCACCTGAACCACAACCTGGGCCTGCAGCTTTAGGCTGGGACACCTGTGAGAGCTCAAGCCTCACCGCCACCAGCCACTTTGGATTCACTTCTCCTCTGGCTGTGCGTGCTGGAGTTTGGGTCTCCTAGTCTCTGGTCTGCCCAGTAAGAGTGCAGGGGGTGTGGAGAAGCAAAGGGGTGAAGTCAAGAGCATTTTTCCAGTGCTGGGCATAGTGAGAAGTCAGAAGAGAGGTGATGATCTGGTTGTGCTTGAAGGGGAGAGGCCAAAGGCCAAGACATTCTGCCTTTTTAAGGGACTTACCTTTCAAGCCTTATTTGGTCTCCACTGGCCTTTGCTTCTGAGCACGGATGAGTTGGGGCTCTGTTACATGGATGTCTAAGGAGATCCTAACCCTCTCCCTGAACGACCGAGAGACCAATAGCTCTAGTCCAGCAACTAGATGATGTGACAGTCTTTTGCTACCTGTGCCCTCCCTACATAAGGGATTGTGACATACCACTGGGCCAAGCACCCAGGTAATGTGACTCTCCTGCCTGTCCCTGCCTACACTGGGCATTGTGACATATCACTGAGCCAAGCACCCAGGTGATGTAACTCCTTGTTTGGGACCTGTCAACAGAAGGGATTGTGACATATCTCTGGCCTATCACCCAGGAGATCTGACTCTCTTGCTTTCTGTTCACCCACAGGTAAGATTGTGACCTCTACCTAGACCAAGCATATATCATGATGTCTCTCAGGTGTGGAATGACCCAATAAAAGATATCTTGACTCTTACAGACAGATTTTGGTCAAAGGGTAAGGTCCTGAGTCTCCTACTTGTAAAAAGTTACAGAAGATTCTGACACACACACATATATTATGAAGGTTTTGGGTGGTACAGAGAGTTTCATAATACAAACCAGAGCACAGTTGATATTGTGACTTTCATAGGCACATCCTGCTGAAAATTAGAATTGCCACCCTCATACATGGACAGAGCCCCACTGGTGAGCTCCTGAATCTCACATGCAGATAAAGTCCACAGTTGGAATTGTGACTGCTATATGTAAATCTGGCCACAGGTGGGATGGTGACCCATTTCTGGTCCCAGCTCACAGGCCCAGTAATGACTTTAATAGCTGGACCCAGCCAATAACATAGATGTTTGCTTTAGTAACTAGGCTTAAGGCAACAGGTAATGTCCTGGGTTTCTTACTTGTACAAAAGTCACAGAGCCCTACAATACTCAAGCATATTGCACATTGCACTCAAGTGGTAAAGAGTTTCATAACAGGGTCCATCATGAAGAGGAAATTGTGACTTTTGTCTCCATACTCAGCTAACAGTAAGGATTATCATCCACCTACATGGGCACAGCCCATTGTTGAGGTTCTGAATCTCACATCTGAAGGGAAGTGAAAGTTGGAACTGTGACTGTTATACATGCATTCGGACCACAGGTACGATAGTGACTTTTGGATCAAGATTAAACACCCCATGAGGCTGTGTCTGCTTTATTAGGACACTTTTTTTTCAGAGGAGGTTGGGGCTTTTATGCACAGATCCAGTCCACTGTTGACATTGTGACTAATGTACTTGGATAGAACTCACAAAAGGTGTTGACTTTAATGTTTGGAGCCAGGCCACATGCAATATTGTGAATCTCATCCCTGGACATTTCTGCAGGTGTGAGTTTTACACATATCTTTGCCCAGCACTTAGTTGATTTTACTCTTCTGCCTGGTTCCCATCTAAACAGGGGATTGTGACCTATTCCTAGCCAAAGCACATAGGTGATGTGACTGTCCCACCTGGGCTATCCTCTCAGAGGAGATATTGAAATATTTATGCATTAATCACCAGGTGATGTGACTCTCCTCACTGGCCTGGGCTCAGCCCCCAAGGGGCATTGTGACATATTACTGGGTCCATCATCTAGGTTGATGTGACTCTCCTCTCCTGCCTGGGCCCCATCCCCATTTGGAATTTAGACATATTCCTGGTCCCATCACCTAGGTGATGTGACTCTCTTCTTTTGCCTTGGACCTGCTTACTGAGGAATTGGGATGTATTACCGGGCCCAGCACCTGGTAGACTTGACTGTACTTTTTTGCCTGGACTCTCCCTACAGAAGTGATTGGGACAAATCAATGGGCCAAGCACCCAGGTGATGTGGCTCTCCTGTCTAAGCAATGTCTGTAGTTGGGATTATGAAATATACCTTGGCCGTGTTTTCTAGGTGATGTAACTCTCCTCCCTGAGTCCCTCCTCAGAGGACATTGTGATATATCTCTGTGCCCATCACCTAGGTCATATGACTCTTATTTTTTTTCCTGGGCTCTGTCCACAGGGTGATTTGTAACACATTGCTGGACCCAGCACCCAGATAATTTGGCTCTCCTGCTATGGCCCTGCCCACAGAAGGCATTGTGATATATCAGTGGACTCAGCAGCCAGGTCATGTGACTTTCCTGCCAGGGCTCTTCTCTCAAAATGGATACTGACATATCTCTGGGTCATCATTCAGGTGATGTGGTTCTCCTTCCTGGTCCCTGCCCACAGGTGGTATTGTCTCATATATCTAGGTCCAGTTCATAGGCATGATGATGACTATCATACATGGACACAACAAACAGAAGAGATTTTGACTCTTCAAGCTGGACTTATTGCAATGTATCGGATCTTCAGTCTCCTAGTTTTGGAAAGGTCACAAAGTATGAGGAAGCTTATGCATATTCTATAATGCCCTTTGATGGTACAGAGATTGTTATTACAGGGCCCACCATACAGCCAACAGTTAAAATTGTCAGTCTCACATATGGACAAAGCCCACTCTTAAGGCCCTGAATCTCACTCATAGACACAGTCCACAGTTGGAATTTTGACTGTCATATGTGGATCTGGTCACAGGTAAAATGGTGACTCATTGCTGGACCTGGCTCCAAACAAACAAGCAAATAAAACAAACAAGCACAACTTTAAATTTATCTTTTTTTAGAAAAAGAATACCAATAATAAATACTTCAATGTAACATAGTTGTTTAGTGTTTACAAAATAGTTCACTTTGAAACTGTAGTAACAAACTTCGTATGTAAATATTATAATTATGATAATAGCTATAGGGACCTGTATTTTAGTCTAATCAATCTACTCAATTTCAAGCAATTCAGATATTGCAGAAAGTGTGTACTTTTCTGGGTACTGGTAGCAATGTAAATTCAAAACTTATTAATCAACTGAAAACTATTAAAACACCAACCATTAACAATATGCTTACAGATATCATATGGCAGAGACTGTAAAGGTGAAGAAACTTGTCAGCGTGGAGAAACCCTCAGTCCAATCCTAAATTTTAATCTGAGCAAGATAATTCCTACTGAAGTAAATCCATGTGAATGTAGTCTGTGTTGGAAAATCTTTATTTTTATCTATTCCTTCCTAGGCACCTCATATCTCACCCTGGAAACAAGCCATATGAATGTGAAGAAAATAGACAGAAGCCAGATAAACCTTAACAATGTCAGAAAGCCATCATTTTGTTCACACATCTTCAAGGACACATGGCATTGCACACTAGAAATGGACCTTATAAAAGTACTGTATGTGAAAAAGCCTTTGATTTTCCCAATGTACCTTATATACGTCAGAGAAATCACACCAAACAGAAAGCCTGTAAGTGTAAACAATGTGGTAGAGCCTTCAGCCACTTGGATTCTTTTGAGAAACATAAAATAACTCACACTGGGACAAAACTCTGTAAATGGAAGGTATGTGGTAAGGCCTTCAGATATTTCAGTTATCTTTGTAACCATGAAACCACTCATACTGGAGAGAAACACTATGAATGTAGACAATTTGGTGAAGCCTTTAGTTATTCCAGTAACTGCTCTAAACATGGAAGAACTCATACTAGAGGAAAACATGAATGTAATGAATGTGAAATCACATTTTATTCCCTCAGTTCCTTTCAAGCACATAAAAAACTCACATTGTTAAAAAATGCTATGCATGTACAAAATGTGAAAAAGCCTTCACTTATTCCAACTCCCTTCAGAAACACGAAAATCTCATACTGGAGAGAAACCCTTTAGATGTAAGAAGTGTGGTCATGGTTTCAGTTATTCCTCTTACCTTTGATATCATGAGAGAACTCACACTGGAGAAAAACCCTATGAATGTAAAAAATGTGGTAAAGCCTTCGGATATAGTAGTTCCCTATGAAAACATGACAGAACTCATACTGGAGAGAAACCCTATGAGTGTAAGGATTATAGGAAAATGTTTAGTTATGCCAATCATCTTCGTAGCCATCAAAGAACTCACACCAGAGAGAAACCCTATCAGTAAAGACTGTGGGAAAGCCTTCAGATCTTCCAGTTTTTGTCAACAACATAAAAGCACTCACACTGGAGAAAAACCCTATGAATGTAAGAAATGTGGTAAAACCTTCAGATTTTATAGTTCTCTTCCAAAACATAAAAGAACTCATACTGAATAGAAACCCAATTAATGTAAGCAATGTGGAAAAGCATTTAATTTTTTCAGTTGATTTTCTCAGTTAATTTTCTCATTTGAGAATGTTCTCTTGTACTTATAATTTATTTAGGATTTTATTTTTAAGGATTGTTGAAGTTTTTAAAATAATTTTTTGTTGGGATGATCCTTGTTTTTTAAAGTTACTCTGGCTGGGTATTGTGGCTCACACCTATAATCCCAGCACTTTGGGAGGCCAAGGTGGGCGGATTTTTTGAGGCCAAGAGTACAAGGTCAGCCTGGCCAATATAGCAAAACCTCGACTCTGCTAAAAATACAAAATAATTAGCTGAGTGTGGTGGTGCATGCCTGTAATCACAGCTACTTGGGAGGCTGAGACATGAGAACTGCTTGAACCCAGGAGGCAGAGGTTGCAGTGAGATGAGATAATGCCACTTGCACCTCAGCCTGGGCAACAGAGGGAAACTGTCTCAAAAAAAGAAAAAATGTTATTCTATTAATTGACTTTCAGATTTGACACCAATATTCTTTTTCTTGGTTAAATCTTGGTAATAAAGTGCAAATCTTTTTATATATTGGTAGCTGGAGTTTAATATTTTGTGGAGACTTTTTGTATGTATATTATAAGATTTGTGTGCCCCAGTATAGCATATAGTGTATATTTAGTGTATAAACAGTGGACATACGTGTGTGAATATGTATGTATAAATATATATAGTCACGTATCATTTAACTTCAGAGATACATTCTAAAAATGCATTCTCAGACAATTCTGTCAATGTAGAAACATCATGCAGTTTACTCAGAAAACTACACAATTTTACCTCCTACATACCTCATATATGCAATCTTATATGTGGTATGTCATTGACCGAAATGTTATGTGGCCAGTGAGTGTGATATGTTGTACAATGTGTAATTTTGTTCTTAAGTAGTGTTTATTATATACAACTATGTAATAATACATGTTACTAAAATACATGTACAGAATGTTCTCAATATCATTGATAGGTTCTTAAGAACTGTGACTTGAAGCAAAATGCTGTATGACATAGGAACTTTATTTTTGTATGTCAGTCAGCCTGTGGCAAAATTCACTTTATAGTACACTGTTTGACTTAAAGTCACAGTTTTCAAGAATCTGTCAACAATATTAAGTGACAATTTTCTCTAGTTAGTGTTGTGGTAAATAGTATATTACAGCATTATAGTACTATTCTATGTTACTGTAATCTTTACAGTTGGTAGTATGACATGTTTCAGTTCCTAGCCAGCCCACAGAGGTAAACCAGTCACATCTTCCTTTGAGAATCAAGGAATATCTCACCTTCTTGATACTACAAAGCCTTCCCCTAACACCCTATGTTTATTCTCTTTGCTTTGAAGTGCAGTCCCTGGGTGGACCTGCAAAGCTTATAATACTTTTCTCCTTTTGACTGAGTATATGTAACTAATAAACTGTTGTTAATCTTCTCTGTCTAGTAATGGATGTCATGGGCTTGACTGTCCCAGTAGCACTAAGGTGCTAATTCCTCCCTTAACAATGAGTAGGCTACTGAAATAATTGACAACACAAAAAGAGTGGACCAAAAATGACTGAGGATGTCTTTTCAACTTTAACTAACTGCTCTTGGGTTACTGGTTCTATTATACACTGAAAGTCACCTGGTTCAGAGCCACCAATTGGTGAGCTTTTGTTTGGTCTGCACAGGAGTTTATGACCTTTATCAGGAGTTGCTGTCTTTATCCACACTAAAGGACTCTCATCTGTAGATTGCTTTGAGTAGTATAAACATTTTAACAATATTGATTATTCCAATCCATCAACATAAAATATTGTACTTTTCTTGTATTGTCTTTAATTTCTTTCATCAGTGTTTTATAGTGTTTATTGTAAAGATCTTTTACTTTTTTGATTAACTTCATTCTGGGGTGTCAAAATTTGTTCATGTCTACTGTAAATGGAATTTATTTTTAAATTTCATGTTCAGCTTGTTCACTGTTGACATGTAGAAATGCTACTGATTTTTTATGTTGATTTTGTGTCCTGCAACTTTACTGAATTTGTTTATCAGTTTTAATAGTTTATTGGTGAAGTATTTAGGTCTTTCCACATATAAATTCATATCATCTGCAAACAAGGATAATTTTTTTTTCTATCCAATTTGGATGCCCTTTATTTCTTCCTTTTATCTGATTGTCCTAGTTAGGACTTCCAGCGCTGTATTGAATAAACTGTGGCAAAAGTTGGCTTTTTTAATGTTACTAGATCTCAGAATAAAAGATTTTAGCATTTTATTTTCCAGTATTATACTAGTTTTGGGTCTGTCATATATGGCTTTTATTATGTTGAAGTATGTTCTCTTAATATTCCAGTTTCTTGGGGGTTTTTAAAAAATGAGAACATGTCAATTTTTATCAAACCCTTATTAACATTAAATAAAATGATCATATAATTTTAGTTCTTCATTCTCTTATGATGTAACTACATTGACTGACTTGCAAATGTGGAAACATTCTGTGACATAGCCACAGGGCAAGACATATCATGAACTCTGGGATAAGTTCATTTGGTCATTATGAATGGTCTAAATGTATGTTTGAATTTGGTTTGCCACTATTTTGTCAAGAGTTTTTGCATTAATATTCATCAGAGATATTTGCCTATAGGTTTTTTTAATGCATCTTTGGTTTTCATATCAGAGTGACACTCTGCATTAAAAATGTGAAGTTGAGTGTAGTCATTTTCATCAATGATCTTAGGTAATGCTTTTGGATAACTTGCTGCAGCTTCTATATTAGCACTTGCTGCTTCACTTTTCACTTTTTGTTTGTTTGGTTGGTTGGGTTTTTTTTTTTTTGAGGTGCAGTCTCACTCTGTCACCCAGGCTGGAGTGCAGTGGCAGGATCTCAGCTCACTGCAACCTCTGCCTCCTGGGTTCAAGTGATTCTCCTGCCTCAGCCTCCTGAATAGCTGGGACTACAGGCACATGCTGCCACACTAGGCTAATTTTTTTGTATTTTAGTAGAGACAGGGTTTCGCCATTTTGCCCAGGCTTGTCTCAAACTCCTGAGTTCAGGCAATCCACCTGCCTCTGCCTCCCAAACTGCTAGGATTACAGGCGTGAGCCACTGTGCCCAGCCCACTTTTCACTTTTATAGGGATAGCTTCTTTTCTTAAAACACATGAACCATGTGTTTTAAGAAAACTTTTTTCTGCAATTTTCTGACCACTCAGAGGCTTCATACAATTGAAAAGAGGACCTTGCTCTGGATTAGGCTTTGGCTTAAGAAAATGTTGTGTCTGATTTGACTTTTATCCAGACCACTAAAACATCTCCCTATTCATAATAAGGCTATTTCACTTTCTTACTGTGTGTTCACTGGAGAAGCAATTTTAATTTCCCTGAAAAACCTCTTATTATGTGTTCACTCAAGAAGAAATTTTAATTTCCTTGAAAAACCTTTCCTTTGCATTCACAACTTAGCTAGCTGTCTGGTGCAGGAAGCCTAGCTTTTGACCTAGACTTCTCTCCATCACTAAGTTTAATTATTTCTAACTTTTGACTTAAAATGAGAGACATGCAACTCTTTCTCTTACTTGAACACTTAGAAGCCATTCTAGGATTATTCACTTGCCCAATTTTAATATTGTTGTGTCTCAGGAAATAGAGAGGCCCAATGAGAGGTAGGGAAATGGCCAGTTATTGAATCAGCCAGAGCACATATAAGATTTATCATTTTGTCTAACCTCTTATATGATTCAGTTCAAAGTGCCCCCAAACAGTTACAATAGTTACATCAAACGTCACTGATCACAGCTCACCATAACAGATATAATAATGATGAAAAATGTTGAAATACGATCAGTTGCAATAATGTTTTACTTCCCCCACCATATGGACAGATACAAGCATTATTAAATGCTGCTACATGCTGAGTTGAATCTCAGGACACTCACAAGCCTGCTAGAGAAATGCCTTGAACACCTGAGCCTTCCTTCCTACCCTGGACTATTCCTGAAACCTGGCACTTCTTTCTCCTTGAAAGGAATGTGAAGCCATCCCTGTCTGTTATTAGCAAATTATGTTCCTGAATGGCTGTGCCAGGTCAGCAGGGCCTGGACTGTCAGAAATCATGGTTTGTGCTCAGCACCTGGCTGCACCAAAAAGGCCTCCCTTTCAGAGGAGAGCCCATGTGTCTAGGAGAAACTGCAAATGTTGGGAAGGATAGAAGATAACTAAGAATGACCAAGCAATAAATCTGGGTCCTCTCCTACAGAGTATTTTCAGAGGATAGTGATCAAAATTCAGTGTTAACCCTTTAGTTAGAAACTTGAGGAGAGCTCAGAGCAGTGTTTGTTGACCACAATGACTGGAAGCATCTCAGGATTTTAATTGGGAAGGCTGTGTCTGTGCATGCCCATGAACCATCAGTGTTGGGAGCAGTACCCAGCTGGCTGTTCGCACTTCCCTCATCTTTCATCTTTTAACCCTCCCTATGGGAAACGTTGATGTCCACATGACATAACCACAGCACAAGACTGGAAGAAGAACACAGCCGTCCTGGGGTGGGAAGTGAGGGATTGCTGCAGGATCTATGAACTAAGCCTCAGCTTCCTCCTTAGAACATATCATTAACAACACAGTTGACTGTGTAAGCCTGTGACCCCCTGAGACCATGGACCTCAGGACCACTAGGGCCCCAGACTTCACTTTGGCCAGCAAGGGAGACTGGAGTTCTTTCACTGGTGAGGAATAAACACCCTTATCTGGGGTTAGGAAAGCTCAGCAATGATTCATCAGCCATGGAGGAGAGGACACAATGAACCTGATAGATAAGTTGGTAGCATTCTGGGGTATTTCTACCTTAAAAAGAATTGATCAAGGAAATACATAGATGCAAGGAGCCCTAGTTCATAAGTGTCAGTTATGATCATGGAATAAAGTTCTGCTGTAAATTTAAAGCTGCATCACAGTTCTCTCTTCCTAAATAAGAAACCAGCAGGAAAAGAAATTTTGAAGTCAGAGACAAGGATCCTGGGAGGATTCAAATCTAAGGTCAAGGATTGATCATTGGTTCTTAGAGGTAGAGTGAGGATATGATGTCCTGCCACCCTCAGTAGATTTGTAAATGCTATTCCTTGGACCTTGTCCCTCCTATATTGCTTGTTATTATCTTTTCACATTTTTCTCCATGTAGTCCTGATTCAGTTTCCGAGTTGAAACTATAAAACTACAAGATTCTAGAAGTTTGTCAAGAGAAACTCAGCAGGTGAAACACAAAGTGTATTCCATCCCGCCACAGCTGTAGAAAGGCACCTACAGTCCTAGGACAAGAAGTAGTCCCTGCAAGTGTTATTCTTGAAGATACCCAAACTTCTGAGATTTTCTATGCCCTGATAAAGTACCTTCAACATCTGAACCCTAGAAATTCTGAGTGGCTTTCTTTCCTCATTGGCCAGGTTAATGATCCTGAAATAAACATGTACACTGAGAAAGGTGGACTTGGGTGTCCCTTTCAGGAGCCAGAGAGAATGCCTGGTAATCTTCCTTTCTCCCACACACATTATACTGCTGACTCTGAAAGGTTGCTTATTTCAAGGGAAAATGTGAGACTTTGCATCTCATTTAATTAAATGCAGGAAGTGAAAAAAATCACACCTCTCAGGCTATAGTAGAAATGTGACTTTAATATCTACCATTTAGAATGTGTGTGTGTGTGTGTGTGTGTAGATAGATGATAGATAGATAGATAGATAGATAGATAGATAGATAGATAACAGATAGATATTCCTCAATAGGTAAATAGAGGCTGTGGGAAAGAGCCATCAAATAAATTGAGCAGGATATTCCCCTCTTCTCTTGGTCTTCAGGAGATCCCAGAAAAATGCTTACAATGCACTTCTTCACATCAGAGCCACAGGAGCCAAATCAGAATTCTGGGTGCCCCAAGTGCATCTTGCTCCTGTAGTAGGAACTGCACCTGAGATAGTCTCAGGAGTTTGAGGTTTTTTTCCACCAATACATAACTGTATGGTAGGGCCAGGTGGCTAGATGGAAGGGCTGGATGACCATAGGAAGCCTCCCCCAGAACCAGCCTTCCTATCTCAACTGCACTGTGTGCTCTAATGCTTGGTTAACCAACTGTACCCATGTGTCCCTGTCATGCGAGTGACCATTTAGCATCACTGCACTTCACAGAGGAGAAAACTATGTCCCACAGTGAGGTGACTCAGCGCAGTCACATGGCTGGTTACTGGTAGAGCTGGGATCCCATTACCAGCTCCCTGACTCCCTGAGCCCATGCATAGTCTGAAGCTTCATTGAGCTCTCAGGTGGTTCACACCTACCCGCCAGGGCACTGTCTTGCTCCTGGGATTCATGATAGTCAGTTTTCTTGGCCTTCAGTGTGTTGATGGACAACTGGGACTAGGACTCAATTGCAAGACAGGTGCAACTGTTGCAGAATAGGTGGCTGCTGTAGGACAGAGAGGCAGCTGCAAGGCTACCAGAATCCACATTTCAGGTCTACCTCCCAGTTTCTGCCCAACAACTGAAGTCCTGGTGCTGCAACATTCACCACACAATATGACCAATCTGACCAGGTAGCCATGGTTACAGGCTCTCTGCAGCTGAGGTCAAGAAAGAGTTTGCCCCTGACCCTCACCTAGTTCTTGCCCAATTACAATTCCATGGCCTGGAATCGAGTTCCAAATTGCTCCTAGGGTTAATGGTTATAATTATTTGCAGCCAACTGCATCTACTGACTTACTGTGAATTCGTTGGACAAGAAGGAAGGGCATAATGCTGACAGTGTTTGTGTGGTTCATGCTAGAAGGGCCTTATGCATGGTTTAAGAGTGGCCCAGGGACCAGTCTTTGTGTCTTTGCACTTAACGACCTCCATTCTCCCCTCCAATTCCATCTAGGCCCAAACCTGATCAGAATTGGGTTCAAACAGCTCGTCCTCCAGGAAGTTGTTCTTGACTCTAGTCACATACCCAGGCTGGCTCTAGCAATGGTGCTGTCACTGGTGCTGACTCTAGAGCTGGCCCTGGCCCTAACTCTAGAGAAGGTGGTAATCTCAGTGCTTTCCAGCTCCGTAGCTGTCCCTAGATCTGGTATTGGTGGTGTTGGTAGCTAGAGGGCTGGCTTTAAAGATGCCTGTGTATCTAGATCCAGCACGACAGCTGGAAGATGAGAAAGGTTCACCAACCTAAACCACTTTCTACATACCACTGCAAACAGAGACAAGATCTCACTCCTTTTAAGGAAACTCTTAGCCTAAAAACCCACTCCCAGAAGGTCTTCCAGATTATAGTCCACCCTATTCTCTCACTCTGCCACAATGAGCTTCTAATGTCCCCCCAGGCAAAGAAAAGGTGTTCATGGCTTTCTAGAAATTGTATGAACCTACTAGAAATTTATCTTCAGGTATAATGTTACCAGTCATAATTTTGGTTATTATTTTTAATTAATGTATGCCACAGAAGTAATAAAATTTTCTTGACAATTTCATTATCATGAACTCTTATCAGATATTTAACAATGGTCATGTTAAATCTTTTGTCATCCAGAGACAGTTAATTGCTTTACTCTTATGCTTTTTGAAAAGCCTTAGTAGCTACTCTGTCTTCAAAGAGATTCATGGAAAAGACTATGAGTAGTACAAGGTAATTTTTTTAAAAGAGACCCTATCTCAGTATGTTTTCCAGGCTGACCTTGAATGCCTGGCCTCAAGCAATCTTTCCACCTCAGCCTCTCAAAACATTGGACCATAGGTGTGAACCACCACACTTGGCCAGTAGTACAGTCTTCTTATAGCTTTAACATCCTACCTTTGGACTGAGTAAGAATTATCAGAACTCTAATGAAGAAACTAATTGGTTTATTGAGCTGCCAATCAAACATCAATCAGAACAAGTATTAATCACATGTTACTGAGTAAACTGATGAAAAAGAATTATGGGTTTTTCAAATGATAGTTTTGTATAAAACATTGCTATTTCTTTAATGTTTTGTTTTCTATGTATAAAAAAATTTCCTTTATCTTATGCTATCTCTAGCATACAATAATTTGGTATAGATTTGTGAACAAAGATGAAATAATTTTTTTCCTGTCTGATCTCTCTAGAACTCAAAAACTGTTAGTGAGTATTCTTATTTTCATGGCAATATAGTTATTTGCATAAGTTAAAAAAATCTGTTCTCTTTATAGCAGGTCATAGTTGAAAAAATTTGTTATATCATCAAGAATGTGATTAAAATGCCATACGTGAGAATGTGCAAAATGCCAAATATGTCCAGAGAGTTTTAAGGACCTAAGGTTGACTTTATGGACCCAATAAGGCCCCTTGGGGAAAGAAAAAAACTGGTGTGATACTTCCTATTAATGATTCCCAAGTCTTACAAGTTGAATAAAGAAGTCCTAGAAAACTTACAAAATATTTTGAGGACACTGAGAAGAAGAGAAATTCCCCAGATCTATAGATATTGCAGACGAAGTCTGATGCCAAGTCCTTGGCATGGCCTCCTTCCCTGAAGTGGCTTTTAACAGTCTAATCTGAGATTCTTTATTAAAAGTGCTAGCAAAGCAAACTTTAAAAAAAAAAGTGCATATAGGATCAATCACTATTCTTATTGCACTTACGGAAAAAATTAGGCCAAGGATTAGATCTATTTTTTCCAAAGTAGTATTACTGTGGTTATCTTTGGTAGAAATGGAGGTTACTATAGATAGAAACTATGTTCCAATAGAAAACTACAGTGCTCTCATTATCATATTCCGGTCTTGATTGTAGTCTTTGATATTTTATTACCTATCTATAAACTCTTCTTTCTTTAAAGACTTACATCCTGGAACTGAATAATTTGATAAAAATTTCAGAGGACAACTTTTATGCATGCTGATTTATGGATCTTTTAGGGAGTTCACTGAAATTCTAGAAGCAATAACCAGGGACATTCAAACTGCAAACCAGAAAAACATGCCTCAAGCTCAAATCTAGAAATCTTCTTGACTTAACTGCTGTCTGGAGTCAGACTGACTTCATAGTTTGTTATAGCCATTGACGTTTGTTTCTCTCTTTTTTTTAACTTTTTTGTTTTATTTGACTTTGTTCACAGGGGCTTTGGCTACAGATCATATCCTACTATGTTGGTATTATTCTCCTGACAGTCATTTTCATCTCCCTCGTGCACTGTATTCTATGAAGGGTATGAAAGTTATGTTTTTGCCCATCAAGGATAGGCCACATAGGTCCACTGTGCAGAGAATGACAAAAATAAGAAAGAAAATGTCTTCAGTGAGCCTGATGTCATGACTTATGGGCCTCATGCTGAGACAAAGTCAAGTCATCCATGATGGCAACAGAATGATGCTTATCTCACCCGTAAATTAGAAGGTGACCAAAAGGGAGAAATTTATAGCATAATTAATTTGCAGTCCATTAGGCTGAGATGACTCTAGCACCTTGAGTTTCCACCTAAGTAAACCAAAACCTATCTTAATGTAAATAGTAAAACAAAACTTAAGCTTAACTAGAAACTCAACCAACTTCTAACTAAAGACTATGTTAACCTATCAAATATTTCAGGTTTTTCTCTACAAGTGCCTTATAAAAATTTCTGGTTTTGTGCCTACATGGAGCAGTAAGCAACATGTAGTCTAGTGCTGGCCAACTCATAAATCTCTAAATGATCAAATAATATTTTTAAAAATTTAATTTGCCTATGTTTATTTTTAAGACAATGCTGAAATGAGTGTGCATGTGACTGTATTCCATAAATATTTATATACTCTGAGATTTGAACTCTCTATAATTTTTGCATTATTAATTTTTTGTCTTTTTCAATTATTCAATTATCGCACATCCTGACAGGGTCAAACGAAAATAGGCAAAGAGCCAAATTTAGCCTTAAGCCTCAATTTGCAGACCCATGACCAGGATTAGGGCATAAGGCATATATTTTTTAAAAGAGTGTGGGGTTGGAGTGATGATTTAAATGCAGGTGATGTTTGGTTTAGATGCTGTGATTCAGGAAACCGAAAAGGAAGAGATTTCTTCCCAAAGGCTTAAATGAGAAAGAAAAAAAGGAGGAGAGATGACTCAGAAAGAGGTCAGTATGGTCCATGTGAGAGCCCCAACTGGCTTCTATTGTTGATCCTTCTTTCTTCTAGATCCCAAACTCCATATTCCTACCAACGACATCAGTGCAACATTGTATGTGTCCAGAGATGGGATTTTGGGGGCAGTCATACCAAGGATGTGTCCTTGGGAAGGCCAGAAACACTACCCCAGAGGGAGCAACATAAGCCAAGGTGGGACCCAGAAGCTGACTTTGAGGTATACACCTAAGAGTAGAATTGTTGGATTATAAAGTTTATGTATGTTCATCTTTAGGAGATACCACCAAAGTGTTTGTGAAAGTGTTCATAACAGTTTACACACAGAGAAGAATATGATGGCTCCAGTTGCTCTACAGTCTTTTCAACACCTGATGTTTGAGGGAAGGTGCCCAGGTAGTGGTGGCCAGTCCCTGAGATGTGGAGCCTCCACTGGCTAACAAGTAAAGAATTCTAACCCTGGGCAGGTCAGCCTTCAAGGCCCCTTCTCTGGGTCCTGCCACTGCAGAAATGCTTTAATGTTGTGACAAAGTGAATAGTGTGGCAGATATCAGACCTCTTCAACTACTTCCAGGAGGCTCTGTGGCTGTGGGAGGCACACCAGAGCAAGCTGTTGCTGAAGAAGCTGGAGACTCAAAAAAGAACAGAGAAGCATCAGGACAAGCACAGCCTGGAGAAACAGGTGCAGGCCCCATCTGCTGGGGAAGCCCTGAGGGGGATGAGAGATGGGTCACAACCAGACAGTCATCTGCCCTTAGGGCTCAGCATAGTGGCCTGTGAACCCAGCCAGGATCCAGACGCAAAAACAAGAGACAATTTTATTTTTTTTTTAAATCGGCTTTCTCTGGTTGAAGTAAAAGAGACATTGATCCATATTTCACACCAGAAACAAAAATTAACTTAAATCCAATTCTAGATGCAAATGTAAAACCTTAAGGCACAAAACTTGTACACATAGAAGCTTGAGTCTCACGCTGGTCATCAGATCACAGAGAAGCAGCAGAAGTCTACCCATGCAAGGTTCCAGCTGTTTGATGACTCCCTGGAATGAAATACGTCTGTAAGAAAGTGTGCATGAGAGACAGATGTGGGGTGGATAGGTATGGAATGAATCTGTCAGGCACTCTGCCACCATGGGAGGCAACACCGTCTATGAAATGGGTGGGGGCATATTCAGCAACTGATTTTGAGCATCAGTGGTGAGAAGAAGAGCAATGTGCAGGTGCCATTATGAGGCAGGAAAGAATATTCCCTGCAGAAGAGCCCAGAAGCCTAAGGAAAAAGAGTGAGGGCAGTAGCAGATTTGGTGTCCCTGTTTTAGAAAAGAAAGTCCTGGGCCTGCCTGGGCACCTGGATCTTAGTTCCAGTTGCAGGGTCTTTGTATACCACTGAAACTCTGTGGCTTGTATCTGCTTCCTCTTGTTTTGGGGATACCACCAAATCCAGGAGGTTCACCTCCATAAACTCTTGGACAGAGGGAGCAGATCCATGAGGAAATACTGAAGTTTTGCCTGGAAAAGGCCAACAATTTTCTAAAGAACACAACATTGAGATAGGCCAACCAGACAATAGAGGAAGAAAGGAATGGCCTGGAATTCATATTCTCACATTTTATTTATTCTTTCTATTATTGATGTACACTTGGGTTGGTTCCAGTTTTAAGAAACACCACATGATACTGCTGTGAACATTCTTCTGCATGGTGAACAGATGCAGGAATTTATATTGGATATATACCTAAAAGTTGAATTGTTGGATTATAAAGTTTATGTATATGTACATTTGTCTTTAGGAGAGACTACCAAATTGTTTTTGAAAGTGTTCATAAAAGTTTACACACATAGAAGCATATGATAGTTACAGTCACTCTACATCTTTATCAACATTTGATGTTGTCTTTTTTTAAAGTCATTGCATAAAAATAATACATTGTTATTTTAATTTGCATTTTCCTGATGACTAAGAATGTGCAGCACCTTTTAATTTACTTGTTAGACATTTGGTTATTTTTTATGAAATGCTTAGAGAAATCTCTTAACCATTTTTTCCAGTGTATTCTCTTTTTTTCTTATTAGTTTATGGGAGTTAGTGACATATCTTAGATTAAGGCTTTTGTCACTTTAATCTAGAGCAAATATTTTCCCACAGTATTATCACATTTTTACTTTCTTAAAGATATCCTTTGATGAAGACAAGTTTTTAATTTTAATAAAGTCCAATTTATAAATTTTTGCTTTTATGTTTAGTGTTTGTTGCATCCTAAGAAATCTTTACCTGTTCCCAAACTATAAAAATGTTCCCTTGTTATCTACTAGAATTATATATTTAAACTTTCACATTTGAATTTAAAATTTGCTTGGAATTCATTTTTATTTACAGTGTGAGGCAGAAATCAAGATTTGTTTCTTTCTCATGTAAACAGCCAGTTGACCCTGGAGGGCATTTACTGAGAGGACTATTTTCCTCATTGCCCAACTGGGTCTCTTTCACTATACACAAGACATCTGAGTTTGTGGGTCTGAGTTGGACTTTGTATTTTTTTCTTTATCCTTGTGTCTATTACTGCACTAACGTGACCTTGGTTACTGTATCTTTAACCTAAGTCCTAATATCTGACAGCGTAAATCCTCCAAATTTGTTCTTCTTCACAATTGTCTTGACTGTTCTTGGCCCATACCTTGATGTAAATTTTCTAATTTGCTTATTAGTTTGCACAACATATCTGGTGAGATACTTCACTGTGGTTATATAGACCTGTAGATCAATTTGGAGAGAAGCGATGTCTTAATAACACATAGCAAACAAAACAAAGCAAAGCAAGCAAAACACCAAAAAAAAAAAAAAACAGTTGAAACTAAAACTAAACACCATAATAAAACAAGAAGTAGTAAACTGGGGAGAAACACTTTCAATGCATATCACAAAGGGACTCACATCCCCACTACATAAACAACACCTAGAAATTGATAAGAAGAGAAACAACTACAAAGCAGAAAATTTCACAAGATAACCCACAGTTCACAGAAAAAGAAATATCAATACATTTAAATATAAGAGAATATGCTCAGGCTCAGTCATAATATGACAAAATTGTCCAATTCAAAGTTAAACTACTAACCCTAAAGCTGTGGAGAAATAGAAAAGTGTTTTCTCTTTCTCAGACCCACCAGACCTAGCACCCTGTGGCTCTACCTGAATACACTGGTTGTGCCCATGGGCCCCAGAGGACATAAAGCACAAAGAGCAGGCAGAGGCTGTGGGTGGAGGATCAGATGCAACTGGCTTCAGAGCAGTGTTGTTGGTGCATTTTGCATGCCCACTTAACCTTGACAGGAGACTTGGCTTTTCTATGCTCCATGCCCCCAGCATGGGTCATGTCAGGAGGCCTGTGCACCCATGTATGAGTGACTCTGGCCCGTGCCAACAGCCTATCTGGTGTTGATGGAGCCTGACACCATGTCCTCACTGAGCACACACTTATTCTACTCCTCATTGTATAATTGGAAAACTGAGGTCCAGAAAGAGGAAGGGACTGGCTCAGACCAAAGAAGGTGGGCAGAGTCCAGGGTATTAGGGAGAGCTCTGGCTTCCTAGGCCTTGGTTCCACCAAATCCATCAGGATTGCTGTAAAAACAAAGTCCTCTAAGATCCAGGGGATACCTGACAACTCCCTCTTCACCTGGGATTATTTCCCTTTCCACTTCCCCAGGTAAGACAGACACACACACACATGCACAGTGACTTCCTAGGTGGGAGCCATAGAGGTAGGATTTTTTAAAAAGTAGACACCACGGAAGTGACAAAAGGAAGAGAAGAAAGAGGTTGAAGGAGATCTGCCATGGGGCAGTGGCCTCCACTCTTTTAGCCACATACCCAGGGGCCCAGGGCATGAACAGGAGGATCTGCAAGGATCCAAGGGTTCTGTCTGGGTTGAGGCTATACCCAGCACACCCTTGGGAAGTTTGGGCTGGGCTCTTGCAGCCCATTTCTGTGGGTACCTGGAACTAGGATGAACTTGCCTGCACCAGTGTAGACAAGAGCTACAGCAGAGAAAGCCTTCACCTCCTCCTATATAAACTGAGGTATTTAAGTGGGTGGCCCCAAGAGTTTCACATAGTCAAAAGTTTCTGCTGGACTTGGTTTCCCCATTGGTGACCCACTGTGCTTTGAAACTCTGGGAAAATGCTTTCTGCTCCCTAGAGGTCCTTCAGAACAGAGAGAGATGTAAAGGATTTTGTAGATGATGGCTTGGAATAGAGAATGTTTTAGAGCACTGGGCGCTGAATCTAGGATTCAGGAGCAGGACTAGGATGTGTTGGATCCTTGAGGTCTTCATTGGGAGGTGGCAAGAAATCACTGCCCTGGATTAGGTGAGGATGTGTCATGAGGGAACTGGATGCCTCAAGGGGAAAAGGGAAGACTTTGAAGTCCCTCTTACTGACCCTGGAGGCTACAGATCCTACTCCAAGGTCCGCTGGGACCCTGGAGAGCTATTACCTTGAGGACCACTGAATGCAGATGCCTGTTTTGTTCTGTGATGCTTCTGCTTGGGGCTGCAATGCTAGTGCGGGCCACCAGGCGGCAGCACCCTCTTGTGTCCCTGGTACCCAGTGAGGTTTGCTGGAGCAGCTGGAGCCAGGGGAGATTCCTGCAGAAGTCATTTTGGCCATTTACTGCCTAAGACTCAACTTAAACCCCCTGTCTTCAATTATCTTCACATTGTAAGGTGTTCAGAAGCATAAAGGAGGTTCAAGATCCCATTTCTGTTCTCAGCAACTCTGCCTTCAGCAACTCTGCCTTCAGCATTCACTCTGTGCTAGGTGCCCTGGTGGGCCAAGCATGTGGTGCTAAAAATGACCAAGTGGTCTCTGACCCCCAGAGACTCACAGTGTGATGACAGCTGGAGAAAAAAACTAAAGCAAGTACATATAACAAAAGAGCAAGTGATATAATAAAAACAAAGTAGGATGTTGTGAGGGAGAGCTGGGTATGTGTGTTGTGAACAGAATGAAAAGAAAAAACTTGTCCTGCACAGGCCTGGAAGCCGTGTGGCAGGGAGAAGTCACCCCTGATGCATTAAGACTTTTGTTTTAATGTTATTTTATTAAAATTATTTTATCATAACCAGTTTTTTTATTTTCTTAGGATGAATCACTTTCCTTGTAGTTTACAAAAAATTAATAAAAATTTGTATTAATAATTTTTTAACTTTTAAATAATTTAGTTTTATTATTTTTTATTTTTAAATAATCATTAAGCTCTAAATTAGAAAAAATTATTTTTAATAAAAACTACATCTATATGTCATTCTAACAAGCTTTTATTTTACTGAAAACACATCTTAATTTCTAATACCCCTTGTATGTAGATTTTTTATATCCAATAATTTTAATTACACATATTAACTATTATTTTAATGCTTAGCAATGCTAATTTTTAGTGAGAAACCTAAGGTTACTTAATTTAACATAACAAGATTTTAAGATTTTAAATCACTAAAAAAATTAAAATTATGACACAGGTACTTCCTCTAATTATTTTTTAGAGGGGTGTTTCAAGCACCTATGTTATATATTGAAACCTACAGTTTCTGTAAGCCCTATCCTTAAGTCAAAACAACCTTGATGTTATTGTGAACAAGTACTTAGCATAAATCCTACCCTTAGGCAAATTTATATAGTGATTTCAATTGTCCTACACATTCCTTTTTCTGTGATAAGTGTCTGGGTTTGGGGAGTAACATCGTGGGGATCCACCAACTTCAGCCACCTGAAACAGAGCTTCTATTCATAAGTCCCTCTTAAATGTTTTTTTCTGAGAAACTTGATTTGTCAGCCTCTTTCTTCAACCTCTCAATACCCTTGACCTTTAGAGGTAGGTTTACATGTACCTACTCTTGAAAAAACAAGGATATATATATGGCTTATCAATTTCTAGAAAATTGTTATGTGGCTCACGACTGTAATGTGTAGCACAAAGTACATTTTTTACAAGAACAGTATATTTTATATAGCTACTTTCTATTACACTTTACTAAAATACATGTTCAGTAAGTGCTGACTTAATGTCATTGATAGGTTCTTGGAAACTCACTTTAAGTGAAACAAAATACTATATACCATAGAAAAGTACTTCTTGTTTATATCAATTAGCCAGTGGTAAAATTGGTTTCATTATATAGTACATTGTTTTACTTAAAGTCACAGTTTCCAAAAATCTATCAACAAACTGACAACATACTCTAATTAGTATTATAGTGTATAGTACATTATAGAATTAGACTGTTGTAGTATGTTATTGTAGTCTTAGCAATTGGTGGTATAATGTGTTTCGGTTTCCCCCAAGATCACAAAATTATTCAGACCAACAAATAACAACCTCCTTTGGGAACCAGGAGCATCTCACTCTCTTGATACTACAAAGCCTTCCCCTGGTGCCTCCTGTTTGTTTTCTCTACTCCCAAGTGCAATCCCTGTGTGGATCTGTACACCTTACACACTTTCCTCCTTCCATGATTATATGTAATGAATATCTGCTGTCAATCTCTTTAATCCAATGATTGGTGCCATGGCTTTAACTGTTCCAGTAGCCCTAGGGTGGTAATTTCTCCCTCACCAATGAGGTAAAGGGGAGGCTAATCAAACAATTCACAACACAAACTGGATTAATCACTCATGACTGAGGACACCTGCTCAACATTAACTGCTTTTGGCCTACTGGTTTCATGATACATTAAAAGTCACCTCTGTCAGAACCACCAGCTGGTGATGGGCTTTTGCTTTTGTCTAAATAGCAGTTTGTGGCTATTATCATGAGTTGCCTTCCCTACCTGCACTAAAGCACACTAATCACCTACACATAAATGGTCAATTGACTCTGCTCCAGCATAATGTGTCATCAGGTTTAGCCTGTGTTTGGCAGGCAGTTTGAAAGACATTTGCCTGTCAAGGCAGTGAAAATACAGCACCTTGATCAGTCAGCACTTAAGTCCTGATTACCTGATAATAGTCAGGCTATATCCCTGTGGTCACTTCATCTGGTCTGATTATCATTACAAACAAAAAAAAAAATCAGTAAGGTTCTGGATCTCCTAGTTGTATAAAGAATATAGATGATTATGATACTCATGAATATTCTATAAAATACTTGGGTCTTATCAGAGTTCATTATACAGGTAAAACTTTGCCTCCTATGGGCACACTATCCAGCAATTAGGATTATCACTCTCACACATGCACAAAGCCCACTGGTGAGGTTCTGAATCTCACATGTGCAAACAGTCCACGGTTGGAATTGGGACTGTTCTATGTGGATCTGGCAACAGTTTGGAAGGTGACTCATTTCTGGACCCAACTCATAGTCATGTGAATGTCTCTCATGCCTGGTCCCAGGTAGTAGAAGAGACGTTGATTCTTGTATCTAGGCTTACTGCAACAGATAAGATCCTGGGCTTTCCACTTTTACAGACGTCTCAGAGAATTACAACACTCATGCATATTGAATAATACCCTAAGGTGGTACAGAGAGTGTGAAAAGAGTGCCCAGCTCAAAATTTTGATTGTGACTCTTATATGCACACACAGCCCACAGTTAGGATTAAATGTGAAGAGAACCCACTCAGGAGGTCCTGGATCTCACTTACAGAAATAGTTTACAGTTAGAATTGTGACTATCATATCTGGATCCATCCACAAATGGGATGGTGGCTCATTTCTGAACCCAACTCACAGGGATACTGATGACTCTCATACCTGGACTCAGCAAATAGGACAGGTGTTGACTCTTATGCCTGAACTTAGGGCAACATGTAGGATCATGGGTTTATACCATCATGAAGGTCCCAGAGAAGGTTTCATTGTCATGCAGACATTATAGAGCCCTTAAGTGGCACAGGGGTTGTCTTATAAAGACCCAGCACATTGGTGATATTGTGACTCTTCTATGCACACACAACATACAGTGAGGAATGTCATCTTCCCATATGGACATAGTCCATTGTTGAGATTCTGAATATCACATCCAGATCAGTTGAAAGTTGACATTGTGACTCTCATATGTGGATCCAGATCACAGGTTGAATGGTGACTTTTATACCAAAACTCAGCACACCTGTGAGGCAGTGACTGCTCTAATTAGACAGTGTTTGCAGGTGAGGTTGGAGCTTTTATGCATGAATTCTGTTGACTATTGAGATTGTGATTTGTGTACTTTAACACAGTTCACAGAAAGTGTTGTCTCTTATACCCTGAGCCAGAAAATGTGTGGGACTGTGAATCTCATCCCTAGACCTTCCTGCAAGTGTGACTTTGACACATAATTATTTTCTCATCACCTGATTGACTTTACTCCCTTGCATGAGCCCTGCCAACAGTTGGGATTGTGACATATACCTGACCCAAACACCTAGGGGATGTGACTGTCCTGCCTGGGTCCCACCCACATGGGACATTGTAATGTATCTCCTGGCCCATCACCTGGGTGATGAGACTCTACTTTCCTGCCTGTGCCCTGCCTCCAGTAACAGAAATCTGGGAATATTACCTATGTAGTATGACTCTCCTCTCATGACTGGGTCCTGTTAACAGGGGGAGATGGTGACATATTGCTGGGCCCAGCACCTAGGTGATGTGACTCTTTTGACTGCATTCTGCCTACGGTGGGCATTGTGACATATCACTGAGCCTAGCATAATGGTGATGTGACTTTCCTGTGTAGGTCCTGCCCATAGAAGGATATTGACATTTCCCTGCACCAGCGTTCAGGTGATGTGACTTTCCTCCCTGGTTCTGCTCACAGGTGGGATTGTGACATATACCTAGGCCCAGGCAACAGTCTGGCCTAGGTATAGGTGATGATGCCTTTCTTACATGGTACCTTTCTTACATGATGTGTTTCCGTGAATATGATAGAAGAAACTTTGACTAACAACTAGGATTAGGGCAACAACTAAGGTCCCTGGTCTACTGATTGTAAAAATGTCACAGAAGATTATGACCTTCACATGTATGTTATAAAGCCCTTGGGGTGTATAGAGAGTTACATAACAGGGGCCAGCAAAAAGTGAGCTTGTAACTCTCATAGACACATGTAGCCAACAATTAGGATTATCACCTTCATACATGGACAGGGTCCACTAGTGAGATTCTAAATCACACAAAAATGCAGTTCAGAGTTGAAATTGTGACTGTCATATGTGGGTCTGGCCTCTGGCTGGATGATATTTAAACTTTCCCTTGTAACTTTTCTTACAGCAATGTAATTTTGCATTTTGGCCAAGAATAACTTTTTTTTTCCCCAGACAAAGTCATCATTGTGGAGAAAAGTTGATTTAGATATATGGAATCTGTTTCCTTTTTAACAGATCATGAACAAATTGAGCATTACATATTTATCTTGCCTAAGTTGTTCCCTTTAAAAAAGGCTAATACAGTGAAAAATGTGAAATTTTCTCTGTAGTACATTTTTATCCAAAATTTATAAATATGCTCAATTTAAAATGATTTTCCAAAACAACTGGTTTTTGGGCAAGATTCAAGAAGCCCCAGAATGTCTTATCCAAAATAATAAACTAAAGACTGTCAATTAAAAATTAGCGATAGTGTCTAGGTGGAATTTGTTTTCTTTGTTTTAGAGATGAGGTCTCATTACGTTGCCTAGGCTGGAGTGCAGTAGCTGGTCATAAACACAATCATGGTGCATTACAGCCTGGACTCAAAGGATCCTCCTGCTTTAGCCTCCTGAGTAGCTGGGATTAAAGGAATATGTCACCACACCTGGCTATGTTTTTAAAAACCACTTTTACACTATTGCAAATTTTTGGACATTGGGAAACAAATGTATTTTGACTCTCTAAAAAAAGTACTTGGTGGCATATTAAAGAATGAGTCATTGAGTTTACAAAACACAAGAAGCAGGGTACAGTTATTCCAAAACAACATTGTGCCTGTGCTTTTGTTTGAAGAGAAGTAAAATGTTTCCACTCAAGTTTTAAGTGACAGAATAGCTAATTACTGTTAAAATGCCACCAAAATTAGTAAAGAAACAATTTTAGTTACCTATTACAAGAACTATGTTATAACTTTCTTTTTTAAGGGTCTTATAGTTCCTCACTATTATCACAAACCACCGTGTTAGATTTCAAAGTACCTAATTTTAACCCAATCCTAATTAAAAACTGCTCACATTCACAAGCAAGAAATACTATTGCACATTACACTCATATTGGAGGAATGTGTGCTTCCCCCCATACCCCCAAACTGACAATGCATCTATCAATTACATTCCATTATCTGAATTTAAAATACTGAAAAGTGCTTATGCTCTTCCACTGAACAAGTACATTAATATACTTGTAGTCTCAAAATACTTCATGATCTCTGAAGTGATTCTCTATGGAGGGAGCTTCCTTTGTGAAATGAACTCAGCTAGTCACCTGCAAAACAATATCCCTAAGTATCGAAACAAATTTATTTTGCTCTTTTCCAAATCAAGATCCCATTGGATCATGTACTTAGTACAGTGTTACATGGGTTTGAACAATAATCCCCGTTTGTGCAAATTCTTTCAAGACTTATGGTGAAGTAACCCAAGTATTGCTTCCTCCGGAATGACCACCATTTAGCCAATACATTGTTCTTACGCTTTTAATGAAAGCATCCATGTTCTTGTCTTTCTTGGCTTCTTTCAATTAAAAAAGAAATTGATTCAAAACGACACAACCTTTACTGAATCCCGTAAAGTAAAAGATGCATCATTTAGTGATGGTGGATAAAAACTCATGGCTGACTCATCAGATTTTTTACAGGTCCTCTCTTTTTCTCCCTGGAAACGATTTGTAGTATGAAAAGAACCGCACTACAATTAGATGCTGTGGAGTCCTTTTTCCAATCATTCAAATTTTTCTTTGATTAAACTATTATGACTTAAAAGCCTTAACTAATAACATATAAAACTGCTTAAAAGCTCCAGAGTCAGTATTGTGTTCTGGGGAACCAAACACGTTACTTTTCACAAAACTATTATGGCAGCTGAATTTGTGCAAATGCATTCAGGAGCACTTTTATCACCCAAATATAGCTATTGGGGAACCGGTGGGCTAAAATAGTGGCAACATTTTCTAGACTCCAATTTTCCCATTGGTAATTTGCAGGATGACGAGTCATAATTTCACGGTAATCCTGCACATTCCCGGAGAAAGAGAGGACGTGGCGGCTGCGGCTCTTCCTTCACCCACTCCCCGGAGATGTCCCGCCGCTCCAGTCCCGCCTTGGTCGCCGCCAGCAGGAGCAACTCCGTGCTACGCGGCCCATCGGCTCCGGGGATGGCGAACAGCCACAGGCTCTGAGGCGGCGCCTGGCGACGGATTGGGAGCATCGTGCACCGCCGCTGCTGCTGGTTTCATGGTTCTGTCCTGAGAGCAGGACAAGGCATCTCCAATTCCAACGTGAGGCAGCAGGAGCAGCAGCCGCCGCGACCGCAAAGACCCGAGCTGTTTGGAGGTGGAGGGTAGGGAGTCCTGAGGTTGGGACTGCTGCAGGACGCCCAACTGTCGGGGCCACGGCCAGGCCAGAAGCCAGTGCGGGGCAACCACTTCAGAGGCCGATGTCAGCGCGCAGCGCTGGATTTCATTATTTGTGTGGTTAAATCTCATTCCATTGTGTGTATACACCATATTTGCTTTATCCATTTATCCCTTGATGGACACTAAGATTGATTCCATATCTTGGCTACTGTCAATAGAGCTATGATAAACATGGAAGTGCAGATATCTCTTCAATATATTATTTCCTTTTGATATATACTCAATAGTGGAATTTCTGGAGTATATGGTAATTCTATTTTTAGGTTTTTGTTGTTTTGTTTTTTGTTGTTTTGTTTTGAGAAACCCTCATAGCTTTCCAAGAGGTTTCTAAATAAATAAATAAATAAATCTAAAAATGTACCAAATTTACATTCACACCAATAGTGTTTAAGTGTTCCCTTTTCTCCACATCCTCATCAAACCTTGTTATCTTTTGTCTTCTTGATAATGGCCATTCTAAATAGGGTGAGGTACTATCTCATGTGATTTTGGATTGCATTTTCCAGATGATTAGTGATGTCGAGTATTTCTTTGTGTCTTCTTTCGAAAAACGTCTGTTCAGGTCTTTTGCTCACTCTTTAGTTGGGTTTTTTGATTTTTATTGTTGTTGAGTTGAGTCCCTTATATATTTTGGATATTAACTCCTTGTCAGATGCACATATTTTCTATTATTTTATAGGTTATAGGTTGTCTTATCACTCTGTTAATAGATATGTATGCTGTCCAGAAGCTTTTAATATTTTATTTATATTAATTTTTCTGTTTTCTGACTTGATACAAAGGTAAGAGTTTTCCCTCAGCTTCATATGTTGTCTGTCTTCTATCTCACTGCTTTTAAGAATTTTTCTTCTTTTTGGTGTCATGTAGTTTGATCATTATTCTTTTTTTTTTCTCTAGACGGAGTCTTGCTCTGTTGTCCAGGCTGGAGTGCAGTGGCATGACCTCAGCTCACTGCAACCTCCACCTCCCAGGTTCAAGCAATTCTCCTGCCTCAGTAACTGAGATTACAGGCGCATGGCACCACCCCTGGCTAATTTTTGTATTTTTAGTAAAGATGGGGTAATAGAACACCAGAATTTATTCTCCCTGTCTAACTGTAACTTTGTAACTTTGACAAACCTCTCCCCATTTCTTCACCCCTTCATGCTGCCTAGCCTCTGGTAACCACCATTCTACTCTCTACTTCTGTGAGATCAACTTTTATAGATGTCACATGAGTGGTACCATGTGGTCTTTTTTCAATCTGTGACTGGCATATTTCACTTAACATAATGTCCTCTAGGTTCATCCATGTTGACATAAATGACAGAAGTTCATTCTGTTTTATTATTGAACATTATTCCTGTGTGTGTGTGCCTGCATGCGTGTGTGTATGCATACATGCGTGTGTGTGTGCATATGTGTGTGTGTGTAACATTTACTTCATTCATCTGTAGATGGGCACTTATACACGGTTGATGAGAATGTAAATTGGTACAACCCTTAGGGAAAACAGCATGGAGGTTTTTCAAGAAATTATAAATAAAACTACCATATATGTTACCCAGCAATCTCATTACTGGGTATATATCAAGAGGAAATAAAATCAGTATGTCAAAAAGATAATTGCACTCATGTTTATTGAAGCAGTATTCATAATAACCAAAACTATCATTTAAGTATTTCTTATCTTTTTTGACACCTTACACTCTAAACTTGTATAGGATTCATGTCTTGTTTCCAATTTCTGAAGCTTATGAGTCACCGATTCCTTGAATATTGCCTTCCTGTTTATATAGTATAGTAAAACCATTAATTGTTTTTCATTTCTTCTCATCTAATCTTCATATATAAATAATTTGTATTTTGTATTAATTTGCCTTCTAAAAAGTACAAAACCACATTAATTGTGCTCAGCATTTCAGTTTACTAGTTCTCTCATCAGCTCAGTCTATTTTAATGTGTAATTTGTATGCTATCCATTAAACTTTTTTTTACTACAGTTTCAATACTTTACTTTCCATTTGCCTCTTTTCTAAATATGACTTGACAAGCTCATAAGTTTTTTCCACATTATTTTGGTTTCTTGTTTTTTTCATTATATTGGCAAGCACTTAAATATAAACATCATATCTGAGTTTTATGTGCCATATATATTATCTAATGCTTCATACTAGTAGCTTATCTCCTTTGTGCAACATAATTTATAATTTAGTTCTCACACATGAAAGACAGCACACTCCAGATGACAGCAGGCAATTTATCTATGTTTATTCCATTTGCCTTGTCAGAAGCTGAACAACCCACATAGATTTGACATCCTTGTGATCAAATGCATCTGAATGGAGCAATGGCCTCTTAGGTTAATGCTTCTCTGTATCATTACCTTTATCTACTTCTGATCCTAAGAAGTTTCCATAATTTTATTTCAACTATATTAAGCATTTTGTGAATTCTTGTAACTTCTTGGTGATTTTAGTTATCTTTATTAAGTTTTTATAGCATGTTATTTTCCTGAAAAGCAGAAATATCAACAGTTGCATACATAAGTAAAATATTTTACATAGGTATTCTATGGCATAGATCACCATCTCATGAGAAATTCCAAGTTTCTTCATTTGAAATACTGCTCTTTTCAATAGACCACGTGGTAATAATTTGTAGAATGTGATTGCTTTTTTACCATTAGAAAATTAATTATTTGTTATGTTATGCACAAATTTCTGGAATACTTCACTGCAGTAAATAGTATATGGTGAGAATTATTTTTTTAACATAAAACTAATATGGATAAAATTATCTGAACTCAAATCTTTTGGCTTCAATTGCTATTCTACCTCATTAGCACTTCCCTAACTCCATAAAAGTTATCATTTGAATTTTTTGTTTAATTCAGAATTTATTGAAAACATTTTTAATGTAATAATGTTTTTATTGCAACTGAGGACATTTTCAATAAATATCTTAAACTTGAGGCTCTGGCTAAGTATTCCTTTTGTACTAGAAATCAGATTTCTCTGGTGCAATTCCATTGCCTGCAATAATATTTATGAAAACTACAAACACCAGCACACTATATCAATACTATACTCAGTTGTTCATATCTAAAAAAATCTCAGTAGCTATGATACAAACCAAATATAAATGCTGAATGTGTAGTACAAATAAACAGATTCTTCACAGAAGAAAACAATAACAGACTGATTTTCTACAATATGTCACCTTTTAATTAGTTCGTTAATAATATTATTTAGGCTATTTCGAGTATATGAGGTTCTTTTTTGTTCTGAGACAGAGTTTTCCTCTTGTTGCCCAGGCGGGAGTGCAATGGCACAATCTCAGCTCACTGCAACCTCCGCCTCCCAGGTTCAAGCGATTCTCCTGTCTCAGCCTCCTGAGTAGCTGGGATTACAACATGACATGCCACAACATCCAGCTAATTTTTGTATTTTTGGTAGAGACAGGGTTTCATCATATTGGTCAGGCTGGTCTTGAACTCCTGGCCTCAGGTGATCCCCCTGCCTTGGCCTCCCAAAGTGCTGGGATTACAGGTGTGAGCCACTGTGCCCAGGCAAGAGGTTCTTTTATCCAGGTTCTAAATGGCATAAAAAGGATGCATATAGTCAGATTTATTTTTATAAACTTTTGATGTTTCTTTTGCTGTCTTCCTGTGAATACATGGAGACAAAAACTAATGTACATTTAAGTCATTAGTGGTCATTAGTTTTGCTTATATGGCTTTTTGCTTATAGGGATGTTGTAAATGACAAGATAAAACCATGAAGTTTGATAAACTCATCTGTGCCCTGTAAACTTTAGTCCACTTACTGTATTACTTGATTCAGTCACTATTTATCAGTTTAAAAATGGTTTTGAAAAGCTGTAAAGCAAGCTTTTTTACACATTTCTGAATCGGGAAGGGGTAAACTGACACAGTTCCCCTGTGCCACCGACTCTTTTGGGGAGAAGAGTTTTGCAAAAAATAAAATAAAATAGATAAGAGTTTCCAAACTCTATTTTTTGAAAAGCTTGTTTTTGTTTGTTTGTTTATTTTTGTTTTATATGATTAAACTTCACTCTACAGTCCCTTTTACCTAAGGCATGGTCCCTGGGTCATCTTTTTAAGTTTTAGTTTCTGGGAAGTTTTCATCAAACCTATCTCATGCTTTGTCCCAGTTTGTTTGTTTTTGTTTTGAAGAAGGTGAACACCTTTAGTTGAGGATGGATTGCCTGTCCCCAGGCCTACGTGTGTTTGCCAAAGCTGAAGCTGAATCAGAGTTTTCATTCCTACACCATCCTTCCCCAGGCCCTCTCTTTCTTACCACCTCATCTTCTCCAACATCATCCGACCTTCGTTGCTGTCAGTAATTTCAGAATGAACAGATGCAGGAGCACCATCTCTTTGGAAAGTTCCTTCACTTCCAATCTGCTCACTATGTCTTCCAACTGTATCTTTATATTCTAGGTTTTTCAATGTCTATACCTCTTCATAGTGTATATTCTGTAAACCATATATTACTAAGATTTTATTTAATTATTTTCTTATTTCCAACTCTTTTTTGTCCTTACTTAGTGTTGAACCAATAAATAATTCATCTTTCTTATCAAGGCAAAGGTGAGTTCTAACCTGCTGTGGTTCGCAGCCATCACAGGTATCACTTCCAGGTTGAATGTAAAAGGGTAACCCAGTCTCTCCAATCTCCACTTCACGTCTATGCTCAGGTACATAAAGGTCACATTTAGTTTTCAGCTGAACAATACTTTTTCCATTAGTTGTTCCATTTTGACTGCCTTCATCTACAAATACATAAGTTTGTAAGTCTTGGTCAAAATAAATTTCTGCATGAAACTTACTGACACCAACTTCAGGGACTCAAAGAGTATGCTCCAGATCATTTTCTCTTCCAATTGCAGCAAGTTTTACAGCAGTAATGACAAAGTGTGATCCTGCCTGCAACACAGGTGATCTAATGACAATTACTCTAATACATGGGAGTCAATTTTTTTTTCTTATTTTCCTCCTCAGTATCTTCTGAAGTTACATTGCCTTCACTGGTAATGTGAGGAGGGACTATGCTGGGGCCATACCAGACGCCTAAGGAGACAGAGGGCACAAGAGTACAGGCAGGAAAAGCAGCCTCCTCCTGGGTGGCTGGTGTGGGCCCTGCCAGGACACCCTAAAATGCATTTCCTGGAGCCAAACAGGGCTGTGGGCAACAAGTAAAGGGATGGCTGATGGCCCTGCTCAATCTGCACAGCCTGGAACCTGGAAAACTCCTGGGAACTATTACACCTTCCCCAGCTACAGGAACAGTGGGAGGAGCCTCGGAGAAGTCAAGGGGCCAGAATCGCTCTGGCCATTCCTAGGTTGAGTCAGAAACAGTGGCCAAGAGAGTTTTAAATAAACTTTACATGTGGCTAGACATGACCTGTCGATTACTCTTATTTTTTTCCACACTTATTGAGCTATGATGTACACATTAAAAAGTGTATATATTTAGGGTGTACAATAGAGAGCTTTGAGATGTGCATACATCTCTAAATTATCTCAATTAAGCTAGTTAACATATCTATCCCCTCACATAGCTACTTTATGCATTTCTGTGTGTGTGGTGAGAGTACCTCAGATCTACTTTTGTAACAAATTTCAAGTACAAATTATTATTAACTATAGTCACCATTCTGCACATTAGGTCCCCAGCAGTTTTTCATTATATAACTGACAGTATGCACCCTTCAATGGATAGAGCCTCACTTTTCCCCACTTCATAGCTCATGGTAACTACCATTCTACTCTCTGTTTCTTTCTTTTCTTTTCCTTTCTTTTCTTTTTTCTTTTCTTTCTTTTCTCTTTCTTCTTTCTTTCTTTTTCTTTCAGATTCCACATACAAACGAGATCATGCAGTATTTGTCTTTCTGCATTTTGCTTATTTCACCTAGCATAATGTCTTCAAGGTTTATTAATATTCTTGTAAATGAAAGAATTGCATTCTTTACTAAAGCTGAAATTCTGTCTCACACACAGTTTATTCATTTATTTGTATCAAAGGAGTGCAGATACCCTTGGTGATACTGATTCTATGTTCTTTGGCTATATACTCAGAATTGGGATTAATGGTACTTCTAGTTTAAAAATTTTAAGGAACCTCTAAAATTTTTTTTATATATAATGGCTGCACCAGTGGACAAGCTCAGCAACGGTGTACAAATATTCTTCCTCTGCATTCTAACACTTTTTATCTTTTGACTTTTTGATAACAGCTATCCTAACACCAGGATAAGGTGATATTGCATTGTGATTTTGATTTTAATTACTCTGATAATTAGTGATGTTGAGCATGTTTTTATACACCTGCTAGCCATTTGTATGTCTTTGGAAAATGGCTATTTAGATGTGTTGCCCAGTTAATCAGGGAATTGGTTTTTGTTTTTTTCTGCTGTGCATTTTTTCACATATTGATTAGTATTACATATATTATGGATAGTAACATATTATCCTACATATGGTTTACAAATATTTTCTCCCATCCCATATATTGCCTTTATATTTTGTTGATTGTTTACTTTATTGCACAGAAACTTTTTACTTTGATATAGTTCCACTTTTTTATTTTTGCTTTTGTTGCTTGTGTTCTTTGTGTAGGATTCAAAACATCATTGCCACAACTAGTGTCAAGAGCTTTTTCCCTATTATTTTTTAGAGGATTCATGATTTCAATTCTTATGTTTAAGTCTTATTTTATTTTATTGTATTTTATTTTACGTTCAGTTCTGGAATATGTGTCCAGAACATGCAGGTTTGTTACATAGATATACATGTGCCATGGTGGTTTGCTGCACCTATAAACGCATTATCTGGGTTTTAGGCCCTGCATGCCTTAGGTAATTGTCATAATGCTCTGCTTCCCCTTGCCCCCCACCCCCTGACAGGCCTCAGTGTGTGATGTTCTTCTCCCTGTGTCCATGTGTTCTTATTGTTCAGCTCCCACTTATGAGTGAAAACATGTGGTGTTTGGTTTTTTGTTCTTGTGTTAGTTCACTGAGAATGATGACTTCCAGCTTCATCCATGTCTCTGCAAAGGTCATAAACTCATTCTTTTTTATGGCTGCATGGTATTCCATAGTGAATATGTCCCACATTTTCTTTATCCATTCTATCATTAATGGGCATTAGGGTTGGTTCCAAGTTTTTGCTATTGTAAATAGTGCTGCAATAAATATATGTGTGCATGTGTATTTATAGTAGAATGATTTATAGTCCTTTGGGTATATACCCAGTAATGGGGTTGCAGGGTCAAATGGTATTTCTGGTTCTAGATTCTTCAGCAATCGCCACACTGTCTTCCTCAATGGTTGAACTACTTTACACTCCCACCAACAGTGTAAAAGTGTTCTTATTTCTCCACAGCCTCACCAGCATCCATTGTTTCCTGACTTTTTAATGATCACCATTTTAACTGGCATGATATACTATCTCATTGTGGTTTTGATTTGCACTTCTCTAATGACCAACAATGATGAGCTAAAAAGAGCATGTTTAAATAAGTAATTTTTACATAATTCCTTTTCCTCCTTGGAATTATATTTGAATTCCATTTCCCCAACAGACTTGTATTCTGTTAAGGACCTCTTCAATGAGAACTACAAACCACTGCTCAAGGAAATAAGAGAGGACACCACTGACTTTCTTCAAAGAAATAAAAGAAACTACTTTAAATTTCATATGGAACTAAAAAGAGCCAAGACAATCCTAAGCAAAAAGAACAAAGCTGGAGGCATCATGCTATCTGACTTCAAACTATACTACAAGGCTACAGTAACCAAAACAGCATTGTACTGGTGCCAAAACAGATATATAGACCAATGGAACAGGACAGATGCCTCCAAAATAACACCATGTATCTACAGCCATCTGATTTTCAACAAACTTGACAAAAACAAGCAATGGGGAATGAATTCCCTATTAAACAAATGGTGCTGGGAAAACTGGCTAACCATATGCAGAAAACAGAAACTGGACCCCTTTCTTACACCTTATACAAAAATTAACTCAAAATGCATTAAAGATTTAAATGTAAAACCTAAAACCATAAAAACCCTAGAAGAAAACCTAAGCAATACCATTCAGGACATAGGCATGGGCAAAGACTTCATGACTAAAACTCCAAAAGCAATTGCAACAAAAGCCAAACTTGACGAACAGGATCTAATTAAACTGAAGAGCTTCTGCTCAGCAAAAGAAACTATCATCAGAGTGAACAGACAACCTACAGAATGGGAGAACATTTTTGCAGTCTCTCCATCTGACAAAGGTCTAATATCCAGAATCTACAAGGAACTTAAACAAATTTACAAAAAAAAATCAAAAATTGGGCAAAGGATATGAACAGACACTTCTCAAAAGAGGACATTTATGCAGCCAAGAAACATGAAAAAAAAGCCCATCATCACTGGCCATCAGAGAAATGCAAATCAAAACCACAATGAAATACCATTTCATGCCAGTTAGAATGGCAATCATTAAAAAGCCTGGAAACAACAGATGCTAGCAAGGATGCAGATAAACAGGAATGCTTTTACACTGTTGATGGGAGTGTAAATTAGTTCAACCATTGCAGAAGACAGTGTGGCGATTCCTCAAGAATCTAGAACCAGAAATACCATTTGACCCAGCAATACCATTACTGGGTATGTACGCGAAGGATTATAAATCATTCTACTATAAAGAGACATACACATGTATGTTTATTGCAGCAATATTTACAATAGCAAAGACTTGGAATCAACCCAAATCCAAATGTCCATCAATGATAGAATGGATAAAGAAAATGTGGCACACAGACACCATGGAATACTATGCAGCTATAAAAAAGAATGAGTTCGTGTCCTTTACAGGGACATGGATGAAGCTGGAAACCATCATCCTCAGCAAATTAACACAGGAACAGAAAACCAAACATTGCATGTTCTCACTCACAAGTGGGAGTCGAACAATGAGAACACATGGACACAGGGAGGGGACCATCACAAACCAGGGCCTGTCGGGGGGGTGGGGGGCAAGGGAAGGGAGAGCATTAGGGCAAATACCTAATGCATGCAGGGCTTAAAACCTAGATGATGGGTTGATAGGTGCAGCAAACCACCACGGCACATGTATACTTATATAACAAATCTGCACGTTCAGCACATGTACCCCAGAACTTAAAGTAAAATTTAAAAAAATAATAATGTTTAAGTCTTTATTTTAAACTCACTTTTGGGAGGATATAAGAGAAATGTTCACTATTTCTGTGTGCATATTTAGTTTTTTTCTACACCATTTTTTGATGTGTCTATCTTTTCCTAATTCTGTGGGATCAGTTGAGTATATATGTGTGTTTATTTCTGGGTCCTCTATTCTGTTCCATTGGTTTTTATGTAGTCAATATACTATTTTGATGACTACACTTTTGAAATATAGTTTGAAATCAGGAGGTTTCAGGCTTTCAGCCTTTTTGTTCTAAGTATTTGTCTATTAGGGGTCTTTGGTGGCTCCTTACTAATTTTACAAATGTTTGTTCTACATTTTTTAATGGCATTAAAATTTTGAAGGAAATTTATTTAGCTCCGTAGATTACTTTTTGTACTATATTTTAACAATATTAATTTTTGGAATCCATTAAAACAGGGTATATTTCACATTTTGTATTCTTTAATTTCTTTCCTCAACATTTCATAGCTTTCAGTAGGCATATCTTTGATATTCTTGGTTAAACTTGTTCTATTTAATGAATTATTTCATTCCATTTGATAATATTGTAAATGGAATTGTTTTCTTTATTCCTTTTTCAGATTTTTTTGTTACTGTAAAAAAACTGCAACTGATTTTCATGTTAATATCACATCCTGCGACTTTACTGAATTACTTTCTTAGCTTTAACAGGGTAGTGTTGTTGTTGTTGCTGTCAGTAAAATGGCAGGTATTCTTAACCCTAGTTACACTTCAAATTGATAGTTGCTATTATCATTTCACGATTCTTTAAAATATGACCAGACGGGTTTCTGCTGTTATAAATTCAGTGAAATTCAAATGTTCCCATATAAAATAATTTTGTCAGTGCCTGGAAATGGGGGGTACCCCATGGGAGCCAGAAAATTCAGGATGGGGAAGGAGAAGTTGTGCGGGGGAACCAGAGAGGGTCTCCGGGGTCAGTATGGAGGAGAGGGGGTCGTGTTGGAGACCCAGTGGGAAGAGAGAACGGGCCAGAAAAGGGGTGAAGGGTGGGAGCGGGCAACAGGACTGCTTCCCGACCCGGGCAGATGGCAGGGAAATTTGCTAAAACTGCAGGCCCCAGGGAACAGTGCAGGCAGGGTGGGAGGGAGTGGAGAGGACCAGGTGGACCCCAAGTTCAACGTGGAGAGAGACATTTCCTGGTTCCTTCACCTCGGCCCAGCATTCTGCGGACATGGCCCCCCAGGGAGGCAGTTCCCAGCCGGCTCGGAGAGCTGAGGGGAGCACAGTCGTTTCGCAGGGCCAGGGTGACAGCAGAAACAAGAGATGGCTGTGGATCCCGCTGGCCCCGTGGGTGGACGGGGCGGGGGCGGGGACGGGGCCGAGCGCTTGTGGCCCAGCGCTGGGGCCTGCAGGTGGCCCTGGAGGAATCCACTCACACTTACAGTGGGCCTTCCAGGAGACCAGTGTGGATCGCGCCTTGGAGACGCCCTTCCCAGCTGGAACATTTGTAAGGCTGGAATTTAAACTCTTGAAAACAAGGTGCCGGAAGAAGAACTGGAAGAAACCCGAGTGCAAAGTCCAACCCAAGGGGAGTAAGCGGAAATGCCTGGCCTGCGTCAAACTGGGCTCTGAGGATAAGGTTGCGGCCTGGATGGTCACTGCTCTATAGAGACGCAGGCTCTGCGGGACCCTGAGGAGCACCAACGACCCCGTGAAGCAAGGCCGAGCGGACGGTGAGGACCCCACAGCTACTGCTTCCCTGCACAGTTCACCTTCTCAAAGGCCTGGCCCCCAGCTGAGCCCAGCGCTGAATTGCAGGGGGTCTCCTGGACCACTGCCGGAGGTGACCAGTGGAAGACCCCACCTCCCAGGGAGAGAACCCCACTATACCCCCAGCTAATAAAGCTGCTCCCCCAACCAAAATAAATAAATAAAAATTGATTAAGAAAATTTTGTTTGGTCTTTGAAAATAATGTGTATGCTCCGTTTAGTGGTCAACACAATGCCCATTTATCTATATGCCTAATTAGTCAAACTTTTTAATGAAGTTATTTAACGTTATGATCCTTTAGTATGAAACAAAATGTTAAATTTGATAATGGTTTTAATAGCACGTAATATGCTTGAAAATATGTCAATTTGTGATTGCCAATGAATCTTTGTGTTATTTTACGATGTGGGATACTCTGTCTACAAATGTCTAATGGCTTAGAATCTTGCCTTGCACATTGTCTGTGCTAAGTACTAGCTATTCTAATTCATCACATTATCTTTTTATACCATTCTTAAAATACAATATTATTTTATGTTTATTTTTATTAAAGTTATTTTTCTGCCTAATCTAAATATTTATGAAAATTATGAGGTCTATTCAGTCTACACTCTTGATAAAGGTCAGTTTTTGTCCTCTTTATTAATACGCTAGAGGATACAAATGCACTTTCATTACAGGGACATGTCACATAGTGATTTAAGTATGAACTTTTGGTGTAACCATCATCTGAATGGTGCTTATTGTCCCAATTAGATATTTTCTCATTTCTAACCCCTCTACCAACCTCCCATCTTTCTGAGCCTCCAGTGTCTATTTTTCCAGTCTATATCCAAGTGTGTGCGTTATTGAGCTCCCACTTACAAGTGAGAAAATGTAATATTTTATTTTCTATTTCTGAGTTATTTTACTTACAATAATGGACTCCAGTTTCATTCATGTTGTTGCAGAAGACATTATTTTATTCTTCTTTATTGCTGAACAATAGTTCGTGGTATAAATGTGTAGCAAATTTTCTTTTTTCAATCATTAATTGCTAAATTTAAATTGACTCTATATCTGCCATTGTGAATAGTGCTGCAATAAACTTATAAGTGTGAGTATCTTCTTTATGTAATGAATTATTTTCATTTGGGTAGATACCCAGTAGTGGGAGTGCTGGATCAAATGGAAGTTCTATTTTTAGTTTTTTGAGAAATTTCTATACTGTTTTTCATAGAGATTGTAGAATTTTACATTTCCACAATGTATGAGTATTCTCTTTTCCCTGTATGCTTGCCAGTATCTGTCATTTTTCTGCTTTTTAATAATTAGCCATTAGGAATGGTGTAAAATGGTATTTCATTGTGGATTTTAATTGACATTTCTCTGACCATTGGCAATGTTGAGCATTTTTTACATGCTTGTTGGCCATCATTGTCTTCTTTTTGAAAAATATCTGTTCCCGTTATGTGCCTGCTTTTCAATGAGGTTACTTATTTTATTCCTGTTGATGTTTGATTTCCTTGTATATTCTGGACATAAGGTCTTCTTCACATGCATAGTTCACAAACATTTTTCTTATTCCATAGGTTGTCTGCTCACCTGTCAATTAAAAGCTTTTTTTCAGGAGCTTTTCAGTTTAATTAAGTTCCATTTGTCTATTTTTGGTATTGTTGTATCTACTTTTGAGATGGTCTTAGTTAAGAATTCCTTGCCCAGACAAATAACCAAAATAGTTTATCATAGGGTTTCTTCTAGAGCTTTCATCATTTCACATCTTACATTTTAGTATTTTCATCTATATTGAGTTAATTTTTGTGTATGGTGAGAGTTAGGGGTACCATTTCATACTTCTGCATATGGCAATATAATTTTCCAGCATAATATGTTGAATACAATGTCATTTCCCCAGTGTGTGTTTGTTTTCACTTTGTAAAAGATCAGTTGTCTGTCGGTATGTGGCTTTATTTCTAGGTTCTCTATTCTGTTCCATTGATCTATGCATCTATTTGTATCAGTACCATACTGTTTTGGTTATTAAAGCTTTGTAGTACAATTTTTTAATCAGGTAATGTAATAGTAATATCTCCAACTTTGTTCTTTTTGTTTAAATTTGCTTTGGCTATTCAGGCTTTTCTATGGTTCCGTATGAATTTTTTAAAAATTTCTAATTCTATGAAAAATAACATTGGCATTTTGGTAGGAATTGCATTTAATATGTAGATTGTTTGGTGTAGTATGGTGATTTGAATGATAATAATTCTTTCAATCCATGAGCATAGGATGTTTTTCTCATTTGTTTGTGTCATGTACAATTTATTTCCTCAGTGGTTTGTAGTTTTCCTCGTAGATATGTTTCACCGGTTTGATTAATTATATTTCTAGGTATAATACCTTTTTTGTAGCTATTGTAAAAGGAATTGACATTTTAATTCAGCTCTCAGGTTGATTGTTATTAGTATATAAAAATGCTAATTTTTGAACATTGAGTTTTGTATCCTGAAACATTATTAAATTCATTTATCAAATCTAAAAGTTTTTTTGGTGGTCTTTAGATTTTTTTAGGTATAATATTATGTAATCATCAAAGACAAACAATTTGACTTCCTAATTTAAACCATATGGATGCTCCCACCAAGATCAACAGACAGAATTTGTGCAAGGGCACAGATGATGGTATTTCTCTAACATGGTCATGTGATTATGGTTGGAAGCCTAGGCTGAGAAACACTTAGCTAAACATTGCCTCTCAAGTTTCAAGGTACATATAAATCATTTATGATTTCAGGCCTCTCTGTTAGTAATGTAATTCTGCAAGTTGGGAAGGGGGTCCATGAATTGGCTTCTTTAAAAAGTTTTCTCTTAATGCTGATATTTCTCCCAGTACATCCATTGTAGTATCACTCAGCTAGAGAAAGCAGGCACAGCACAGAGTTTCTGACACCCAACGCTCTTACCACAACATAAATATTTTTGGCCCAAGTGGAAACCACCAATACCATTCAGAAACATGTTAATGTCAGCTGGCTCTTTGAAGTTTACAGAGGCTAGAGAAGGCTTCAATGTTAAAGTAAGTCTGCATTTGAAAAACATGTACACATGAGTTAATACAATGTTTATTGAGCATGTACTATGTGTCCAGAAGTCTGTTACACAGCACTGTGCTGGAAACATCACATGATGTGATTTAGTCCCCGTTGCTCACTGGGAGTTAGGTGTTAGGTGTCTGTAATTCTCAGGACTTAAGTGAAGAGCCCGACATTTCTATTTTTTCTTATATTTTAAAACTTATTTACCTATAAAGAAAATGTGTAGAATAAAAGCTGTGTAGACAGATGACAGGAATACAGAAATAAACAGTGAACTGTTCAGAGGGTTTTTTTGGTATTTATATTGACTTTCTTGTGCTTTGTAGAGCAACTACTGGATCTGCAGAAATAAAAAACAGGTTGCTAGGTGAGATGTCTCTAGATGCACTGGCTTCAGTGAAAAAGCAATTGTGGCCCACAGATAGATAATTATTTGCTCCCATTTATCTGTTTTTATTTTCAGGTAATTGTGGGCACCAGCTCAGGAGAGACAGCAGGAACCACCTCTCATATTTATGGTCTCTTTTAATTAGTTCTGTGAGAGGAGATTCTAGGGTGAGGCCAGACCAGGGTGAGGCCTTAGAAGAGGGTGGATCTGGGCAGGGCTGAGACAGAAAGTGGCTGATGTCTATGCTGGTGGAGTATTTCCAGTTCTGTCTTTCTTAAGCCTGCCCAATAGAAACTTGACTCTTAGAGTTTGTGTACTTTTAATCTATTTTAGCCATTTCCCTGTCAATTTTTATAACACACAATAACAAGGAATTTAATCAAAACTCTTAGAGTTTTTTAAGAAAATTATATGAGAAGCTAAAAAAATTATTTTTACTGAGATAAAAGAAATAGGAATAATCACAACAATAGCAATAATTCTTCTGTCATGAATAGCTCTTCAGGTGGTGACATCAGAACTCACAACAACAGCATAAGGGAAGTGGAATAAATGCAGTCAAAGTCCCCTGTACACCGCCCTTCTCTCTTCTGACCATAGAATGTTGAACTAAATCATTTAACCATTTGCTTGGGAATGAAAGTATCTGAACAGTAGCAACCATGAATGTTTCATCTGTTTTTCTAATAGTCGTGTGATAGAGTTTAAAAGTCCCCACCAAATCTCATATTAAATTGTAATCCCTAATGTTACAGGTGGGGCCTGGTGGGAGGTGGTTGAATCATGGGGATGGATTCCTCATGGTTCTGTGCTGTTCTTGTCATGGCGAGTACTCACGAGATCTGGTGGTTTACATGTGAGGCATATCCCTCCCCCATTTTTCTTGTTCCTGCTTGTACCATGGGAGATGCCTGCTTCTCTTTAATATTTCACTATTATTGTAAGCTTCTTTAGATGTTAATGTTGCTACAAATTTAACTCAACTTCCTTATAAATTACCTGACAAAATGTTTTGTGTTTCATAAATATGATAAATAAATATATTACGACATTACAATATATTACATCATTTGCATTATGACATCACAATTTATTATGATATAATTCACATGTATTATGACATCACCATGTAGTATGACATCACCATGTAGTGTGACATCATAATTGACATGTATTTTGACAGCATAATATATTATGACATCATAACTCATGTTTATTATATCACAATGGTATGATATCATAATGTGCATTATGATATCACAATATATTATGATATCATAATTCATATACTATTATAACATCACAATATATTATAATTCATGTAATTATATCATAATAACATAAAATTTTGTTAGGTAATTTTACAAGAAAATTGAGTTAAATTTTGTAACAACATTGATCTATAAACTTAATAAAACCTAAGAATATTTCCTGCTTTTGTATAAACGACTGCTTTATGATATTATAACATTGACAGAGCAGGAGCACCGTCACCTCTGACAAACACTGCCACTTTAAGTTCTAGCTCCCTTTCTAGCCTCATACATTTCAAAAAAATCACTTCTTTTCTAACTACAAGCAGCCAGAAAGAGCGGACAGTAAAACACAGATAAGACAGCTTAGGCACAGAGAGAGGTGGGGGAAAAGTCTTTTGGGTAACTGCCAAACTTCAGCCTCATACAATGGGCCCCAGGAAAACAGTGGGCCTTAATAAGCACATTTCTGTCCCTTCAGGTGCACTAAGATAGGGAAGCTAAAAGCAGACTTGGGAGGTATGTCTGCAGCTGCAAAAAGATGCGTGGGAAAAGACACACAACTCTTTCTCCCACATATGCACAATAAAGAAACATGGAAGCAGTCCAAGGCTCTGATAAACTCTCCCATTTTGAATCCTTAAAAACTCTTTGTCTGTAGAAAAGTGTGCCTCTGACCTAACTCTGCCAGATGCCACTCTCAAGTTTGTTTTCTCTAAAATAAACCTATCTTGACTGGCAAGCCAACTTCCGTGTCTCTTTCCTCTTTAATTCTTACAAACATGTCAAAATTTGTTTATATGTCAAATAAATTTTATGTGACATTATGTTATCAATATATAATGATATTATAAGTTACATTTAAATCCTATTTACATTCAGACAATTTTATTAGAAAGTGTCTGTCTACCACCCTATATTTTTGGGGGTTCCACTATTTGCACAGCCAGCACACCTGGGAAAACACAGACTCACCCAGCACAGGCTCTTCCCTGAATCTTTCTCTTCCTCAGGGCATCACTTCATCAGTCAACCAAGTCATTTGACAGTGGAGACCGAGTACTCCCTAACACAAAAGGTCTCATTCCTGCATGCTTTTCTCAGAAGTCGGGGAAACAAGAAGGTGTTTTTCGGGGACACTAGCTGGGAAATACACTAAGCCTTCTACAGTTCGAGGGCTCTAACCAGCAGATACAGACTTCTCAGTAGGAATGGATAAGGCAGCTGTCCCAAACGTGGAGCTCCACCATACCTTGTCTCATCTCGTTTAGGCAAGTTTGAGAGGCTGCTCTGGAATATATCTCGATGGTGGATGTTGGGAAACAACACAGGCTTTCATGGGATTCAGGCGGTGTCTGTTGTGTAAAGACAGAAGCTGAATGCTAAGGATCCACGCTGTTTTTCTTGTGGTCAGTTGGGTTACCTGTGTAGGACCAAGTCCTTTTTTACTAGGGAGCTGAATAAATTCTACAGAACAAGGTAGAACTCCCAGGATGACTGACGGAGCATGAGAAATGGGGGAAGTTTATCTCTCTACCTAGAGTTTTTGCTACTTCAGGAATCACGGGCTGATTAAGTCACCACCAGCTCTAATCTAATCCAATTCAGTTGTGTTTGATCTAATTATTGTCTCCATTTTTAAGGTAGAAAGGGCCATTTTATTTGGTTTTTACTTTTTCTCCACATTTTTATTTTATCATATATGTATGTATCTAATACAACTGACCATAACTTTAATTTGACATTTCCAAGCATTTGAGAAATTATAGTATTTATGTATATGACTTTAACACTATATATAATTATCTTTCTTTGCAAAATGTAGACACATTTCAATATAGGTATGTTTAATTCTGAATCTTGAAAGATAAGCAGTATCATAAATACTTTCATGTAGGAATTGGGAGAGAAATTAGAAAAAAATGATTCCCCTATCTTATGATTCCTGTGCCCCCAGCTTTATTTATTCTTCTTTTTATTTTTGACACTATGTCAAGACTCAGTAAATGTCTCCCCTTAACTGTGTTTAGGTCCCTAGTAAAACGACAGCCAGAAACTTTTCTTATTGAGGCCCTAATGAGTGGCAGAAAAAAGAAAACTGTTCCACCAGTAAGAGTAAGCCACTCCCAGCCAAGGGACTTACAAAAGGCAGGTCCACCAGAATCACACTCTGAATCTGGACATATAAGGGCACCTTTCACTTGAGCTTGAACATGGGAAAAGAAAATGAAGACCCCACTGCTCTTCCTTTCAATGCCCCACTGACCAGCCTCCTTTCCAACAGATCTCCTTTACAGAAAAGGGCTCAGATGAGAAGAAGCCATTCAAAGAAAAAGGCAAGACCCCTTCCTTCCATTCCAGTGAGAATCACATGCAAAGGCAAGATAAAGCCTTGGGCTGTTACCATGGAGGCTGGAAGGAGTGTTGGAATCAGGTATACTGAGCTATGTGTCTTTCATAGGATTTTATTTTGAGATTGGGGATGGGAAATGGCTTAGAACCTTGAGGAGAGATTGAGAAATGTGTTCACTCATGACACTGGCAGAAGAGCTTCATTTGAAAGACTGATCCACAAATGTTTGTCAGTGATGAGACTATGGGACTGTGTGCCTGGGAGAAGTGAGTCACTTAAACTCCATGTTGCACTATGATCAGAGCCCAATCTAAATGAGAGGAATTCTGAGGAAATCAAGCTCAAAGAAACAGTACTGTTAGATAGGGTAAGATTTGACTCTTTCAAGGTAAAAAGAGACAGAGTAGCAACACAGTCTTCCCTGGGAAGAAAACTGGGAGCTCTTTGGCAGCTAGGGCCTTGCAGATCCTGGATGCTGGAGAACAGAAGTGGGCTGGGTTTTGGTGGCAACTTCAGCTCCAGTGTGTCCAGGATGTACTAAAGTTTCTAGGGTGTTTGGTTGGAGGCACTTAACTCAAACACTCATTTAATCAACAGAGACAGAATCGAGCTCACATGGGGGAAACTCCAAGAACAGGAAAATCAGTTCCAAGGACAGCTGCCAAGACAGAGCAGGTAGAATCTTACCTTTTTTTTTTTTTTTTTTTTTTTTTTTGCCCCAAAGGGCAAACAAATAGGAAAATTTTATACACAGTTTGAACAGCAGGGGGGCTTCTTAGTGACTTGGAAAGTTTTTGAGATCCTGGCACTCAGAGGATATGTGGGGACTAAAATGGGGTTAAGCTTCACTTCAATAAAGTGCTGAGATGGTGAGGATGGAGAAGAAGAGACAAATGAGGTTCACCTGAAAGTGCACGGGAGGTTGTGGAAATGAGGGTCTGTGGGCACTGTTCTGGTGAGTCTGTCACTCACATTCTTCCTCTGCAGGGGCATGTCGAGGAGAGGAGCGTAGCTCGATGTTGAAAAAAAGAAACTAAAGTCCTCCACTGCTGTGCACAGCAGTGAAATCCAGGAGACCTGTGACGCCCACAACAGAGGGCCTTTCATGGCTCACACTGGGTGTGGCAAGTGACATAGGTCTCGGGACCCAGGAGTTCAATAGTCATCACTACGGAAAGCTTGGTGACCTTGCAAGATGTGTCAAAGGCCATTTGTCTAGACCTATCCCAGGTGTTGGTGAAGCAGGCTCATTCTCCACTGACCTGGGAGTAGGTCACTCAGCTTGGCCAGCTCTGGGGACCTCTGTGTGCCCAGTTGCAGGCATTCCATATTATGGCCACCCAGGCAGGTTATGTCTTCCCTGCTAAGAACTAGCTTGTTTCAGCCACACTGGCTGGCCCTGTGGATCCAGCCCTGTAGAAAGAACCCCACCTCTTGCATGAGCAGGAGTTAACTGAGCCTGTTAGTAGATCAGATGAGGCTTGAGCTGGCTGCACTCTCACCATATTTAGCAGCGAATGCAGCTCTTGGAATGACACCAAGAACCTGCTACTTCTCAGGTTCTTCCAGATGACCAGCAGTGACAATTTTAGATGTACTGTGTTAATAAATAACAGAACCTGAAGCAGTCATAGGAAGGAAACTTGAACAATATACTCAAAATGGTGAACCCTGCATTTTGTAGAGGGCTAAGATTCTAAACAAATTTTATATGTCTTGTTAGATATTTGATGTATTTTAGATGTCTGATAACTGTCATGCATTTCTATATAATCAAACAAATGTTAGAAGGTAATCATTCATATGCCTTTGTGTATTTTAAATTGTAGCAAAATAAATATAAAATTATATGCTTCTCTTTTAATTTAGAAGAGGTTGTAGCCTCTCCTTCCCCCCACGCTGAACCCATGGAGGACTAATATCCACAAACCTTTAATAGTACTCCCTACGGAAAAATGTCAATATGTTTCTACAGTGCAATAAAATTATGGTGAAATCACTACACAAGTGTTTACTATTAATATGTATTTTTACATAAAAGTGAAGTCAAGATATGTTAAATGTAATTCATCATATTTATTTATTCTTCACCTGACTCATATTTGCCTCATTTTAAATTTTCTAAATTTAGACTTCCTTCTATTTTATACATTTCTGTTGGTCATACTGTATTGTAGAATATTAAATGTAATATATATTATCATTTATTTTACATATTGCTATATTTTATAGTTTTTCTTCTTGCATTTTACAGTGAGATTATGAAATCTTTCATCTAAATGTATTTTTGTTTTACTCTTTGCCTCATAATTTATATATATAATGATATAAACATTAATGTTTCTGAGACTCTTCAATTTTAAATAATTTTATATTTAATCCATACTGAATTTGTATTACTCCATGTGTGACTTAGAGGACTTTTTATCTTCACTTCTTCTATATTTTTACCCCAACCTCTCCACACTCCGCAGCTCTTGTTTTCAGTCAAAGAATAGTGATTTATCATTACAGTAAATAAAGCCGATTCAATGAAAATATACAGATATATCTTGGAGATATCTGGCTTTTGCTCTAGAGCAGGGCGATTAAACAAATATCACAATAATGTGAGTCACACAGCTTTTCTTGTTTCCCATTGCATATAAGAGTGATGTTTACACTATACTGTAGAATAAGACTGAAACAGCCTATGTTTATAATAACAATGTATATACCTTGATAAAAAATGTACTTTATTGTTAAAAATGCTGACACAGATATACACACACACAAAGGTCACATGATGTTGGAAAAATAGTGTTAATAGAGTCGCTCAATGTAGGGTTGCAAAAAACCTTCAATTTGTAAGAAATTCAATATCTATGAAGCACAATAAAGTGCAATAAGACATGGTATGCCTATGTAACAAACTATTCACTAGTGATATACTCAGAAATCATACATAAATGATATTTACATAGGTATAAAAGTAATTAACAAGTTATAGTATGGGTGGGAGATAAAAATTACAACGTGATTTATAAAGTAAATTAAAAGGGGGACAAAGCCCAAAACATTCCTGAGGAGACAGAATCAGACCTCCTCAGTGACCTCATCTTGTTGATTTGCAAACAAGCAAAACATAATGTGAGGTATTTTTTGTGAATGCTTGTATTAAAAAACAACAACAACAGAACTTAAGCTTTAGTTATCAGAAGTACCCAAGACGTGTATAGTAATATAGGTCTATAAGGTAAACCAAAAAAGACAATTTTATAACTGCAACCAATCAAATAATTTTAATATTTTGTTCCTGCATTATTTCAATACCCTCTTACCTCTGACACTTTGCCATTTAAATGCTAAACCTCTTGTGGTCTCATGTTCCACAATTCATTAGTTGCTTTTTACTCAAGAAAATGTTTTTTGAAACAGGTTCCTGCTCTGTTGCCCATGCTGGAGGGCATGGAGAATTGAAGCTCTCTGCAGTTTTACATCCTGAGTTCAAGCCATCCTCCCACCTTAGCCCCATGAGTAGCTGCAAATACAGGTATGCACCACCACACCTGGCTAATTTCTTCTTATATTTTGTAGAGACAGGGTCTTACTATGTTTTCCAGGATGGCCTCAAACTCCTGGCCTCAAGTAATCCTCTCACCTTGGCCTCTCAAAGTGCTGGAATCACAGATATGAGCCACCATTCCCAACCAAGAAAACTTATAAAATTTCTGTTGTGCTACAGTTTACTTTTTAACAGGACAAAATAAAATAAACTAGCCATACATAAATCTAACAAAAATTTGTAAAGCATATGAGAAGTATGATAAAAAGTCCTTGAAATATAGGAAAATCAGCATAAAAGAATGGAAAATCACATCATGTTCTAAGGTAGAAAAATGCAATATTGCTCAATCATTATTTTATTAGAAGTAATTCATAAATTTAATTTTGTCCTAATAGTGATGCCATCTGGTATTGGAAGCAGGCATTTTATTGCAAAGTTCCTATAGATGAAAACATAAATAAGAACAGCTGAGAAAACTCTGAAAACATAACCAGAGTGGTTATCCAACCCTATGAGACATGTTTATTTATGAATATATGGATAGCTCAGTGGAAGCATAAATTCAAAGTAAACCACAATGCATGAGAAAGTGTCTTTGTTCAGGCTGCTGAAACAAAATACATTAGACTGGGTCATGTATAAATAACAGAAATGTATTGGCCACAGTTCTGGAGGCTGGAAAACTCAAGATAAAAGCACCAGCAAATTCAGTGTCTGGTGAGGGTCCTGTTTCTCACACGTGGTGCCTTCTTGCTGTATCCTCCATGACAGAAGGGACAAGGGTGCTCCCTTCAACCTCTGTTACAGGGTATTAATTACATTTATGAGGATGAATCCCTCCTGAGTTAGTCACTTCCCTAAAGGTTCCATGTTTTAAAACTATCACTTTAGGGATTAAATTTTTCAAATGAGATTTTAGAAGGAGACATAAATTCAGACCATAGCAGAAAGTCAGTTGGAAATAAAAACTACAGTTGGGTAGGCATCATTAAGGCTTTGGGTTTAGGAATCTGATGTTTCTCTCATAAAGGTAAAAAAAAAAGTACTAATTATAACCTGAAATAAAATAAATGTCAAATGACAGATAAATCTGTACTGTGAAAAAATCAAGTTTTTACAAGGGAAATTCTCACAGGTTATATCAGGACTTTTGTGGTTTCTGGGGTTCATAAGACCCCAGAGTTTCCTCCTGTGACATTTTTGCTGAAGTTTCTGACACTCTTACTCAATTTCAATGTGGAAAAAATCTGTCTTTGAGAAATTCAAAATAAAATTGGCCTCCATATTCTTGATTCTAAAACAATTATTCACTCAGTGGTGCTCTGCTGAGGAAGGGCGCTGAATCTCACACTCACAGAAACACCATGTTCTGTCAGATACAGGACTTCTCATTGATCCAGAGCCTCATCACTCACACAAGACCAGAGGCTTTCACAGGCATGCACTGCTATGCACCCTCCCACACAAGCTCAGCCCTGAGCATCTGACTCTGAAGGCGACTAATGAACATGTGCCCTAGTACTCTAATTTATGGGGATTTTGTTTTCTCTTAATGATCGTTTCCAGAGTTTTAGGGTCTTTCCTGAGTCCACCTACCACACACAGATAGACTGGGAGATTTGGACAGAAGCTTCGATCCTCACTCTAAGCCCTGGCCTGTCCCATCAGCTTCTCTAGAAGTACAATATTCTAATTACCCCTGAGGGACAACATGTCAGGGCAACTTTCTGTGCCAATAATTTAATAAAACTGAGAATAGAAACAGGCAAAAATTTCTGCTGAGGGCTGCATCTAAGGATCTACTTGCCAGACTTATATCTCCATTTTACACAAATATTGGCAAATGTAATTTTATCTCTAGATGAAAAATCAAAGAAGCAACCGCAGTTCACAGAGGAAGGAGAAAATGGAATCAATGTTCTATAGAATCCAGCTTACCTCAGCCATGGAAGTCTTCTCAGAAAAAAAAGCAATTGTTCTCTATCATCAGAAACAACTGTTGCCTCAGACAGCTGGACACTGAGAGTGCAGGATGTTCACTGGGATTCCATGCCTGCCTCAAAGAGGAATGGAATTCCCAAGAAAGGTTGAGCACACAGGTCCTGTTCTACCATTTGGTCCAACTAATATTATTCCTCCTCCTGGTCCAACAGGATTCCCCAACTCTTCTCTGCGTCTCACTAGGGATAGTTCAGAAAGATAAAATGTTATCAATGTCCCTGCATTTCTGTAGTTTTTGGGGTCTAATTTGTTCATTTTTAGGTTTTGGGTATTTGTTCTCCCTCTACATCCACAAAATTTGTGTGCTATTCCAGTACCTATAAATTTCAGTAGTCATTTTTCTAGACTAGTCACCCATACTGTCTTCTAGTCATTTTTTTTCTAGTGGAGCCAGATGATATGTACACAAGAACTTCTATATAAAAGTTCAACATAACTGAGTTGAGTAACACAACCCCTCTTTGGGCTAGACTGCCATTCAGAGAATGTGCAAACCAAATTTGTCTGGGGTTGCAGTTAAGGAAAAGAAAGACATATCCTTTCCATGAATGGTCAGTGAGAAATCTCAAAGTTTGAAAACGGTTGCCTATAGACCTCAATGATGTTCTCTTCATCTTGGAGTCAGTCAAGAAGAGATTTTTGGGTTCTGAGGGGAAAGTCATATTCAATCAACAAATTACCTAGCCAACATTTGTGGACCCAGATAAAAAAAGAAAGTACAATCTAACAATTTGGCCATGTTAATAAAATTAGTGATAAAAACTACAATGTGATTAAAATAGAAGTGGTCTCAAAAGCCTAAAAAGTTACAGGAATGAGCTTCAAGGGACACAAGGTGTGGCAAGAGTCAGCTGACTATTATGCTAAAGATGTAAATAGCCTTTAGTTTCAATGTGAAAGACCAAACAGTTAGAACATTGGCAATAACCCCAAAACCCTGAGTTCTTACCATTAAGTGGTGCAACGATCCCTGCTTCAGGTTCTGTGTGGCTGGCAATGAGGTTAGACATCCACAGCAGCCCAGTGAGCACCAAAAGGTGGCAACTTCCTTGACTTGTCAGTGAAATAAACCAGGCATTTAGGAAATATTTAGTGAATTGAAGACCCCATAGAGCCAGCAGTTTTGCTTCAAACAGTGGAGGGTGGTGTATTAGTTTGTTTTCACCCTGCTGAAAAAGACATACCTAGGACTAGGCAATTTACAAAAGAAAGAGGTTGAATGGACTCACAGTTCCACACGGCTAGGGAGGCCTCACAATAGTGGCAAAAGGTGAAAGGCATGTCTCACATGGCAGCAGACAAGAGAAGAGAGAATGAAAGTAAAGTGAAAGGGGTTTCTCCTTATAAAACCATCAGATCTCTTGAGACTTATTCATTACCACAAGGACAGTATGGAAAAAATTGCCTGCATGATTCAATTGTCTCCTACCAGGTCCCTCCTACAACACTTGGGAATTATGGGAGCTAAAATTCCAGATGAGATTTGGGTGGGGACACAGCCAAACCATATCAAGGGGCATAAAATTTTCACCAAAGAACATAATTTTTCTTTTACAGCTAATGTTCCTGTGGCATTCCAATTTTCTTTTAGAATATGTTATATTCTAAGTGACCTTCTGATGTCTCATAGAACTCAAATTTACTCACTTCAAAATTGGAATATCAAGCTGGGAAGCACCAAGCCCTTCATGTGTCAGGATTCAATTTGACAGGAGCTTTGGAGCAAGCTTGTCACTGACTTTCAAATCAGTGTAAGTAGTAGAGTCAGGGAGATTATGTATCAAAAACTCTAAGGGCCACCTCTAAGGGGAGGCTGACTCCCTCTCTCAGAGGCTTCAAGTGAAAAAAATATCAAGGATTCCTTGGCTGCTGGAAGAACTGAGCTATGTAAATCTGCCCACATAATTCCAGTGAATTTTAACTGGAAAACATGACTAGGGGATGTTGGGGATTTTATCAGCTACTGGCAGAGAGATGTTATCATTCTAGACAGGAGCATGAAGGCAGATGCTTCTAAATTGGCAGCCAACAGAACCTCACCAACAGAGTTGAACTTTTTGGACATCAGAGAGTAAAGGCACTCATGATAAATTCTGCCCTGCTACTGTGGCAAATGGCAGGGAAAATTGTCTCACTTACACATTTCTACCTGTTCCTCACCCAATTTAGAATAATCCCCTCTGGCACTTACGGGGCAGGCAAGGACAAAAGCATCAAACCTGAAAATTGCTACTACAGATTCTGATGTAGAAACACAACAGGACATTGATTGAGCTCCAAGAGCTCCACCCCCATTTTATGTGATCTGCCTGCTTTTACTGTCACCCTGCCCAAACAGTATTTGTTGAGTTTTGCTCTTTGTTTTATTTTATTGTTTACCTTTGTTTTATGTTATCCTCTACATAAACACAGATTAGCAAGTTACACTATCCCCAGGACAAGGGAATACAAAAGACCAATAAAGGCTGGCACAGGTGTGTGTTGGGGAGAGGACGGGGCAATGGGAAGATGTTATTCTCTTTAAACTTTTCACCCTGAGGTCTGTGCTGTCCTCTCACATTCATACCTTCCAGCATTTGGAGAGTATTCAGGATCAGAAGCTACCATCTGATGAAGGAGGATGAAGGACTTTATCTGGAGAATGATGTCAAAGGTCAAAACATGAGCAGGGAGGGTTTCCCCGAGACATCTCTCCTGGGCTTGTAAGTGGCCACCTTCTCTTTCTGTTTTCATGTGGCCATTTCTCTGTATGTACACATTTGTATCCTTATATCCTCTTTCATGGAGACATCAGTTACATTGGATTTGGGCCCACCCTAAGGCCTTCATTTTAAAACTTTTTTATTGTAACTGATAAAAATTGTCTACATTTATGGTACCGTTTTGAAACATGCACACACTGTGGAATGGTTAACCCAAGCTAATTGGCATATGCATTACCTCACATACCTATCATTTTTTTGCTGTGAGAACACTCAAAATCTACTGTCTTATCAATGTTCAAGAACAGAGTACATTAAATGTAGTCACCAAATGCAATAAACCTGTTGTATTTATTCCTCTTGTCTAACTGAAATTTTGTATAATGTGACCATATCCCCACCACCCCAACTCCACCCCCAAAGACCTCATTTTAATGTAATTACCTCTTTGATGAAGCTATCTCCCAATGTAGTCACATTCTTTGGTGCTGGGGTGACAGTGTCAACATATGAATTTTGGAAAGCACACAATTCAGCTCTCACAGAAGCCTCTGTCATGACGTAACACTTACATTGAGATTTCGGTAACCTAGCAACAGAGGGAATGACATGCAAAGATTCTGGGAATAAAATTCCAGGCAGAGAATTCTATTGAGCAAGGGTTCTGAAATGAGAGTCAACAGTTTGAGTTTGAGAAACCACAGACCAGTGGCATGGGGGAGGGGGCACAGAAAGCAAGGGGAGGAGCTGAACTCACAGAGTCTTGGTGAGACATATAAACCTGACTGTGATTTTATTCCCTATGTGGTGAGAAGTCATTGGAGGGTTTTAAGCAAGAGACATGATCAGATTCAGATGTTCAAAAGTTTTTTTCAGTTGCTTCATGGAGAATGCATTCTAAAGAGGACAAATATGAAAACAAGGAGCCTTTTGTCACAGGTCAGGTGAAAGTGATGGTGGCTTAGACGGGGTGATGTGGAATCAGAATGAAGCAGGTGGATTGGGGATATGTTTGAGCACGAGACTATAGAACCTGTTGATTTGTTGCATGAAAGGGAAAAGGGTCTTCAAGACTACTGTACAAGTTAGTCAAGTCAGGAGAATTTCCAGAGATGTGGTGGGGCTCCTTACTGAGATAGGAAAGAATGGGAGAACAGGCTTTCAGAGAACATTCAAGTGATCTAGCATTTTCCTAAGAGCATGGGTCAGGAAACTTGGTGGTGCCTGGCCATTCTCAGAAGTACTGACACACTCCTCCCTCTGGGTCATTTTAGCACTGACACCAAGACCCAGGGCACGGAAATTCCCAAATGGGAAAAGGCATGATGCTGTAGAAATGCAAGCGTGGTGATGAGGTTGGTAGGGCTTTGGAGCATGGCACCTGTGTGACCTAGAAGGAGACCTGCTGCATCTGGTCTGGGTGAGGTCAGTCCTCAGTGCAGTGCAAGTCACACTTGTGAAATGAATGCAAGCCCTGGCACACGCTGGGTAGCTGGCATGAATTACTATTGGTATTATTATTAATATCTTTGGTGTTATTATTAATATCCTCAGTACTGATGGGACATCAGTTCAGCCACTCCAACAAAACCTTCAGAGATATACAAAGGCCCTGAGACAGTCCTCACTCTTCCACACATTTCTCCAGTTTAGTAGCCAACTGACTCTCACTTCAGCCTTATTGGGTTTTTATGTTAAACTAGTGGCTCTAGGTATGTCCCAAAGGCTCTGAGCAGTGTGTGGGTTGTGTTCTGTCTACCCCAGGCCCTTGACAGGATGAGGGGCAGGGAGGAGGTGGCAGCTGTAGACCCACGGAGACAGTGGCACGAGCAGGTTTTCCCCCACATGCAAGGCTGCTTCTTTTTGCTTGTTCAATAAATAGAAGCCCACTCAGTCTCACAAAGTTTGCTTCCAAGTGAGACAATAAACATTTTGTCCATAGCTGTATTTTTCTACTGTTGACAACAGATGAAACTAAGAAAGTCAAGTACAGTATCCCCTCCTGTCTGCAGGGACTATGTATGTTCCAAGACTCCCCCACTGAATGGCTGAAACCAAGGATAGTACTACACCTTACATATACTATGGACAAATTTCTTTTTGCTGCTTCACAATTTCACAATTTGTTCTTACAATCTTGTTCTTACAAGATTTGTTCTTACAATAGACATTACCAACCTCAACCTACAAGATTGTTTTTCTTTCCTCATTAAGTTGAGAAGTTTTGGGTTTTCATTTTAATAAAAGCACTTTATGGCTTTTCTTTGGCATATCTGAATTACTCTGTGCTTTGGAATCATCATGAAGCAAAATAAGCGTTCATTGAACCCATGCACTATGATAACACAGCAGTCGATCTGATAACTGAGACAGCTACTAAAGTGACTAATCAGCAGGTAGTGGGTACAGTGTGAAAATACTGGACAAAGAGATGATTCACATCCTGGGAGGGTGGGAGACTTCATCAAGCTACTCAGAATTGGTGAGCAATTTAAAATTTGAGTTGTTTACTTCTTGAAATATCTATATAGTATTTTCAGACTGCAGGTAACTGAGACCACAGAAAGCAAAACAGCCGATAATGGGGGACTACCGTATCAGTGTTCTCTTGGAGTACCATAGACAAAATTATACTGTCCAAACTAATGACCATTCATTCATCTACTACTGTTTATTGAGCACCTCCTAAGTGTCAGACGCATGCTGATGTGTCAATAAAGCGGGAGTGTCACTTTGCCTCCCATGGGGCTTTTGAGCTTCACTGTGCTAGGTTTTGGGGTACCTGCCTCCCAGTCACCCACCTGACTTGCAGAAATGCAGGCCTGAGTCCAGCCAACAAGAGCAGTTGGTCATCTTCAGCACTTGGTTTGATGAAGCCACTCTCTTGTTCAACAATGGCACAGGACTGGTTTTCTGGATCACATCTTTGTGGGGCCTCTGCAGCTGTGAGTGCTGGATGCCTCCGAGCAGGACACTGGGACCTATAGCTGTCAGGGCTCACCCCATGCATGCAGTGCCCTTTCATTGTCTATGTGACAGGTGAGTGCTTTTTTTTCTTTTGAGACATGGTCTCACTCTGTCACTCAGGCTGGAGTGCAGGGGCACAGTCATGGCTCACTGAAGCCTTGACCTACTGGGCTCAAGTGATCCTTCCACCTAAGCCTTCTAGCTGGGACTACAGGCATGTACCACCATGGACAGCTAATTTTTTTTTTTTTTTTTTGAGACAGAGTCTCGCTCTGTCGTCTTGGCTGGAGTGCAGTGGTGTGATCTCGGATCACTGCAAGCTCCGCCTCCCTGGTTCACGCCATTCTCCTGCCTCAGCCTCCTGAGTAGCTGGGACTACAAGTGCCCACCACCACGCCTGGCTAATTTTTTTGTATTTTTAATAGAGACGGGGTTTCACCGTATTAGCCAGGATGGTCTCAATCTCCTGACCTCGTGATCCGCCCGCCTCGGCCTCCCAAAGTGCTGGGATTACAGGCATGAGCCACCACGCCTGGCTATGGCCAGCTAATTTTAATAAATTTTTTGCAGAGAGAGGGTTTCGTCATGTTACCCAGGCTGGTCTTGAACTCTTGGGCTCAAGCAAGCCACGGCTTCAGCCTCCCAAAGTGCTGAGATTGTAGGTGTGAGCCACGCGCCTGGCCATGAGTGCCTTGGGGCTGCATGAGGCTGGATGGAAGGGGTCAGGGCCACTGAGTTCCCTGAGTGGGTGCATGGCCAGGAGCTGCTGGGGTTCTCAGGAGCTGTGTCTCCAGCACCCCTCCTCTGAGGGTCTCCCTGATCATTGGTAAATAGGAAATCACCCCAGGACATAATGCCTGAAAAAGGGGTTCCAGCCCTACCTGTGAGGTGCACCTGGGGTTCTCCTGGGGCAGATCAAAGACTGAGTTCCAGACAGAAAGCCTCTGCCCCCAGCTGAGAAGCAGCAGGCATCTGGATGTGGGCCGTCCTGGGGCCACTGCCCACTCCCACCCTCTCCTGCACTGCAGATGCTCCATCTTCAGGAGGTGAAGAAGATGGGAGGACCAAGCTAAGACACTGGCGAGACCAGATTCCAGGCACACTGATTGACCAGGAGTGGGGCCTGCTTCCCTCCCAACTAGCCCTGTCCTCAAGTGGCAGGGGAGGGACTGAGGCCTGGGGATGACCTTACTGGGGTCACTCAATGGTTGGCATTCCCTCAGGATGGAGGTGTGGCTGGGCCATCCAGATGGCCCTGGATGCTTTGTCCTAGGCTCTGGGTGGCCAGCTGAGGGTGGGAGGAGACCCCCATGATGCAGAGGGGTGAGATTAAGGCACAGGCCACTGGGGTTCAAGGAGCAGTGAGGAGGTCAGGACTGGCCTGTGGGGACTTTGATGTTGGCTCTGGGTGAGGTGGCTACTGCAGGTGTGAGCACAGCAGTTGGCAGGGACTCAGGTGGCTGCTGTGGGACAGATGGACAGAGGGGTTAAGACATCAGGAGATGAAAGCTACAGCCCAGCAAGAGAGGAAGGTGGCTCTGGGGGCTGTGAAAGGGGTGCCAACAGCATTTTTGGGGAATGAGCTGTGGGTGTGAGAGAGCAGACAGGGGGACAATGCCCAGATATTCTGACTTGGGACAGCGGAGGGTGGAGGGGTCTGTCAGGCAGCTGGGGCTTCTGGTTTCAGAGGAGCCCAGAGATGTGCTCATACAGATGAGGGTCCTCATGGGATGGACATGGAAGGGGCAGCTACAAACTGGGGACCAATGGTGGTGGGCTGAGCCCTTGGGACCTCTGGGGTGAGCAGGCAAGAAAGTGAGGAAGAATCAGCCAGGGAGACAGAGGCAGAGGAAAGTAGACCTCAGGAGAGGAGCAGACCCAGGAAGAGGACGAAAATTTCTGCTCACCTGCCCCATTGGCCTCTGCCTTTGCCCACATACCCTAGGACCCTCACCCTGAGTCTCTGCTTGCCTCTGCCTACCTGGCCATTCCAGGCAGGTGTGGGCTTGAGCTGTGGGGGTAACTGAAGGGCCACTTTCAGAAGGCACAGTCTAGAAGTGGGCAGCGTTGTCATAGTCATCTCCTAGTCATGGGAACAGCCTCTGCCACAGCCCAGTGAGCTGTCTTCATAACCCAGGGGCTTCCTTTCACCACCCCTGGAGGCCTGGAGGGCAGCTCAGAGCTGTGAGGGTTGCCTCTTCCCAGTATCTCTCTACACTGCTCCTGCCTGTGCCTAAGCATCCTCCTCCAAGAAGTAGGCCTATTGCTGCACGTGAATGGTGAGGAGGTCACCGTGGGAAAGGAGCTCCCTCCTTTCTCCTTCCTGGGCCCCTGGTGCCTCTCTCCTGGGGGATAAGGCAATCCAGCCTACCCATGAGTCCATGCAGGAAGGCAGCCCAACCCCAGCCCCCAAAAAGAAGAAAACTCATTGAGGTGTAAGGGAGGGAATGGTGACAGCCCTGGACACTAGGACAAAAAAGAGCTGATGCCTCCAGGAGGCCATCTTCACCTGTGCATGCCAGGCCGTGAAGCTCTGCGGGGGTGGCTTAGGGGCACAGAGGCTTGCGGGCCAAGGCTTCTCAGCTGCTTCTGAGGCTCCCAGTCCTTCAAGGGGCTGGATTTCCCCTCCTGGTAAACCGCTCCCAATGCCTGTCCTGGCTCATTCACTTAGCTGGGCTACTTGCCCGGCCTCTTTCCTGGTGAGCCTTCTGAATGTGCCACCCTGGGCAGGTGAGGACTCCCCAGGAGACTCCATTATTCCCTGAGGCTTTCAGGCCTGGACGAAGCACCCTGACTTCTCAGCAGGAGCAGCCACTTGGGGGAAGCAGAGGAAATGGGAGGGGACACATGGCCCAGCTCTGAGCATGACTGGGTGGGGACATCATGTTGAAGTTCCTGGGAGCCTCATGCAGCCCAGGAAGAGGCCCTTGAAAGGCCAAAAAGCTCTCTATACAGGAGGGAAAACTGAAGCTTGGGGTGGGCAGGGGCGGCCTTGAATTGGGGGTCTGGTCAGAAGGGCCTCTGCTCCTCACCTCAGCTATGGCCTTCACATGAACTTCCACCAGCAGAGGCCCCTAACTGGACTTGGCCCCAGTGGATGGACAGGAAATTGCCTACCATGCTGGCCACGCTAACTAACTTTCACTGCCTGGCTACTGGCAACCCCACTCTTTCCATCTCCTGGCTGAAAAACCACAACAGTTCTAAGGAGAGCATCACATCAGGACATCGAGGTGGCCCTGGAAGTTGGTGAGAGTGTGGCCTGAATGTGGAAGGTGGGACCTGTCTTCCATTTATCTGCACTTCCACCTGGAGCTGTGGCACCAGCAATAGAGCCTGGTCATGAAGTGTGGCACCCTCAGACTGCTGTCGCTCACCTCTGTGATGGAGAACAAGTTCAGCAGCCCTCAGTAGACATGCATGCTGGGCATCTGGGTGAGGGCTGTGACACATGGGCAGGGGGCAGGAAGGTGGGCAGCCTCTGAGGCCCCATTCATTCTCTCAATGTGCTCTCCTGACCATACCTTTCTACCCACAGGCTTCTGGCCAACCAGACCCAGCAAGGTGGAGTTCCACTGCAAAGCACACGGCAACTTAGTATGTGGAGGTAAACAGCAGCAAGGTGGGTGACAATGGCATGCCCTATGTCACTGTGCTGAGGGGAGATGCTATTGCTTGCCAGGAGCATGGGGATGGCAGGCCCGGGGCTCCACTTCACTAAACTCTACCATCATCATAGAATATTTGGAGTAGCCTATGAAAGACAGTATCATGTCATCAGCCAGGAGACAAAATCCTCTTGATCAGCTCTCCTGGATATAAACTTGGTGCTGGTTCATTTAGCATCTGCTATGAACCAGTGTCTACAATTAGAGGCAGTTTTTCCTACAGAAAGATCATATGAGTCATATGAGTCATAAAAGTGGGAAGCACTTCTGTTAGTATTGTCTCTCAAAATTCATTCAAAACATTTGCTTCTGCCTTTGCAACTTTATGTTCTCTGAATTCCCTCACTGAGTAAAAACCTCCTTGATGAGCTTATAATCAATCTCACATATTTAACAATGTGGGTTTCATCTTAAATTCCACTATAAAATATGGAACAAAATCTATTTGATTTATAGTAGATGTAAAACAAAAAATTAGGATGGGCTATTCTTGTGGGCAGCAAGCCACCCAGGTGCTGAGCCAAGAGATAGAAAGCACAAGTTGTTCCAGTATAATAAAGAAAATATAGAGAATAAGAATAGTCATACTAGAAATAGAATATAGATATGATTATATATGAATATTATTATTATTAGTTTGTAGCATTACTCTTTATTCCAATATTATAATAATGTCCGTTCTACAATTATAACCTAGGAAAGACCAGGCCATACAGAGATAGGAGCTGAAGGGTGATAAGTGACCAGAAGAGTGTGAGCCCTCAGTTATGCCCAGACATGGCCACTAGAGGGCTCCTTGGTCTAGCGGTAACGCCAGTGCCTGGGAAGGCACCGGTTACTTAGCAGACCGGCAAAGGGAGTCTCCCTTTCCCTGGGAGAGTTGGGGAAGACTCTGCTCCACCACTTCTTGTGGAAGGCCTGACATGAGTCAGGCCCGCCCGCAGTCATCCAGAGGCCTAAACCTCTTCCTGTGGTGCTGTGCTTCAGCGGTCACGCTCCTGGTCCACTTTCATGTTCCGCCCTGTACGTCTGGCTCCACCTTCTAGAAAGCAGTAGCAGAATTAGTGAAAGTATTAAAGTATTTGATCTCTCCGAGAAATACATAAAAGAAATAATGAATATGTCCTAAGCTGTCCCCTCTCTCCGCCTCGGCTACCAAATAAGGAAGGGCCCCCTGTCCGGTGGACACGTGACTCACGTGACCTTACCTATCATTGGAGACAACTCACACTCCTTACCCTTCCCTCTTGCCTTGTATACGATAAATAACGGCGCGACCGGGCATTCAGGGCCACTACCAGTCTCCGCGCGTTGGTGGTAGTGGTCCTACGGGCCCAGCTGTCTTTTCTTCTGTTTGTCTTGTGTCTTTATTTCTACGATCTCTTGTCTCCGCACAGGAAGAGAAAAGCCCACAGGCCCTGTAGGGCTGGACCCTACATACTTGGGACACGTAGAATTAGTTCCTTTTATATTTATCAGTTTTCTACCAACCTGTATTTATTACAATAAAAATAATGCTAAAATATGTTTATCTTATTGCGTGGAGTTGAAATGGACACACTTGATAACAGAATATTAACTAAATGAACAATGAAGCCTATTTTTTTCAGTTTTTTAAAAATTTATTTTTAAAAAGTTTTTTTCCAGTGTAAAACTGCACTTGATTAAATCTACTCCTAATCTACCCCTAAATCTACTCCTAAATCTACTCCTAATCTACTCCTAAATCTACTCCTAATCTACTCCTAAATCTACTCTTTCTTTTTCATACATATACAAATGGAATTGTTTTCTTAATTTTATTTTCAGGTTGGTCATGGTAGTATATAAAATACAATTGAACTTTGTATATTGATTTTATATATTGTGACCATGCTGAACTCATTTATTGGTTTTAGTGGGTTTTAATGAATTTCTTGTAAATTTTTATATTCAAGTTATGTTATCTACAATGATAGACATTTCTAACCTCTTATTTTCCCACATGGAGGACTGTGTTTATTTTTCTTATGTAATTTCTTTGGATGTTAACCTTTTCCTCTTGTTCTCAAATGTCATGACACAACAACCAGTATTTTATTATTATGGGGTTAGCTGTAAGTTTTTCATTGATGCCCTTCAGCAGATCTAGGAAGTTTCCTTATACTCCTCCTTTCCAGGGAGACTAATTGTGAAGGAATATTGAATTGGTCAAATGCTCACTGTGTCTGTTGAAAGGATCTTTCTGTTACTTTCCTTTATCCTATTATTTTGTGTAATGCATTGATTGATTATTGGATAGGTCAACAATTCAGTGTCTGTCTGTCTATCACCTGAGAAAATGATTTGGAGCATACTGTTTGAATCCTGAAGTTGGAGTCAGTAAATTTCATGCAGAAATTTATTTTGACCATGACTTAACGAAGTTATGTCCTTGTAGATAAAGGCAGTCAAAATGGAACAATTGTTCATGGAAAACAGATGGTTCAGCTGCAAACTAAATGTGACCCTTATGTCCTTGAGCATAGACATGAAGTGAAAATTGGAGAGACTGTGTTACCCTTTCACATTCACCCTGGCAGCGATACTTGTGATGGCTGCGAGCCACGGCATGGTAGAGCTCACCTTTGCCTTGATAAGAAAGATGAATTGTTTACTGGTCCAACACTGAGTAAGGAGAAAAAAAGAGTTGGGAATAAGAAAATAATTAAAGAAAATACGAGTAAAATATGGTTTCAGAATACAGACTATGAAGATGAATAGACATGGAAGAATCTAAAATATAAAGATAGAGCTGGAAAACATATGGAGCAGATTGGAAGTTAAACAACTTTCAAAAAGATGATGCTCCTGCATCTGTTTCTTCTGAAACTACTGACAGCAACAAAGGTCAGAAGATGTTGGAGAAGATGGATTAGAAAAAAAGAGAGGGTCTGGGAAAGGATGGCGGGGAATGAAAACTCCAATTCAGCTTCAACTTCAGCCTCAGTGAACACATTAGGCGTGGGGACATGCAATCCATACTCAATTGAAGATGTTCACATTTTCCAAAACAAAAGCAAACAAACTGTGACAAAGCATGAGATAGGTTTGCTGAAAACTTCCCAGAAATGAAACCTTAAAGAGAAGACCTAGGGACCACACCTTGGGTAAAAGGGACTGTAGAGTGAGGTTAATCATAGAAGAAAACTCAAGCTTTAAAAAAATAGAGTTTGGAAACTCTTATTTATTTTATTTTAACAAAAACCATATGGTTGTTCCAATGAAGATTAACTGACAGAATCTGTGGGGAGAGCACAGGTGATGGTATTTTTTTAAAGTAGTCATGTGATTATGGTTGGACGCCTAGGCTGAGAGACACTTAGCTAAGCCTTGCCTCTTAAGTTTCAATGTACATATAAATCATTTCTGATTCCTCTCTGATTACATTACTCTCTTAGTAATGTAATTCTGCAGGTTTGGAAGGGGTCCAGGAATTGGCTTCTTTAAAAAGTTTTCTCTTAATGCTGATGCTTCTCCCAGTACATCCATTGTAGTAGCACTCAGCTAGAGAAAGTAGTCACAGGACACAGAGTTCCTGACACCCAACACTGTTACCACAACATAAATACTTTTGGCCCAAAGTGGAAATCACCAATCACTATTAACAAGCATGTTATTCTCTGCTGGCTCTTTAAAGTTTACAGATGCTAGAGAACATTAGAGTAGGCCTGCATTTGAAAAACATGTATACATGAGTTAATACAATGTTTATTGAGCATGTACTATGTATTCAGAAGTATGTTACACAGCTGTGCTGGAAACATCACATGGTGAGTTCATCCTTATAGCTTCCTAGAAGTTGGGTACTAAACATTCTGTAATTCCCCGGATTGAATGGCCCAGCATTTCTATGTTTTCTTTTAGTTTTAAAATAATTTACCTATAAAGAAAATGTGTAGAATAAAAGCTGTGTAGCTCAGAGGGATACAGAAAGAAAGGGTGAACTGCTCAGAAGGATTTTTTTGGTATTTATGTTGACTTTCTTGTGCCTTGTAGAGCAACTACTGGATCTGCAGAAATAAACTGCAGGTTGCTAGGTGGGATTTCTCTAGAAGCACTGGCTTCAGTGAAAAAAAATTGTGACCCAGAAATGTATAATTATTTGCTCCCATTTATCTGCTTTTTTTTTTTTTTTTTTTTTTTTTTTTGAGATGGAGTCTCGCTCTATCACCCAGGCTGGAGTGCAGTGGCGCAATCTCGGCTCACTGCAAACTCCGCCTTCCGGGTTCATGCCATTCTCCTGCCTCAGCTTCCTGAGTAGCTGGGACTACAGGTGCCCGCCACCGTGACCGGCTAACTTTTTGTGTTTTTAGTAGAGACGGGGTTTCACTGTGTTAGCCAGGATGGTCTTGATCTCCTGACCTTGTGATCCACCCGCCTCGGCCTCCCAAAGGGCTGGGATTACAGGCATGAGCTACCGCGCCTGGCCATCTGCTTTTTATTTTCAGGAAATTGTGGGCTGTAGCTCAGGAGAGGCAGCAGGAACCACCACTCAATTTTCTGATCTCCTTTAATTAGTTCTGTGAGAGGAGATTCTAGAGTGAAGCCCAATTCAGATGAGGCCTTAGAAGAGGGTGGATCTGGGTAGGGCTGGGACAGAAAGTGGGTCCCATGTGGCTGATGTCTATGCTGGTGCAGTATTTCTAGTTCTGTCTTTCTTAAGCCTGCCCTGTAAAAACTTGACTTCTAGAGTTTGTATAATTTAATCTATTTTAGCCATTTCCCTGTCAATTTTTATAACACACAATAACAAGGAATTAAAAAAAAAACACTTAGGGTGTTTTAGGACAATTAAATGGGAAGCTAAAAAATTATTTTTACTGAGGTAAAAGAAATAGGAATAATCACAACAATAACAATAATTCTTCTGTCTGTGAATTGCACTTCAGGTGGTGACATCAGATCTCACAACAACAACATAAGGGAAGTGGAACAAATGTAACCAAAGTCCCCTGTACCCCTCCCTTCTCTCTTCTGACCACAGAATGTTGAATTCAATCATTTAGCCATTTGCTCTGGAATGAAAGTATCTGGACAGTAGAAACCATGAGTGTTTCATCTGTTTTTCTAATGGTCATATGATATAGTTGAGATGTCCCCTCCAATCTCATATTAAACTTTAATCCCTAATGTTACAAGTGGGCCTGATGGGAGGTGGTTGAAGCATGGGGATGGATTCCTCATGGCGTTGTGCTGTGTTTGTCATGGTGAGTACTCACGAGATTGGTTGGTTTAAAAGTGAGACCTATCCCTCCCCCATCTTTCCTGTTCCCATTCCTACCATGTGAGATGCCTGCTCCTCTTTCATCTTTCACCGTGACTCTAAGCTTCTTTATATGTTAATGTTGTTACACAATTTAACTCAATTTTCTTATAAAATTAACTGACAAAATTTTACGTTATTATATCATAAAAATAAATAAATATGATATCACATATGTGTTATGACATCACAATATATTATAATACCATAATTTGTATGTATCATGACATCACAATGTACATGACACCATAATTTGTATGTATCATGACATCACAATATTTTATGATATCATAATTTGTATGTATTATGACAGCACAATATATTTTGATATCAATTCATATGTATTATGACATCACAATATATTAAGGTATCACAATTCATATGTATTACTATGATATTATAATAACATTAAAATTTTGTTAGGTAATTTATAAGAAAATTGTGTTAAATTTTATAACAACATTAACTTATAAACTTAATAGAATCTAAGAATATTATCTGCTCTTGTGTAAATGACTGCTTAAGATATTATAACATATATTCAAAATTTGTTTATATATCAAATAAATTATATATAATATTATAGTATCAATATATAATGATATTATAAGTTCCATTTAAATCCTATTTAAATTCAGACAATTTTATTAGGCAGTGTCTGTCTGTCTATCACCTGATTTCTTGGGGGTTCCACTATTTGCACACAAACAGCACAGCTGGGAAAACACAGAGTCACCCAGCACAGGCTCTTCCCTGGATCTTTCCCCTCCTCAGGGCATCAGTTCATCAGTCAACCAAGCCATCTGAGAGCGGAAGAGCAAGTACTCTCTACCATAGAAGTTCTTATTCCTGCATGCTTTTCTCAGAAGAGGGAAAAACAAGAAGGTCATTTTAGGGGACACTTGCTGGGACATGAACTAAGTCTTCTACAGTTTGATAGCTCTAACCAGCAGATACAGATTTCTTAGTAGGAAGGAATGAGGCAGCTGTCCTGAGCCTGGAAGCTCCATCATACCTTGTTCCATCTTGTTTAGGTGATTTTGAGAGGCTGCTCTGGAATATGTCTCAATGGTGGATGTTGGGAAACAACACAGGCTTTGATGGGACTCAGGTGGTGTTTGTTGTGTGAAGACACAGGCTGAATGCTCAGGATCTAGGCTGTTTTTCTTCTGGTCAGTTGTGTTACCTGTTTGGGACCAAGTCCAGTTTTACTAGAGAGGCTGAATAAATTCTAAAAAACAAAGTAGAGCTTTGAGGAAGGGTGACAAAGGGGGAAAGTTTCTCTCTCCACCTAGACTTTTTGCTGCCTCAGGAATCACAGGCTGATTAAATTACTGTCAGCTCTAATCTAACCAATTCAATTCAATTCAATTCAATTTGATCTAATTATCTTCCCCCTTGTTAACGTAGAAATAGCCATTTTATTTGGTATTTACTTTTTCTCCACTTTTTATTTTATCAAATATGTATTTATCTAATACAATCAACCATAATTTTAATTTGACATTTCCAAGCATTTGAAAAATTATATCTATGTACATGATTTTAACACTACGTATAATGCTCTTCCTTTGCAAAATGTATAAAACAGTTCAATATAGATATGTTTAATTCTGCATCTTGAAAAATAAGCAGTATCAAAATACTTCCAGGTAGGAATTGGGACAGAAATTAGAAAAAATGATTCCCCTATCATCTGATTTCTGTGCCCCTGACTTTTTTAGTTTTTGTTTTTGACACTATGGCAAGACCCAGAAAGTGTCTCCCATTAACTGTGTTTAGGTCCCTAATAAAATTACAGCATTAAACTTATCTTATTGAGGCCCTAATGAGGAAGGAAAAATAAAACTGTTCAGCCAATAAGAGTAAGCCACGCCCAGCTGAGGGACATATAAAAGGCAGGTCTAGGAGAATAACTCACACTGTGAATCAGGACGTGTGAGAGAGAGCAGCTTTCATTTGAGTTTGAATGAGAGAAAAAGAAATGAAGACTCTGATCCCCCACTACTCCTCCATCCACTGTCCCACTGACCAGCCTTCTTTCAAACAGATCTCCTTTACAGAAAAGGGCTAAGATGAGAAGAAACCACTCAAAGAAAAAGGCAAGACCCCCGTCCTGCCACTCCAGTGAGAAACACATGGAAAGGCAGGGTAAGGCCTTGCGCTGTTCCTATGAAGTCTCCAAGGAGGGTTGGAATCAGGAATACTGAGCTATGTGTCTTTAGTGGGGTTTTATTTCAAAATTAGGAACGGGAAATGGCTTAGGTCCCTGAGGAGGCTTTGAGAAATGTGTTCACTCATGACATTGGCAGAAGAGCTTCACTTGAAAGACTGATCCAGAAATATTTGTCAGAGATAGACTATGGGACTCTGTGCCTGGGAGAAGCAAGTCACCTAAACTCCATGTTGCACGAGGATCAGAGCCCAATCTAAATGAAGAGAAGAATTCTGAGATAATTAAGCTCAAAGCCAGAAACAGCACTGCTAGGTGAGGGAAAATCACAGGAGACCTGTGATGCCCACCACGGAGGGCCTTTCATAGTTTACACTAGGTGTAGCAAGTGGCACAGTTATTGGGCCCGAGGAGTTCAATAGTCATCACTTCGGAAAGCTTTGTGACCTTGCAATGTGTGTCAAAGTCCACTTATCAAAATCTATCCCCAGGTGTTGGTTCAGCAGGTCCATTTTCCACTGACCTGGGAGAAACTCACTCAGCTTGCCTGGCTCTGGGGCCTCTTTGTGCCCAGGAGCAGACCTTCTATGCCATGACCACCCAGGCAGGTTGTGTCTTCCCTGCTAAGAAGTGGCTTGTTTCAGCCACACTGCCTGGCCCTGAGAATTCAGCTCTGGATAGAGAAGACCACCCCTTGCCTGGGCAGGAAATAACTGAGCCTGTCAGTGGATTAGATGAGGCTTGAGCTGGGTGCACATTGAACCCAATGTTTCAATGTGGAAGATTAAACAGTTAAAACATGGACAATGATCCTATTCACCCTATTCAGCAGAGAATACACTCTTGGAATGAGAGCAAGAAACTGCTACTTCTCAGATTCTTCCAAAGTACCAGCAGTGACAATTTTAGATGCACAGTATTAATAAATGAAAGACCCTGAAGCAGTCCTAGGAAAGGAGCTTGAACAATGTACTCAAAACAGTGAACTCTGCAATTTGTAGACGGCTAAGATTATAAACAAATTATATATCTCTTGTTAGACATTTGATGTCTATTGGATGTCTCATGACAGTCATGCATTTCTATATAATCAGACAAATATGAGGATGTAATTATTCATATACCTTTTCATATTTTCAATTATAACAAAATAAATATAAAATTATGTGCTTCTTTTTTAATTCAGAAAAGTTTGTAACCTCTCACTCGCCCACACTGAACCCAAGAACACTAATATCCACAAACACTTAAAATACTCTTCATGGGAAAAATGTCAATATATTTTTACAGTTTAATAAAATTATGGTGAAATCACCACACAAGGTGTTTACTATGAATATTTTTACATAAAATTGAAGTCAAGATATGTTAAATGTAATTGATCATAATTATTTATTCTTCTCTTGACTCATATTTCCCTCATTTTAAATTTTTGAAATTTAAACTTTATTCTATTTTATGCATTTCAGTTGATCATACTGTATTATAGGATATTAAATGTAATATAAATATTGTCATTTATTTTACCTGTGGTTACATTTTATATTTTTCTTCTTGCATTTTACAGTGAGATTATGAAATCTTTCATCATAAAATGTATTTTTTTGTTGTTCTCTGCCTCATAATTTTCGTATACAAGATGATATAAAGATTAATGTTTTTGAGAATATTCAATTTTAGATAATTTTGTATTTCATCCACACTGAATTTTTATTTACTCCATGTGTGAGTTGGAGGACATTTTATTACCTTCACTTCTGATTTATTTTCACCCTGACCCCTCACACTCCACAACTCTTGTTTTAATCAAAGAATAGTGATTTATCATTCCAGTAAATGGAGCCAATTCAATGAAAATATACAGATATACCTTGGAGATATATGGCTTTTGCTCTAAACAAGTATAATAAAACAAATATCACAACAATGTGAGTCATGCAATTTTTCTTCTTTCCCAGTGCATATGAAAGTGATGTTTACACTATACTGTAGAATAAGACTGAAATAGCCTATGTTTGTAATAACAATGTACAAACCTTAATAAAAATATACTTTATTGCAAAAAAAAGCTGACACAGATGTAAACACACACAAAGGTCACATGATGTTGGAAAAATAGTGTTAACAGAGTCACTCAATATAGGGTTGCAAAAAGCCTTCAACTTGTAAGAAATCCAATATCTATAAAGAACAATAAAATGCCATAAGACTAGGTATGCCTGTGTAACAGTGTTCACTAGTGATTTAGAAATCATACATAAAGGATATTTACATATTTATAAAAGTAACTGACCTGTTACAGAATGAGTAGGAGATAAAAATTACAAAATGATTTATAAAGTAAATTAAAAGGAAGACCAAGTCCGAAACATTCCCGAGTGGACAGAATCAGTTAGACATCCTCAGGGACCTCATCTTGTTGACTTGCAAATAAGCAAAACATAACGTGAGCTATTTTTTGTGAATGCCTGCATTAAAAAAAAAAAGAACTTAAGCTTAAATTATCAAAAGTACCAAGAATCTTATAGTAATATATGTCTATAAGGTAAACCAAAAAATACAATTTTATAACTGCAACAAATCACATAATTTTAATATTTTGTTCCTGCATTTGTTCAATACAATCATACCTCTGACACTTTGCCGTTGAAGTGGAAAGCCTCTCTTGCTCTGGTGTTCCACAATTCATAAGTTGCTTCTTTCTCAAGAAAATATTTTTAAAACGGGTTCTTGCTCTATTGTCCATGCTGGAGTGTGTACACAGAATCAAAGCTCTCTGCAGCCTTACATCCTGAGCTCAAGCCATCCTCCCACCTTAGCCCCATGAGTAGCTGCAACTACAGGCATGCACCACCACACTTGGCTAATTTCTTCTTGTATTTTGTAGAGACAGGGTCTCACTATATTTCCCAGGCTGGCCTCAAACTTCTGGGCTCAAGTAATCCCCTCAACCTGGCCTCTCAAAGTGCTGGAATCACAGATATGAGCCACCATTCCCAGCCAAGAAAACTTTTAAAATTTGTATTGTGCTACAGTTTACTTTTTAACAGGACTAAATAAAATAAACTAGCTATACATAAATCTAACAAACATTTGTTAAGCATATGAGAAAGACCATAAAAAGTCCTTGAAATATAAGAAAATCAGCATAAACAAATGGAAAACCAAATCATGTTCTAAGGTAGAAATGCTCAATATCACTCAATCATCATTTTTCTTCAAAGTAATTCAGAAATTTAATTTTGTCCCAGTAGAGATACCATCTGGTATTGGAAGCAGCCACTTTATTGCAAGACTCCTATAGATGGAAACATAAGTGAGAACAGCTGAGAAAACTCTGAAAAAGTAGAGTGGCTATGCCACCCTATGAGACATGCTGATTTATGAATATATGGATAGCTCAGTGGAAGTACAAATTTAAAATAAACCACAGTGTATGAGAAAGTGTCTCTGTTCAGGCTGTTAAATAAAATACATTAGACTGGCTAATGTATAAATAACAGAAATATATTGGTCACAGTTCTGGAGGCTGTAAAGTTCAAGATCAAAGCACCAGCAAATTCAGGGTCTGGTGAGGATCCTGTTTCTCATAAATGGTGCCTTCTTGCTGTGCCTCACATGGTGGCAAGGACAAAAGTGCTCCCTTCAACCTCTATTACAGGGTATTAATTACATTTATGAGGATGAAGCCCTCCTGAGTGAGTCACTTCCCACAAGGCTCCATGTTTTAAAACTATCATATTAATGATTAAGTTTTTACAAATGAGTTTTTACAAGGAGACACAAACTCAGAGGATAGCAAAAAAGTCAACTGGCAATACAAACTACAGTTGGGTAGACATCATTAATGCTTTGGGTTTAGGAATCTGATGTTTCTATCATAAAGGTAAAAAATAACGTGCTAATTATAACCTGCAGTAAAATAAAGGTCAAATGAAAGATAAATCTATACAATGAAAAAATCAAGTTTTTACAAGGTAAATTATTAAAGGTTGTATCAGGATTTTTGTGGTTTCTGGGGATGAATAAGAAACCAGAGATTCCTCCTGTGCCTTTTTTACTGAAGTTTCTGATGCTCTTACTCAATTTGAAAGTGTATAAAAATTTTTCCTGTTTCTGTCTTTGATAAATTCAAAATAAAATTGGCCTTCATATGCTTGATCCTAAAACACTTATTTACTCAGTGTTGCTCTGCTGAGGAAGGGCACTGAGTCTCACATGCACAGAACCATCATGTTCTGTCAGATACAGGACTTCTCCCTGAACCAGAGCCTCACCATTCACACATGATCAGAGGCTTTGCTAGGCATACATTGCTCTGTGCTCTCCCACACAGGCTCAACCCTGAACATCTGACTCTGAAGATGACTGATGAACATGTTCCCTAGTACTCTAATTTACAGAAATTTTGTTTTCTCTTAATAATATCTAACAGAACTCTAGGATATTTCCTGACTCCACCTACCACATACAGAGAGACTGGGAGATTTGGACAGAAGCTTGGATCCTCACTCAAAGCCCTGCCCTGTCCCATCAGCTTTTCTAGAAGTACAATGTTCTAATTACTCTTGAGAGACCACATGTCAGGGCATCTCTCTGTGTCAAATGAATAAAAATGAGAAGAGAAACAGGCTAAAATTTCTGCTGAGGGTTGTATCTAAGTGTCTACTTCCCAGACTTATGTCTCTATTTTACACAATTATTGACAAATATAATTTCATCTTTAGAGGAAAAACTAAAGAAGTAACCCCAGCTCACATAGGAAGGAGAAAATAGAATCAATGTTCTATAGAATCCAGCTTACCTCAGCCATGAGGTGGTAAGTCTCCTCAGAAAAACGTAGTTGTCCTCGATCATCATAAACAACTGTGGCATCAGACAGCTGGACACTGAGAATGCAGGATATTCCCTGGGATTCCATGCCTATATCACAGAGAGAAGCTAATACCACAGGTCCTGTTGTACCATTTGGTCTAACTAATACTACTCCACTACCTGGCCCAACAGGATTCCCCAACTCTTCTCTGGGCCTCACTAGGGATAGTTCAGAAAGACAAAAAGTTATTAATGCCTCTCTATTTCTGTAGTTTCTGGGGTATAATTTGTTCATTTTTAGGTTTTCAGTTTTTGTCCTCCCTCTACATCCACAGAATTTTTGTCTCCTATGCTTGTACCTATAACTTTATGTAGTCATTTTTTCTAGTCTAGTCACCCGTACTGTCTTCTAGTCATTTTTTTCTAGTATAGCGAGATGATATGGACACAAGAACTTCTATATAAAAGTTCACTTTTATATAGAACACAACCCTTTTTGGGCTGGACTGTAATTCAGAGAATGTAGAAACCAGATTTGCCTGGGGTTGCAGCTAAGGAAAAGAAAGACCCATCTTGCCCAGGAATGATCAGTGAGAAATCTCAGAGTTTGAAAATGGATGCCTATAGACTTCAGGGAAGTTCTCTTAATCTTAGAGTCAGTAAAGAAGGGATTTTGGGTTGTTTAGGGGAAAGTCACGTTCAATTTACAAATTATATATGTGTGGACCCAGAGGAAAAAAATAAGTAAAATCAAACAGTTTGCTATGTTGATAAATATAGTGATAAAAGCCACAATGTGATTAAAATGCAAGTGGTCTCAAAACCCTAAAGGTTACACGAATGAGCTTCAACTGACACATGGTGTGGCTGGAGTCACCTGATTATTATGCTAAAGTGAGACATGATTGATACCTCAAGAAGTGGGTCAAAGGCTGATGCAGTTATCATGCCAGGAATGGTCTGGGGCCTTCTAAACCATCGGACAAATAGGTCACCTTTCACCAAGAAGCACAAATCTGGCATGCAGTGATGACCTCTGCATTACACGTGGATTCAGGCTTGGTTTTGGGCTTAATTGTGGTAACTATTTTCAGAGAACAGATCCTTATTATGGACTCCTAAATGAAGGACCTGACAGATCAGCAGATAAAATTCTGGTGTGAACCCAACAAAAAGATATCCTTTACCAAATAGCCTTTAGTTTCAATGTGGAAGATTAAACAGTTAAAACATGGCCAGTGATCCAAAACCCTGAGCTCTTACCATTTACAGGAGCAGCCAGCCTGGCTTCAGGTTCTGTGTGACTAGCACTGAGGTTAGACATCCACAACCGCCCAGTGAGCACCATAAGGTGGCACCTTTCTTGACTCTTGAGTGAATTAGGGCCAGGCATCTAGGAATCATTCAGTAAATTGAAGACCCCATAGAGCCAGCAGTTTTTCTTCAAACAGTGAAGTGGGATGAATTGGTTCATTTTCATACTGCTGATAAAGACATCCCTGAGACTGGGCAATTTACAAAAGAAAGAGGTTTAATGAACCCACGGTTCTACGTGCTGGGGAGATCTCACAATTATGGCAGAAGGTAAAAGGCATGTCTCACATGGTGGCAAACGTGAGAAAAGAGAATGAGAGTAAAGCAAAGCAAAAATGGTTTTTCCTTATAAAACCATCAGATCTTGTGAGACTTATTCACTACCACCAGAAAAGTATGGGGAAAACCACCCCCATGATTCAATTATTTCCTACCAGGTCCCTCCCACAACACTTGGGAATTATGGGAGCTAAAACTCAACATGCAATTTGGGTGGAAAACAGCCAAACTGTATCAGAGGGCATAAAATTTTCACCAAAGAACCTAATTTTTCTGTTACAGCTAAGATATTCCTGTGACAGTCCAATTTTCTTTTAGAATATGTTACATTCTAAGTGGGATTCTGATGTCTTGGAGAACTCAAATTTACTCACTTCAAAATTGGAATGTCAAGCTGGGAAGTCCCAAGCCCTTGATGTGTCAGGATTAAGTTTGACAGGAGCTTCAAAGCAAGCTCATCAATGACTTTCAAATCAGTGTAAATAGTAGTGTTAGGAAGACTATGTGTCAAAAGTTCTAAGGTGGAGGCTGACTCCCTCTCTCAGAGGCTTCAGATGAAAACAATATCAAGTATTCCTTGGCTGCTAGAAGAATTGAACTATGTAAATCTGCCCACATAGTTCCAGTGAGTCTTAACTGGAAAACAGGACTATGGGATGTTGGGGATTTTATCAGCTACTGGCAGAGATATGTTACCATTCTAGACGGGAGCATGAAGGCAGATGCTTCTAAATTGGCAGCCAATAAACATCACCTACAGAGTTAAACTTTTTGGACATCAGAGGGTAGAGGCACTCATGATGAATTCTGCCCTGCCACTGTGGCAAATGGCAGGGAAGTTTGTCTCACACTCCTTGACTTGTTTCTCACCCAGTTTAGAGTAATCCCCTCTGGCACTTATGGGGCAGATAAGGACAAAAACACCTAACCTGACAATTGCTACTATAGATTCTGATGTAGAAACAAAACAAGACATTGATTTAGTTCAAAAAGCTCCATCTCCATTGTTATGTGGCCTTTTTCCCTCACTGTCACCCCGCCCAAACACTATTATTTGAGTTGTGCTGTTTGTTTTTATTTTATTGTTTACCTTTGTTTTACGTTATCATCTATGTAAACACAAATCAACAAGTTACACTATCCCCAGGACAGGGGAATGCAAAAAACCAATAAAGGCTGGCACAGGTGTGTTTTGGGGATAGGACAGGGCAATGGGGAGGTGTTATTCTCTCTAAACTTTTCACCCTGAGTTCTGTGCTGCCTCCTCACCACTGTACTTTCTAGTTTTTGGAAAGTATTCAGGATCAGAAGCCTCCATTTGATGAAGGAGAATGAAGTCCAAGATCAAGATGTGGGCAAGGTGGTTTTTCTCTGAGGCCTCTCTCCTGGGGTTGTAAGTGGCCGCCTTCTCCTTATGTCCTCATGTGGCCATTTCTCTGTGTGTGCACGTTTGTATCTTTATCTCCTCCTTTGTGGAGACAACAGTTACATTGGATTAGGGTTCTCCCTAAGGTCCTCATTTAAAATTTTTTTTTGTAACTGATAAAAATTGCCTACACTTATGGTACTGTTGTGAAATATGCACACATTATGGAATGGTTAACCCAAGATAACTGGCATATGCATTACCTCACAAACCCATCTTTTTTTGTTGTGAGAATACTCAAAATCTACTGTCCTAGCAATGTTCAAGAACAGATTACATTAACTGTAGTCACCAAGTGCAATAGATCTCTTGCACTTATTCCTCCTGTCTAACTGAAATTTTGTATAATTCGACCATCTCCCTACTCCTTAACCTCTGCTCCCAAAGACCTCATTTTAAGGTAATTACCTCTGTGATGATGCTATCTCCAAATATAGTCACATTCTTAGGTGCTGGGGGTTAAGGTGTCAACATAGGAATTTTGGGAAGCAGACGATTCAGCTCACAGCAGCCTCTGTCTGGACATAACATCTACATTGAGATCCCAGTAACCTAGCAGTAGAGGGAATGACATGCAAAGAGTCTGAGGAAGAAAATTCCAGGCAGAGGATTCTATTGAGCAATTATCCTGAAATGGGAGCGAAGAGGGTGAGTTTGAAAAACCAGAGACCAGTGGCAGAGGGAAGGGTGTAAGGAAAGCAAGGGGAGGAGGTGAAGTTTCAGAGTTCCTGTGAGATATGTAAACTTGACTGTGATTTCATTCCCCATGAGGTGAGAAGTTATTGGAGGGTTTTAAGCAAGAGGCACAATCAGATTCATATGTTTAAAAGCTTTTTCCAGTCACTTTATGAAGAATTAATTCTAAAGAGGGCAAATATGGAAACAAGCAGCAGATGAAAATGACAGTGGCTTAGACTGGGTGAAATCACAATGAAGTAGGTGGATACATTCTATTCTGGGGATACATTTGACCCCAAGGCTATAGGAAATGTTGGTTTGTTGCATGCAACAGAAAAGAGTCTTCAAGACTATTGCTACATGTAAGTCAAGTCAGGAGAATTTCCAGAGATATGGTGGGGCCCTTTACTGAGATAGGAAGGAACAGGAGAACAGGCTTTCAGAGAACATTCAAGTGATATAGTATTTTCCTAAGAGCATCAGTCAGGAAATTTGGTGGAGCCTGGGCATCCTTAGAAGTACTGACACACCTCTTGCCGGATCATTTTAGCACTGACATCCAGACCCGGAGCATGGAAATTCCCAAATTGGAAGAGGTGTGATGCTGTAGGAACGCAAGTGTGGTGATGAGGTTGGTGGGGCTTTGCATCACACCATGTGTGTGTGAGATGGAGAATTGCTGCATTTGGCCTGGATGAGGTCAGTCTCTGGTGCAGTGGGAATAAGGGCACCCACCTCATAGATTTGTCCTGATGATTCAACAGAGTCATGCTCATGAAATGAATGTAAGTCCTGGCATATGCTGGGCCATTGGCATGAATTGTTATTGGTATTATTAATATTCTTGGTGTTTTTATTAATATCCTCAATACTGATGGGACATCAGCTCATCAACTCCAAAAAAAACCTTCAGAAATATCCAAAGGCCCTCAGAGAGTCTTCACTCCTCCGTACATTTCTCCAGCCTAGTCACCAACCAGCTCTCACTTCAGCCTTGTTTTTAAGTTAAACAAGTGGCGCTGGGCATGTCCCTAAGGTTCTGAGCATTTTGTCAGTTGTGTTCTGTCCACTCCAGGCCTTTGACAGACATTGATGCCCTTTAGCAGATCTAGGAAGTTTGCTTATACTCCTCCTTTCCAGGGAGATTAATTGTGGATAAATATTGGATTGGTCAAATGCTCTCTGTGTCTGTTGAAGGGATCTTGCTGTTACTTTCCTTTATCCTATTACTTTGTGTAATGTATTGATTGATTATTGGATAAGTCAACATTGCCTTTGTAAAATAATTCCATTTGGTCTTTTTCAGGAGAGTAGTCACGTAAATAGTCTTAATTTACCCTCGTATTTATTGGCAAGTCTATATTATGTTTTGTAAGGAAAACACTTTTGTAATTTGAAGGTATTTTTTCTGAAAACTTTATAACTCTGTATCTCTTTTATGTATCACTTTACAATATTTTAATTGTAATAAAAACACATAACAAAATTTACAATTTTATATGTGTTTAATTGCATAATTTAGTAGTATTACATATATCCACATTGTAATGCAACAGGCTTCTAGAGTTTTCCATTGCAAAACTAAAACTCAATACCCATTAAAAAACAACTGCCCATTTTAACCTTCTCCTGAGCCCTTGACAAATACATGCTATTTTCTCTTTCTATGAGTTGGACTACTTAAGATTTCTCATAAGTGGAATCATACACTCACTGTCACTTTGTTCCCTGACATATTTCACTTAACATAATGTCCTAATGGTTTATTGTTACTGTAGCGTGTGATAGGATTTCCTTTTAAATTATATTTCATCATATGTATATATCATATTTTCTTTACTTATTTATCTGTCAAGGGTCATTTAACTAGCTTCTACCTTTTGGATTTTGGGAATAATTCTATTATAAACATGGTTGTGCAAATATTTCTTTCAGGTCCTGCTTTGCACATTTAGATAGATATCCCAGAAATGGGATTGCCAGATTGTATGATAATTTCATTTTTAATATTCTGAGGAAACTCTTTACTATTTTTCAAAATGGTTGCCTTATTATTTTTCCCACCACCAGTGCACAGTGTTCCAATTTCTCTACATCCCTGAAAACATTTGATTTTTTTTTCTTGTTTGATAGTGGCCATCTTAATGAGTGTGAGGTAATATCTCATTTGGGTTTTGCCTTGTATTTCACTAAAGATTTGTATTTTGAGCATCTTTTCAAATTCCTCTTGGCTATTTGCATATCTGCTTTGTAAAAACATCTTTTGAGTGTTTTGCCCATTTTTAAATAGGATCATTTGCTTTTTGTTGTTGAGTTTTAGAAATTGTTTATACATTCTAGATACTAACCTCTATCAAATATATTATTTGCAATTTTTTTCTCATTTCTTCGGTGACATTTTTACTCCTCTAAATGTTTTCTTTGATATCCAAAAGCTTTTTGCACTTGATGTAGTCCCATTTTTCTGTATTTATTCTTGTTTCTTCTGCTTTTAATATCATATTCAAAAGAAATTACCAAGACACATGTCATGATTTGTCACCCTATATTTTATTTTAAGAGTTTTATAGCTATCTAACATTTAAGTGTTTAATTAACTTAAGACATTTTTGTAAATGGTGCAAGTGAAAAGTCCAATTTTATTTTCTTTAATTTTGATATTCAGTTTTGTAATGCTATTTGTTAAAAAGTCTCTTCTTTCCCCGTTGTTCAGTCATGGCAACTTGATTGAAGATTACTTGATGATATTCATGAAGGTTTATATCTCGGTTCTCTATTCTGTACCATCATCTATTTGTCTCTCTATTTTTATTTCTATAGTTCTATAATATGTTTTGGAGTCAGGAAGTTTGATAACTCTAACTTTGTTCTTCTCTGAAGCTATTTTGGCTACTCATAATCCCTTGATATTCCATATGAATTATAGAAATTAATATTTTTGCAAAAAAAGTCAGCATTCCTGCCAGGCAGGCCTTGAAATTTTATATGAGTTTTAGGACTTAAAATAATATGTGTGCAAAAAATATAACATTTGGATCTTAATAGGAAATACTTTGAATTCGTGCTTCACTGTGAGTAGTATTGACATCTTAACAATATTAAAATTTCTGAGCCTTGAACATGAGGTCAAGAGTAGGATGCTTTAAGTTTCATACATTTTTTGATTTACCAGTTTCCTTCTGCTTGTGATTTGTAGTTGAGGGGTTATTATATTGCCCAGGCTGGTCTCCAACTTTTGGCCTCAAGCTATTCTCCCTCCTCAGTCTCCTGATGTGTTTGGATTACATGGATGAGCCACTGCACCTGGCCTCCTTATTGTTTTTCTGTCATTTTTATGAATTGAAGGTAATTTTTGGAAATGTTTATAAATATGTATCTCTTTAGAAGGTTTCTCATTTTTAAGGTAGTCAAAAACACATAAAAATTACCATCTTAACTATTTTGAGCGCATAGTTAAATAATATTAAATATGTTCGCGGCCAGGCGCAGGGGCTCACACCTGTAATCCCAGCACTTTGGGAGACCAAGACTGGCAGATCAAGAGGTCAGGAGTTCGAGATCAGCCTAGCCAACATGGTGAAATCCTGTCTCTACTAACATACAAAAATTAGTTGGGCATGGTGATTGGCACTTGTGTTCTCAGCTACTTGGGAGGCTGAGGCAGGAGAATCTCTTGAACCCAGGAGGCAGAGGTTGCAGTGAGCCAAGATCATGCCACTGCACTCCAGCCTGGGTAACAGAGTGAGACTTCATCTCAAAAAAAAAAAAAACAAATTTTATATACATACTGTTTGGCTTTTTATAAACCCTTTAGAGTCCATATGAGTTTTAGAAATGTTTTTGTGTTTCTGCAAAATGAAATGACAGTTAATACTTGATGGAGATCACATTGAATCTGTAGATCACTTTGGGTAGTGTGGACATCTTCACAATATTGTTTTCCAACCCTTGAAGAAAAGCATGCTCAAGAGTGTGTTGTTTAATTTCCACATATTTGTAGATATTTCAGTATTTTTTCTGCTCTTGATTTCTAATTTTATTCCCTTTTAATAAAAAATGATAGTTTGTAATATTATAATCTTTTTTTTTTGAGACAGGGTTTTGCTCTGTTGCTCAGGCTGAAGCACAGTGGCTCAATCATGGCTAACCACAGCCTGATCTCCCAGGCTCAAGAAATCCTCCCACCTCAGCCTCTTGAGTAGCTAGAACACAGGCATGCCCAGCTAAATTTTTTTATTTTACATTTTGTAGAGACAGGGTCTCCCTGTGTTGCCCAGCACAGTGTTGAGGCTTTACTCTCATTGCATACACTGCCAACAGTAAAGATTTTCACACTCCCACATAGACACAGCCCACTGTTGAAGTTGTGAATTTCACCAGCAAAGGCAGTCAAAAGTGGTTATTATTACCCTTATATGTGTATTCAGCCTTCAGGTGAGATGATGAGTCTGTGACCAAAATTGAGCAAATATGTTAGTTGTCTGAGGTTGAGGCTTTCATGCATGGATCCAAATTACTGTTGAAATTATGACTTGCATACTTGGACACACGAGGTGTGTAAAAGTTTATTAGGTGCATACTTTTCAATACCTGGACCCAGAACATGTGCAGGAATGTAAATTCCATTCTCAGACCTTCCCACAGGTGTGACTGTGACATATATTTTTGCCCAGCCAGAACTTGACTGATTTGAATATACTGCCCGAAGAAAGCCCACAGTTTGATAGTTTGATTGTGACATAGACCTAAGTCAATAACCTTGATAATGTGGCCCTCCTGCCTAGTCCCTTCTCACAGATGGCATTGTGATATATCTCTGGTCTCATTTCCAGGTGATACATCTCTGGTCTCATTTCCAGGTGATGTAATTGTCCTCTCCTCCCTGGGCCCCATTCCCAAAGGGGATTGTAACATTTTGCTGAGTTCAGCCCTCACACAATGTAATTCTTCAGCATGGGTTCTGCCCACAGAAGACATTGTGACACATCACTGCTCCCAGCACCATAGTGACATGAAATTTTTACCAGCACTCAACTCACAGGAGGGATACTAATATATATCTGGCTCAGTATTCAGGTGATGTGACTCTTCTGCCTGGTTCTGCCCACAGGTAGAATTGTGACATATAACTAGGTTCAGGACACAGGAATAATGATGACTGTCATATGATGGCCCAGCCAGTAGGGAGATTTTCACTCTCATAGCTAAGGTTAGAATAATCAGTAAGGTTCTCAGTCTCCTAATTTTATAAAAATTACAGATGATTATAACACTTATGACTATTTTGTAAAATACTTGGGACTTATCAGAGTCCATTACAGAAGTAAAATTTTGCCTCTCATAGGCACACTATCCAAAAATTGGGATTGTCAGTCTCACACATGGACAAAGCCCACTGGTGAGGTTGTAAATCTCACATGTGCAAACAGTCCAGAGTTAGAATTGGGACTGTCATATGTGTATCTGGCACATATAACAGATGTTGGAAGGTGACTCATTTCTGGACCCAGCTCATAGGCATGTCAATGTCTCTCATGCCTGGTCCCAGGAAATAGAAGACATGTTGACTCTTGTATCTAGGCCTACTGCAAGAGATAAGATCCTTGGCTTCCTACTTTTACAGACGTCTCAAAGAATTACAACACTCATGCATATTGTATAATGCCCTAAGGTGGTACAGAGAGTATTAAAAGAGAGCCCAGCTCAAAATCCTTATTGGGACTTTTGTATGCACACAGCCCAAGTTAGGATTAAAGGTGAACAGAACCCACTCATGAGGTCCTGGTTCTCACTCACAGAAACAATTCACAGTTGGAATTGTGACTGTCATATCTGGATCCATCCACAAATGAGATGGTTTCTCATTTCTGGACCCAGATCACAGGCACATTGATGACTCTCATACCTGAACTTAGGGCAACATGTAGGATCATGGGTTTATACCATCATTAAGGTCTCAGAGCAGGTTTCATTCTCATGCAGACCATACGAAGCTCTTAAGTGGCACAGAAGGTATCTTATAAACACCCAGCACGCAGGTGACATTGTGATTGCTCTATGCACCCAGAACATACACTGAGGTATGTCATCTTCCCGTATAGACACAGTCCATTGTGGAAATTCTGAATATCACATCCAGATCAGTTGAAAGTTGACATTGTGACTCTCATATATAGAACCAGTTCACAGGTGGAATGGTGACTTTTATACTAAACATCAGCATACCTGTGAGGCAGTGACTGCCCTAATTAGACAGTGATTGCAGTTGAGGTTGGAGCTTACATGTATGAATACTGTCTATCACTGATATTGTGATTTGTGTACCTTAACACAAATCACAGGTGTTGTCTCTTATACCTTGAGCCAGAAAATGTGAGGTGCTGTGAATCTCATCCCAGGACCTTCCTGCACATGTGACTTTGACATGTAATTTTTTCTCAGAATCTGATTGTCTTTACCTCCCTGCCTAAGCCCTGTCAATAGTTGGGATTGTGACATATACCTAACCCAAACAGCTAAATGATGTGACTGTCCTCCCTGAGCCTTGGCCACAAGGGATATTGTAGTGTATCTCTGAGCCCTTCACCTAGACGATGAGACTCTGCTTTCCTGCCTGTGTCCTGCCTCCAGTAACAGAAATAGGGGAATATTACCTAGGTGGATGACTGTCCTTTCATAACTGGGCCCTGAGAATGGGTGGGATTGTGACACATTGCTCAGCCCAGCACCTAGGTGATGTGACTCTTTTGACTGGGTTCTGCATACAGTGGGCATTGTGACATATCACTGAGCCTAGCACAAAAGTGATGTGACTTTCTCCTCTATGTGTGGGTCCTGCCCATAGAGGGATATTGACATTTCCATGGCCCAGCATTCAGGTGATGTGACTTTCCTTCTTGGTTCTGCTCACAGGTGAAGTTGTGACCTTTACCTTGGACCACGCAACTGTCATGATGATGACTTTCTTACATGGACCAAGCCAATAGGAGAAATTTTGACTCTAACAGCTAGGCTTAGGGCAACAACTAAGGTCCATGGTCTACTAATTGTAAAAAGGTCACAGAAGATTATGACACTCACATGTATTTTATAAAGCCCTTGGGGTGTATAGAGAGAGTCACATTACACAGCCCAGCAAACAGGTGAGCCTGTGACTCTCAAAGACACATGTAGCCAACAATTAGGATTGTCACCTTCATACATGGACAGAGTCCACTAGTGAGATTCTAAATCTCACACATGGATGAAGTTCAGAGTTGAAACTGTGACTGTCATATGTGGATCTGCCCTCAGGCTGGATGATGACTAATATCTGGATCCAGCTTACAAGCATGGTGTTGATTCTCATACTTAGACCAAGCCAATAAGATATATATTAACTCGTACCTAGCCTTAGGACAATGGGTAAGGTTTTGAGTTTCCTACCTGTACAGAGGTCACAGAGGACTATGAAATTCTAGCATATGGTGTAATTCCCTCAGGTGGTAAAGAATATGCAAAAACAGGGCCCAGCACATAGTTGAGGTTGTTACTTTCATATACACATCCAGTCAAAACTTAATATTGTCACCCTCATACACAGACAGTGCCCACAGCTGAGGTCCTAAAACTTCCATGCATGCAGTCCACAATTGACATTGTGATGGCCACAGGTATGATGGTGATTTATTTCTGGAGCCCACTCACAGGCACATTGATGAATCTCACTCCTGGACACAGCCAATAAGAGAGATGTTGACTCTCCTGTCTGGGCTTAAAACAATGTGTAAGATCGTGTGTCCACCCAAGCATGCAGGTTTCAGAGAGTGTTGCGACTCTTAGGCTTATTTTATAATTCCCTCGGGTGGTACAGAGAGCATCATAAAAGGGCTCAAAATACCGGTGAGATTGTTACTCTTATATGCACTCCCAGCCAACAGTATTGTCACGTTCCAAATGAACACAGCCCACTGTTAAAGTTCTGAATCTCACATCTAGAGGCAGTCAGAAGTTTGCATTGTTTCTGCCATATGTGGATTCTATGCACAGGTAGGATGGCGACTCTGGACCAAGTTTCAGCACCTTGTGATGTTTTTATTTTTTACTGGGACACTATGTGCAGGCAGGGATGGGACTCTCATGCATGGGCTTAGTCTACTGCTGAGGTTGTTACCTGCCTTTTGGGTGCAACTCACAGGAACTATTGCCTCTGAATCCAAAGCTGGAGCATACGAGAGATTGCAAATTTTATCTCTGGACATTTACACAGCTGTGACTGTGACATACACCTTTGCTCAGGCCCAGCCTACAATTTAGATTGTAAAATATACTTAGGTTTAGCACGTAGATAATGCAACTTTCCTGCCTGGACTCTGCCATCCGGGGAAATAGTAACATATCTCTGGGCCAATAACCTAGGTAATGTAACTCTCCCTTTCTGCCTGGGCCAGACCACAGGAGTCATTGTGAGATATCACTGGGCCCATCGCCTACATTATGTGACTCTTTCTATCTTGAGTTTGTTTACAGGAAGAATGATGACATGTCATTGGGACCATCACCTAGGTGACATGACTGTTTTCTTCCTGGAACATGTTTACAGGGTGGATTGTGACATATTGTTTTGCCTAGCACCCAGAAGATACAATTTTTATTGCCAGGACCCCACCCACAGGAAAAATATTGACATATCACCGGCCCAACACCTAGTTGATGTGAGTCTCCCTCCTAGTCTTTGCCCACAGGTGGGATTGTCACATATAATTAGGTTCAGCCCACAGGTATAATGAAGACTCTCTTATATGTGGACCCAGCCAATAGAAGAGATTTTGATTCTTATAGCTAGGCTGAGGGAAACAAGTAAGGATCCAGGTCTTCTACATGTAGAAAGGTCACATAACATTACAACACTCATGCATATTTTATAAAGCCCTTGGATAATATAGAGTGTGTCATATCAGGGCCCCGCACAGAGGTAAAATAGTGATTCAATAGGCACACCCAGATGACAATTAGCATTGTTTCCCTCACAAATTGACCAAACTTACTGGTGAGGTCCTAACTTTCATATGAGGACAAAATACACAGTTAGAATATTGATGGGCAAATGTGAATCTGGCCAAAGATCAGATGGTGAGTCATATCTATACCCAGCTTACAGGCCCAGTGATGACTCTTATACCTGCACCCAGCCAATAAGAGAGCTGTTGACTCTCACAGCTAGGCTTAAGCCAAAAAATAAAGTCCTGAGTTTTCTACTTTAAAAAAATAATAATAACAGGTGATTACCACACACACGCATATTGTGTAAAACCCTCAGATGGTACAGTGAATGTCTTAATAGTACCCAGCACAACACTGAGATTGTGACTATTGTATGAACACCCAGCTGACTGTTACAATTGTCACCCATACACATGGACAGAGCAGAATAATGAGTTCCTGAGCCTCACCGAAATATACAGTCCACTGTTGGAATTGTGCCTGTCACATGTGGATTGAACCACAGGAGGGATGTTGACCCATTTCTGTACCCAGGTCACAGGGGCATAAATGGTTTTCATAACTGGACCCAATAAACAAGAGAGATGTTGACGGTCATGCCTGGTCTTAGGACAGTGGGCATAATTATACATTTGAGGTTGTAACACATACCTAGGAAGGCACAAAAATCTCAAAGCAGATTGTGCACATATACCATGTAAAACCATCAGGTGGCACAGACTGTCATAACAGGAACCAGCAAACAGGTGAGATTGTGACTCTCATATGCACACCTGGCTGACATATGTGAATTCTCACCCTCCCACAAAAACCCAGCCTACTTACAACATTCTGAATCTCACATTCAGAGGCAGTCAAAAGTTAGAACTGTGACTCTCACACATGGATGCAGTCCACAGGTAGGATGGTGACTCTCACACCAAGATTCAGAACGCCTGTGAGGCTGTTACTCCCCTACTGGGACACTGTCTGCAAGAGGAGTTCAGATTCTCATGCACTGATCAAGTCCACTGTTGAGGTTGTGACTCGAGTACTTGAACACATCTCACAAGATATGTTGACTGTCATAAGTGAAGCTGGGACATTAGTGGGATTTTGAATCTTATCCTGAAAACTTTCTTCTGGTGTGATTGTGATATATACCCTTTCCCAGCACCTGGTTGATTTTACTTTCTTGCCTGGGCCCAGTGTACAGTTGAGATTGTCACATACACCTGGACCATGCACTTTATTTATATGACTCTTCAGCATGAGCCCTGCCCTCAGGGGAAATTATGGTATATCTCTGGGGCAATCCTCAAAGTGAAGTGACTCTTCTTTCCTGCCCAGGCCCTGCCTTTAGTTGAGATTGTGACAGGCATATCACTGGGCCCTTAATGCAAATGATGTAACTTCTCTGCCTGGGTTCTAATTAGAGAAGGTATTGTGAAATCTCTCTGGGCCTATCACCTAGGTGATGTAACTCTGCCTTCCTGCCTGAACCTGCCCCCAAGAGGCATTGCGACGTATCACCAGGCCCAGCTCCCAGGTTATGTAACTGTCCTGCCTTGGCCCTGCCCACAGAGGGCATTTTGACACATTGCTATTTCCAGTACCTAGGTCATATGACCCTCCTGAATTGCTCTTGCTCCAAGGGGGGATTTTGACCTCTCACTGGGCCAATCACCTAGGTGTTGGGGCTCCTCTGCTGCCTAGATCCTGGCTAAAGTGGGAATTGTGACATATCTGTGGCCAGCATCCAGGTGATGTGACTCTGGTGCCTTGTCTCTCTCCACAATTGGAATTGTGAAATATACATAGGCACAGCTTACAGGTGGGATGATGACTCATACCTGAAAACATTTTGACTCTTGTAGTTAGTCTTATGGCAAAAATGAAGGTCCTGGGTCTTCAACTTGTAGGGTGGTCATGGAGTGTTTTGACCTTCGTGCACATTGTATAAAGCCATCAAGTGCTACAAAAAATGCCATAATGTAGTTCATCACATAGGTGAAAATGTGGCAGTTGTATGCACACCCAGCCACAAGTAAGGATTGTCACCCTCCGACATGAACAAAGCCCACTGTTGAGGTTCTGAATCACATGTCAAGAGGCCATAAAGTTGGAAATGTGAACCTCATAAATCAATCCAATCCACAGATGGGATGATAACTCCAAGACCAGGATTTAGAACACCTGGGGACTGTAATTTCCCTATTAAAACATAGTCTTCAGGTGAGATTTGGGCTTTTGTGTACTGATTTACTCCACTGTTGTGATTAACTTGCATACTTGGACTCAACCCACAAGACGGGTTGACTCTAATACCTTTAGCTGGAAAATGTCCAGGATTGTGAATTTCTCTTGTTGACTGGGCCCAGGTATAAGCTTTATTGCTGTGCCTGTGAGATGGGTTCAAAAATGAGTCACTATCTCACCTGTGGCTGCATCTATGTATGACAGTCACAATTCCAAATCTGTATTGCGTTTGCACATGAGATTTAGGACCTCACCACTGAGTACTGGCCATGTGTGAGGATGACAATTCTGTCAGCTGGATGTACATATGAGAGTCACAGCCTCACCTTTGTGTGGGTCCTGTTATGACACACTCTGTACCACCTGAGGGCTTTATACAATGTGCTTTGGTGTCATAATACACTATGACCTTTGTTAAAGTAAGAGACCAAGGACCATGACTGTTGCCCTAACCCTAGCTATGAGGGTCAAAATCTCTTCTCTTAGCTGGATCCCACGTATGACAGTCATCATTTCACTTTTAACCTGTGACTATATATATGTCACAATTTTACCTGTGAGCAGGGACCAGTCACAAAAGTTTAATCACCTGGGTGCTGGGTCAGCTATATGTCACAATTCTTACTTTGGCCAGAGCCCAGGCAACAGAGCAGAAACACATCACCCACATGATTGGCCCAGTGATGGGTCACAATCCTCTCTGGGAGCAGGGCCCATTCAGGAGAGTCATATCACCCAGCTGCTTGGCCAAGAAATATGTCACAATCCCCCCTGTGCACAGAGCCAAGGCAGGATAGTTACATCACCTGGGAGCTGGGCCCAACAATATGTCCCAATTACTCTTGGGGAAAGTGTCCAGGCAGAAGAGCAGAACCACATCACCTAGGTGATGGGCCCAGAGATATGCCACAATTTCTTCTGTGGGCTGGGCCCTGGGATAAGAATAACATCACCTGGTGCTGGACCCAGCAATATGTTACAATCCCAACTGTAAAAAGTTTCCAGGCAATAGAGGAGAGTCACATCACCTATGTGACTGGCCCAAAGATATGTAATAATATTCCCTTTGGGGAGTGCCAAGGAAGGAGTGTCTCAACTCCTCCGTGCTCAGCCCAAAGATATGACACAAAACACACTGCAGGGAGGGCCCAAGTAGGAGATAAGAGTCCTATTAACTAGGGGTTTAGCCAAGCAATATGTAAAAATTATTCCTGTTGGCAGATCCCAGCCCCCCATCCAAAAGAATCAAATCACTTGGGTGGTGCTTCCCATGAAAATCACAAGCCCTTTTGAGTGCAAAGCCCATGAAGCAGAGGCGATTCACATTACCTAGGTGATGATCCCAAAGATATTTCACAATGCTGTCTGTGGGGAGAGTCCAGGGAGACAAGTCACCTCACTTGAGTGCTGGGCTCAGAAAATGTCACAATCTTCTCTGATGGAAGAGCCCAGAAAAGAAGGAAGAGCCGCATCACCTAGGTGTTGAACCCACTGATGTGTCGAAATCTCTATTCTGAGCAGAGTCCAGGCAAGTGAGGAGAGTCACATCTTTTAGGTGATTGGTCCAGAGATATTTCTCAATGCCCCCTGTGCACATGGCCTAGACAGAAGACACACATAAGCAAGATTACCTTGTTGCTTAGCCCAGTGATGTCACAATGCTTCTTGAGGGCAGGGCACAAACAGGATCAGAGAGTCACATCATTAAGTACCAGGCTTAGTGATATGTTATAACCTTACCTGTGAGCAGGGTCTAAGTAGGGGAAAAGATTTATATCACCTAGGTGCAAAGTAGAGAGATACATCACAATTCCTTTGAAGGAAGTGTCTAGGCAAAATAGTCACATCACCTAGGTGTTTATTCCAGGTATAAGTCACAAGATATATCTGTGCTGAGCCCAGAAGCACTGTGAAATCACTAAGGTTCTAGTTGTATGTCACAATTATACCTGTGGGAAGGCCCAGTAATGAGACCTCCAAATCCAAACATTTCTCCACTCCAGGTAGAACTCCTGTTGCGTTGGGTCCAAGTACTTGAGTCACAATCTCAACAGTGGACTGCATCCTCACATGAGAGCCCCAATCCCTTCTCCAAGCTATGTCCTGGTAAGGGAGTCACAGCCTCAATGCTGTGCTGAATCTTGGTGAGAGAGTCACCATTTCGCCTGTGGACTGGATCCACCTGTGAGAGTCACAACTCCAACTTCCCCCTGCCCATGGGTGTGAGCTTAGAACCTCAGTTGTGGGTTATGTACATGTGGGCATGTGACAATTTCTACTTTTGGTTCTGTGGCCATACAGATCTCTATATCTCACCTGTGAACTGGGTCCTGTTATGACACTCTCTGTACCACTCAAGGGGTATATTCAACACACATGGGTTTTATAATCCTTTGACCTTCATAAAAGTAGAAGATCCAGGACTTTACCCATTGCTTGAAGCCTAGCTATGAGAGTCAAAATCTCTCCTTTTGGCTTGGCTCATGTATAAGATTTATCATAGTGCCTGTGAGCTGGGCCAAAATGTATATCACCTTCTCAACTGTGGAGATCCACAGGCAGATACAGTGTCATGTGAGATAGGAGGACGACTGAGATGTTCTCTGTGAGGGTGTAATTGTTATTGTCCTGGGGCTGTTTCTAGATATTTTCAAATAAAATAAATTCAGAGACTTTAACCTAAAGAAGTATTGCAATGGTGGAAGCATCAAGCATAATATCTGCAAACATCTAAAATACTAGGCAGAAAAGAGCTGTCTTTGAAATGGAGGAGCAAGGTATATTAGAAAGAAGGGTGGGAGAGGAAGGGCCCCATGGAGAGTGACAAAATCCTTCAAGATTAGAGATGGTTTCACCCTGAAATCAGCCTGTTCTTGGGAGGGGCATAAAAGGGGTTGTATGGTTATATGTTTACTCAGACTGAAGACGGAGCAGAGGCCAGGGTCCCGGGGGAAAAAAGAAACAAGCAACCTGTGCCTAACAAGTATTTTCTTCTGAACTCTGAAGACAAAAGTATTTAATTGTTTATGAGGAGCAAATGGGAATGTGGAGAATCTATGAATCTGTGATATCTAAAACAGGATGTACCATCTAGGTAACAATGGTAAAGGTGTTTCTCTGCAGTAAGTTTTCTCACAGAACACAAAGAATTAGAGAGTTTTCTTAAATGTCACTATTTACCAGGACTCACTACCCACCCTGTCTTTCTTTTATGCTTTTCTTTGCTGTATCCATTTTTTGCATTTGGCTTTTTCTGAACTGTATTTATTATAATAACCTGGCAAGCATAGGTGAAATGTTTTGCCAAGTTCTGTGAGTAGTTTTATTAATTATTAAACTTCATGAAAAGGGTTATGGGAGCTTATGATTTATAGATAGATGCTCAGAAGCATAGACGTGCCCATGTTCGTTGTGACAGGCATGTGCAGTGGGGATGGTGCTGTGGGACTGAGTCCTGAACTTGTGGAGTCTATGCCAACTCTGGGTGGTGTCAGAATTAAGATGTTAAACTCCCAGTTGGTGTTGATGAATTGGTTGGTGTTCAACAAACTCCATGTATTTGGTGTTAGAACAAAGACATCACAGCAGCCTCGGCTGGAGGTATACTGTGGGTCTTTTGGGGAATAAAGACTCTATTCTTTTACACACATGCTGTCACAGTGTGAATTGTCTTGTGACAATAGGTCCCATCTAGGGGTCAGAGGGAACTGAGGATTAAAAGGGATGGAGTTCTGAAGGAAGACTCCTCTCCTCACCCTGCTGCTATAAAGTGATTCCTGCACACTCACACACATACACACTAGGCAATGATGTAGATACACCCCTCCCATGACAAGGCATCACCCTGAGAAACTGTGCTGACAGAACCTCTCCTTCTAGAGTTTTCCACTAATATGCTACATAAGTGCCCAGTGGACTCATGGCTTACTTCTATGCCCAGATCTTGCATCTGCACCGTGACCTATTTTCTCCAGTAGCCTAGGCTTCTCGACCCTCTGTCCATCTCATCTGCCTGCATACACACATTTAGAAATCAGAGTTACCCTGTGTGTGCCAGTGTCTATAGCACTAACCAGTCCTTTCACCAACTATGCACTGTTCCCTACTCATGGGTTTTTTTGTATCACTTTCTCTTAGTCTGCTTTTTTCTTCTCCACAAACCCTCTTTCACAAACCCATGTGCCTAAATACAAACCCTACTGGAAATAGAATGTCTAAGAGTTCAGGATAAAATTTTGCAACCAGTTTATTGTAAGCATAAACACAAAATAAAAATAAGAGATTTAATCTTTCAATTTGAAAATAAAAAAGAAAATTTTCTCATTTTTTAAATTATTTAATTTAGATAACTTTCATATGTAAATTATTATCTGCTTTTATGTTTTTTGTTGTCTTTCAAGTTTTTATTGAATCTCTGTTCTTTTTTTATTATTTTGTGTATTGTGTTAACATTGAGAGTAATTAGTTTTTTTCAAGGTTTTTGCAAATCAAAGTCATGCTGCTTATTTGAGATCTTTCTTTCTTCTTATTATAGAAATATATCAGTGTTACCTTTTGTCTTAGAACTGCTTTTTTGCATCCCAGAAGTTGTTGTATGTTGTGTTTTTATTTCTACTTTTCTCAAGATACTTTGTGATTTCTTTTTTCTTTTCCCCTTTGACCATGTGTTTTTCAGAAATATGTTGTTTAATATCCACATATTTGTGAGTTTTTAAATTTTTTTCTCTTATTGATCTCTAGTTTTAAAAAACTGTAATTTAAAAAGTTCATTAATTTTAATCTTTTTAAATTTTTAGAGATTTTCTTGTTGTTGTTGGCCCAACATACGATATATCCTGGATAATATTCCATGTGTGCTCAAGAAGAATGTGTATTCAAATACTGTTGAATGAAATATTCTGTTTATCACTGTTAGGTGCACTTGTTCTATAGTGCTTTGCAAGTACATTGTTTTCTTACTACTTAAAACGTTTTAAGTAGAGTAATAGCATCTTCTATTACGATAATAATTATGTTTTTTTCTACAGTCATATATAAAATACATTCTTATATAAATATTATATAGACATACTATTATTATATTATATACATATATACATATGTTTATATATTTATGTGCTCCAATGTTGGGTTCATATATAGTTATAGCCTTTTGACAGATCAGCTTGTTATCATTATATAGTCAACTTCTCTATATCTCCTGACAGATTTTTTTCTAGAAGTCTATTTTGTCTTATATAAATATAGCCACTAATATACTCTTTTAGTTATTATTGGCATAGTATTTTTTTATTATTTAACCAGCAACTTATGCATGCCCTTAAATCTAAAAAATTTCTTATGTAAAATATACTGGTAAATTTGTTAATCTCTTTAGACATTTGTGAATGTTTCAGTTCATTTTCTGCTTCAAAAACAGAATATCCTAGAGTGGGTAAACTATAAAGAATAGAAGTTTACTTAGCTCATTTCTTTAGAGGCTGAAAGTCCAAGAACATGCCATTGCCATCTGATGAGAATCATATTTCCACGTCACAAAATGGTCAAAGGCATAACGAGGACAGAAGGTGTACACCAGAGAGCTTACTTTTATAATGGAACCACTCTCACGACAACTAATTCATTCTGGAAATAACGACATTAATTCATTCATGAGAGTAGAGCCCTCATGGCCTAGCAAATTCTTTCTGTCGCCCAGGCTGGAGTGGAGTGGTGCAATCTTGGCTCACTGCAACCTCCGCCTGCCAGGATCAAGCGATTCTCCTGCCTCAGCCTCCCTAGTACCTGGGATTACAGGCGCTTACCGCCACGCCAGCTAACTTTTCTATTTTTAGTAGAGACAGAGTTTCACCATGTTGGTCAAGCTAGCCTCGATCTCCTGACCTCGTGATCCACTCGCCTCGACTTCCCAAAGTGCTGGGATTACAGGCGTGAGCCATCGCGCCCGGCTTTTGTTTTTTTGTTTTAGTTTTTTTTTTTTTTTTTTTATTATACTTTAAGTTTTAGGGTACATGTGCACATTGTGCAGGTTAGTTACATATGTATACATGTGCCATGCTGGTGCGCTGCACCCACTAACTCGTCATCTAGCATTAGGTATATCTCCCAATGCTATCCCTCCCCCCTCCCCCCACCCCACCACAGTCCCCAGAGTGTGATATTCCCCTTCCTGTGTCCATGTGATCTCATTGTTCAATTCCCACCTATGAGTGAGAATATGCGGTGTTTGGTTTTTTGTTCTTGCGATAGTTTACTGAGAATAATGGTTTCCAATTTCATCCATGTCCCTACAAACTTTTGTTTTTGTTTTGGTTTTGTTTTTTGAGACGGAGTCTCACACTGTCGCCTACGCTGGAGTGCAGTGGCGACATCTCGGCTCACTGCAAGCTCCGCCTCCCGGGTTCATGCCATTCTCCTGCCTCAGCCTCCTGAGTAGCTGGGACTACAGGCACCCAACACCACGCCCGCTAATTTTTTATATTTTTAGTAGAGACAGGGTTTCACTGTGTTAGCCAGGATGGTCTCGATCTCCTGACCTCCTGATCCAACTGCCTCAGCCTCCCAAAGTGCTGGGATTACAGGCGTGAGCCACTGCACCCAGCCAGTAAATTCTTAAATGTCTATCTTCCTAATTTTGTAACAAAGGGAGTTAAATTTTAACATAAATTTTGGAGGGGACATTTATACCATAACAGCGTGTTTTTATTAGATAATTAGACTTTTATATTTAAAAAATTATTGATAGGCAAGTACTTATTACTGCCAATTTGTTAATTGCTGTCTGATCATTTAGTAGATTTTATGCTGTCTTCCTTTGTGCTTTTGCTAATTTTTTTTTTTGCTTTTACTGTTGTTATATGCTTTGATCCTTTTTCTTTTTTATATCTATTGTAATTTTTTTCTTGTAATTACCGAGGCTTACATAAAACACTGCATAATTATAAGAGTCTTGCTTAAGATAATAACAATTTATCTTCTATGTATAAAAAGACTCATCAATTTTACCTTTTTCAACACACACTTTATGTCACACTTTAAAGTACATTGTCCTAGAACCTTCCTCCATAAACTTTTCAACATTCTCTCTTGAAGCTTCTGTATGGGCTCAGAGTAAAGCTGCAAATGACCACAACACTCCCTTATGTTAGAGGCAAAACTTTAGTCCTCAGCTTGCTGACTAACCTACTAGGCTCCTGAGTGGGCTGCCTGTGACCATAATTATAAATTTCAGGCCAGCCTCTTCTGTCTTTCAGGGTCTCGTCAGCCAACCTGGATTTCATGTTCTTCAGAAAATCTCTGGCCTTTCTTAGATGAAACTTTAGTATTTCCTCATGCCTTTGATGCCTTATTTGGTCCAAGAGCTCATCAAGTTGGGCCTCCTGGACCTGAGATCTGCCTCCAAAACAACAAGAGGCTGAAATGAGACACCAGAGCTCAAAAAGTTTAAATGACATGCACAGATTCTGCAAGTAGAATTGAAGACCAGGCAACCATAGAGGTGCAAAAATCTTATTACTACCAAAAAAGGTACCAAATTCGCCACTGACCCCCCATTTGTCTCTGCTTTGGGCCTCTGGGCTCTTCTCTCTTTCTAGAATGTTCTTCCCTGCTCACTTTCCATCTACCAGGACCCAACACATATCACGTTCTTCAGGGAAACTTACTCACCCCACCTATTCCGTCCCCTTCTATATTTTCCTGTGGCACCTGCTTCTAACTTTTCTTTTCACCATTTATACTTGAACTCAGATACAATATACAACCCCATTCATATCCTAGAGTTTGTCTTGATGCCAGACAGAAACACAAAATCAGCCCAGGTGTGGTGGTTCACACCTGTAATCCCAGCACTCTGGGAGAATTGCATGAGCCCAGTAGTTCAAGACAAGCCTGGGCAACATGTTGAGACTCCATCTCTATAAAAATTTTAAAAATTAACTGGGCATGGTGTTGCAGGCCTGTGGTTCCAGCTACTCAAAAAGCTAAAGTGGGAGGGTCACTTGAGCCTAGGAGTTCTAGGTTTCAGTGAGCTGTGGTCAAACAGCTGCACTCCAGCCTGTGTGACAGTGAGACCCTGCCTTAAAAAAAAGCAACAACAAAATTATATAAAGATATAGCTTTCTAAGAATGGTATGTACATATACAAATATATAATTCTGTAGCATCATAATAATGGTGCATAAAGCATTCTATTTCTTTTATAGAATCTGAAAGACTAGAGCATAAAAACAATCATAAACCTTTGTTAATGGATATGTTATATAAAATATAAAAACAGAAATATATAATGTAATTTAAGTTTGAAGAGAGATGCAAAGAGAGAAAATTTTGTATGCAATGAAAGTTAATTTGTTACCAGCTGAAAATATATTGTAACTTCAAGATGTTTTATTTAATCATCCTGATAACCACGAAAAATACCTGTAGAGATACAGCAAAGAAAATGAGAAAGGAACCACAGCATATTGCCACAAAAGAAAAGAATCAATGAGACACAAGAAAAGCAGAAAGAGAGAAAACTAGGAAAAAATAGCTATAAACAAGAAACACAAGTAACAATATAACTGATACGCTTTAGCTCCATGCTTCCACCCAAATTTCAAGTCACGTTGTAATCCCCAGGTGTCAAGGGAGGAAACTGATAAACCATGGGGGTTGATTTCCCCATGCTGTTCTCATGATAGTGGGTGACTACTTAGAGCTGATGATTGAAATGTGTGGCACTTACCCTTTCTCTCTCTCTCTCTCCTGCTCCACCATTGTGAAGACATGCTTGTTTTCCCTTTGCCTTCTGCCATAATTGTAAGTTTCCTGAGCCCTCCTAGTCATGCTTCCTGTTAAGCCTGTATAACTGTCAGTCAATTAAACTTATTTTCTTTATAAATTATTCAGATTCATATAGTTTTTATAACAGTGTTATAAAAAGACTAGTACAATAGCCATAGTAAGTCCACCTGTTACTAAAATTTAAAAAACATACATGATGTTCATCATCACTAGAACATCCATACAAGAAATGCTAAAAGGAGACTTTCATGTTGAAAAATAAAACAATGCTAGACAGCTAATTATAAAGCCATATAAAAATATAGAACTCTCTGTTAAAGGTAAGTATACAAAAAAATAGAGAATTTTCTATTATCATAATGATGGTGCATAAAATACACATAATTCTGCTATAAAATTGTAAAAACATTAAAAATTTGCATATGCTTGTTAAATACACAATATAAAAATCTATGTTGTAAAAATAATAAGATAAAATTTTGTTGTATTAACTTGATAAGGTAAAGAAAAGATGTAAAGAGGTATCTTTTTGTGCACAAAGTTAAGTTGTTATGAGATAAAATATATGGATATAATTTTAAAGTGTTTTATATACTCTCTATTCCTCCTGGTGATCACAAAAAAAAAAAAAACTATGAAAGGTACACAAAAGAAAATAAAAAATAAATCAAAATATGTCCTTACAAAATCAACAATGACCAAAAAAGGCAGTAAGAGGGGAAAGGAGAAAAAAACGTAACTAAAAGAAACAGAAAATAATTGAATGGAAATGGAAATTCTATTTTATTCAGTAATTACTTTAAAGATAAGTCAATTAAACTTTCTATACAAAAGGCATAAAATGCATAAATGGATTCACAATAAACAATATCCAAAAATATGGTGTTTTTAAGAGACTCACTTTAGGTCTAAAGAACTAAATAGGCTGAAAGAAATAGGATGAAAAAGGACAATCCACATGAATAGTACCAAAATAGGACAGGGTCACCATACTTATTTTAACCCAAATACTCCTTAGATTAAAACTGTCAGAAGAGACAAGGGATAATATTATGTAATGATAAAAGCACCTATTTGCCAGGAATCTCCAGCATGTATAAATATAAATAGGCACATAATATAAGGGTTCCCAAATATGTAAATATTGACAGAAACAAAGCAAGAAGTATACATCGACACAATAATTGTGGGAGGCTTTAATACTCCACTTTTAGTAGTAAATAGAAAAAACAGATAAAAGATCAATACAAAAGAAAACCTGAACAACATTAAAGACCAGTTAGACCTAGTAGACATATATAGAGCTTTTCAGTCAACCATAGCAGAATAAGCAATATTCCCAATCACATAACACACACTTAAGGAAAGACAATACATTAGGACACAAAACAAGTCTTATTAAATCTAAAAAGACTGAGACTATATTCCTTCTGGCCACAACAAAATGAAACTAGTAACTACAAGCAGAAGGAAAACTGTCATATCCCAAAATATGCAGAACTTAAGCAATACACCCTTGAACCCACTCTTGTTCAAGAGTCAGACGGCTTCATATTGTTAAAATGTTAATACTGCCCACAATGACATACAAGTTCAATGTAATCCTTAGGAAAATCACAATGGTATGTTTTTGCTGAAACATAAAAAATATCTAAAATGTATATGAAATCTCAAGCCACCATGAATAGCCACCATAGCTTTAGAAAAGAAGTATAAAGTTAAAGGCATCATATTTTCTGATTTCAAAACATATCAGAGTTACAGAAATAAAAACAGTAAGGTACTAGTATAAAGAGAAAGAGGTAATGAAACAGAACAGAAAACCCCAAAATAAACCCTTGTGAATATAATCAGATGACCTGCGCATGGGTTGATATGACCACACAATGGAGAAAGAATAGTCTTTTCAGCAAATGATGTTGGAAAACTGACAATCAACCAAATGAAAAATAACAATGTAGGATGCTTCTCTTGCACCGTATATAAAAACTATCTTAAATATTTCAATGTAAAAACTATAACTATAAAATTTTTTGAATAAAATATTCCAAATATGTCTTACACGGTGAGAGAATTATTACTTTGATCTTGACAATACTTTCTTGGATATGACATAAAAAGCATAAGCAACAACAACAAAAAAGTAAAATGAGACTGCATAAATCTATATATTAAACATCAATAAAATACATTTTCAGTAAGTGTCCACTTAATGTCATCAATAGGATCTTGAAAAATAACATTTTTTAAATTATAATTTTAAGTTCAGGTGTAAAAGTGTAGATTTGTTACGTAGGTAAACTTGTGTCATGGGGGGTTTGTTGTACAGATGGAAAATGACTAAGTGAAACATTGTACTGTATGCCATATAAACTTAATGCTTGTTTATATCAAGCACTTATAATAAAAATTATAATATTAAGCACTAGTATATTATATATTTGTATGTGTAAAATTATACATATAAATACACACACACAGTTGTCCCTTATATGGTTGTCCTTATGGATAAACAGGTATCCATAGGGGATTGGTTCCAGGGCCATCTTGGGATACCAGAATCCTAGATGCTTAAGTCTCTTATATAAAAAGAAAGATTATTTTAATATAACCTATGCACAATCTCTTGCATATTACTTGATTCATCTCTACATTACTTATTATATTTAATGAAACATAAATGCTATTTAAATAGTTTTGTATTGCTGAGGGAATAATGACAATAATGTCTGCACATGTTCAGTACAAAAGTAAACATTGTATGCTTAACTACATTTTATTCAAGGTTGGTTTGAATTCACAGATGTGGTATTCATGAATATACAGGGCCAAATCGTGTGTGTGTGTGTGTGTGTGTGTGTGTGTTTGTAGAAAAATAAATTCAGCCCCCTGTACCTATCAATTACTTAATAAAACTTTACTCCTACATTTGAAGCTGTCTGTATTGTCTACACAGTCTTTCCCAAATATAACTCTTTGCCTCTCTACCACAGAAAATAATCATTCATCCTCAGTTTTGAGAAAGTATAATTCCTTTGACTTTTATTATTAATTATACTACATATGTAGGTGTCTCTAAATAATACATTATTCAACTTTCTAAATTTTAAAACTTTCTGTAAAGATGCATACTCTATAGACTTCTATAATGCTCTTTCCTTATTCCTTATTCCTTATTGTAATTTTAAAAGCCTTTCATGTTTTAGTTTCTTATTCAAATATATGTATTGTTTATAAATTAGCCTCTTGAAGATACTGAAATCTACCTCAAAGAGAATTCTTGAGAGATAATGAATACAAAGTTCTTATAGCAGTGCTTGATTCATTGTAGTTGTTCAATAGTGCATATATAATAGTATATATAATGTTATAAAATTAATATATGTAGTATTGTGTTCTGGGCAACCAAATATGTTACTTTTCAGAAAACTATCACGGCAGCTGAATTTGTGCAAATGCGTTCGGGAACACTTTATCACCCAAATATAGCCATTGGGGAACCGGTGGGCTAAAATGGGGGCAACATTTTCTAGACTCCAATTTTCCAACTGGTAACTCGCAGGATGACAAGTCATAATTTCATGGTAATTTTGCACATCCCCAGGGGAGAGAGAGGTGGCGGCGGCTGCGGTTCCACCTTTGCACGCTCCCCGAAGGTGTCCCGCCGCTCCAGTCCCTCCCCGGCAGCCGCTAGCAGGAGCAACTCGGCGCTGCGCTGCGGGTGGGCTCAGGCCAAGGAGGACACGTCAGCCTCCGCAGGCGGTGCCTGGCGGTGTCACGCACCGCAGCTGCGCTGGGTTCATGGTTCTGTCCTGAGAGCACCACGAAGCGTTTTGGATTCCAAGTTGCGGCAGTAGGAGCAGCAGCCGCCACGACCGCAAAAAAAAACCCGAGCTATTGGGAGGCGGAGGGTGGGTGATCCTGAAGCAGGGTCTGCAGCAGGATACCCCCTGTCGGGTACTCGGCCAGACCGGAAGTCTGGGCGCAGGGGTCGTCTACGCCAGAGAGCGGCGTCAGCCCGCAGCGCAAGATTTCATTATTTCTGTGGTTAAATCCTATTCCATTGTGTATGTACACCACATTGGCTTTATCTATTTATCCCTTGATGGACACTAAGATCGATTCCATATCTGGGCTACTGTCAATAGAGCCATGATAAACATGGGAGTGCAGTATCTCTTCAATATACTGATTTTATTTCCTTTTAATATATACTCAATAGTGGAATTGCTGGATTAGATCGTAGTTTCATTTTTAGGTTTTTCATTTTTGTTTTGTTTTGTTTCTGTTTTTGTTTTGAGAAACCTGCATAGTTTTTCATGAAGTTTCTAATAAAAAATACATCTAAAAATGTACTAAATTTACATTCATGCCAACTGTGTATAAGTGTTCCTTTTTCTCCACATCCTCATCTAAACTTGTTATCTTTTGTCTTCTTGACAATGGCCATTCTAAATGGAATGAGGTACTATCTTATGTGGTTTTGGATTGCATTTTTCAGATAATAAGTGATGCTGAGCATTTCCTTGTGTCTTCTTTGGAAAAATGTCTATTCATGTCTTATGCTCACTCTTTAGTTGGGTTCTTTTTATTTTTATTGCTGTTGAGTCTCTTATATATTTTGGATATTAACTCCTTGTCAGATGCACATATTTTCTATTATTTTATAGGTTGTCTTATCACTCTGTTAATAGATTGTACGCTGCCCAGAAGCTTTTATTTTAATATTTTATTGATATTAATTTTTCTGTTTTCTGACTTGATACAAAGGTAAGAGTTTACCATCAGCTTCACAAGTTATCTGTCTTCTATCTCACTGCTTTTAAGAGTTTTTCTTCTTTTCAGTGTCATGCACTTTGATCATTCTTCTTTTTTCAAGATGTATTTTATTTATAATTGACACATAATCATTGTACATATTTATGGAGTACAGTGTGATGTTTCAATGTATGTATATTCTGTATAATGACCCAATCAGGGTAATTTGCATAACTAGCACTTTAAACATTTATTATTTATTTGTGCTAATAAAATTCAAAATCCTCTCTTCTAGCTGTTAGAATAAACAGTACTTTATTATTAGCTGTAGTCCCTGTGTAACAGAACATCAGACTTTATTCTCCCTATCTAACTGTAACTTTGTAACTTTGACAAACCCCTCACCATTCCTTCATCCCTTCACTCTCCCTAGCATCTGGTAACCACCATTCTACTCTCTCCTTCTATGAGATCAACTCTTTTAGATTTCACATATGGGTGACATCATGTGCTCTTTTTCTTTCTCTGACTGGCTTATTTCACTTAACGTAATGTCCTCTGGGTTCATCCACGTTGATATAAATGACAGAATTTCATTCTGTTTTATTACTGAACATTATTCCTGTGTGTGTGTGTGTGTGTGTGTGTGTGTGTAACATTTCCTTCATTCATCTGTAAGTGGGCACTTATACACTATTGGTGAGAATGTAAATTGGTACAACCATTAGGGAAAACATCATGGAGGTTTTTCAAGAATTTATAAATAGAACTACCATGTATAAGATCCAGCAATCTCACCACTTGGTATATATCAAACGGAAATAAAATCAGTATGTCCAAAAGATAATTGCACTCCCATGTTTATTGAAGCAGTATTCACAATAACCAAAACCATTATTTCTTTTAAGTATTTCTTAATTTATTTTTTGACTCATTACACTCTAAACTTTGATAAGATTCATGTCGTGTCTCTAATTTCTGAAACGTATGAGCCACCAATTCATTGAATATTGCCTTCCTGTTTATAGTCTAGTAAAACAATTAAATGTTTTTTTATTTCTTCTCATCTAGTGTTCATGTATAAATATATTTGTATTTTGTATTAATTTGCCTCTATAGAGTATATAACTACATTAATTGTACCCAGCATTTCAGTTTCGTAGTTCTCTCATTAGCTCAGTCTATTTTAATAATGTAATTTGTATGCCAGAAATTAAATTGTTTTACTACATTTTCAATACTTCACTTTCCATTTGCCTCTTTTCCAAATACGACTTGACAAGCTCGTAGGTTTTTTTCCACATTATTTTGGTTTCTTGTTTTTTCATGATATTGCAAACATTTTTTTTTTTTTTTCCGAGACGGACTCTCGCTCTTTCGCCCAGGCTGGACTGCAGTGGCACTATCTGGGCTCACTGCAAGCTCCGCCTGCCGGGTTCACGCCATTCTCCTGCCTCAGCTTCCCGAGTAGCTGGGACTACAGGCGCCCGCCACCGCGCTCGGCTAATTTTCTGTATTTTTAGTAGAGACGGGGTTTCACCGTGTTAGCCAGGATGGTCTCGATCTCCTGACTTTGTGATCAGCTCGCCTTGGCCTCCCAAAGTGCTGGGATTACAGGCGTGAGCCACCGCGCCCGGCCGATATTGGCAAACATTTTAATATAAACTTCATATCTGAGTTTTATGAGCCATATAATTGATCTAATGCTTCACACTAGTAGTGTATATCCTTTTCTGCAACATAATTTATAATTAAGTTCTCACATGTGGAAGACAGCACACTCCAGATGCCAACAGGCAATTTTTCTATGTTTATTCCATTTGCTTTGTCAGAAGCTGAACAACCCACATAGAACTGATATCCTTGTGATCAGATCCATCTGAAGGGTCAGTACCTCTTAGGTTGATGTCTCTTTGGATCATTACCTTTATTTTCTTCTGGTCCTGAGAAGTTTCCATATTTTTCTTTCAACTATATTAGGCATTTTGTGAATTCTTGCAACTTATTGGTAATTTTAGTTATCTGCATTAAGTTTTTAGAGCATGTTATTTTCCTGAAAAGCAGAAATATCAACATTTGCATACATGAATAAAATATTTTACATAGATTTTCTGTGGCATAGATGACCACCTCATGAGAAATGCCAAGTTTCTTCGTTTGAAATACCACTCTCTTCAATAGACAGTACTGTAATAATTTGAAGGATGTGGTTCTTTTTTTTACCATTAGAAAATTAATCATGTATTATACACAAATTTCTGAAATACTTTACTGCAGTAAATAGTATATAGTCAGAATCATTGTTTCCTTTAACATAAAACTAATATGGGCAAAATTGTTTACCTGAATTAAGATCTTTCGGCTTCAATTGCCATTCTACCTCATTAGCATTTCCCTGCCTCCATAAAAGCTATCATTTAAATTTTTTGTTTAATTCATAATTTATTGAAAAGAGCGTTTTAAATTTTTTTATGATGTTTGTATTGCAATTGAGGACATTTTCAATAAATATCTTAAACTTGAGGTCCTCGCTAAGTATTCCTTTTGCACTAGAAATCAGATTTCTCTGGTGCAATTCCATTGCCTGCAATAATATTTATGAAAACTACAAATGCCAGCGCACTATTTCAATACTCTACTCAGTTGTTCATATCTAAATATCTTGTTAGCTATGAAACAAGTCAAATATAAATGCTGAATATGTAGTACCAATAAACAAATTCTTCAAAGAAGTCAGTAAAACACTAATTTTCTACAATATGTCACCAGTTTATTAGATCTTCAATAACATTATTTATGCTATATCAAGTATAATAGGTTCTTTTACCTAGGTTCTAAAGGGCATAAACAATGATGCATATAGTCAGATTTATTTTTATAAACTTTTGATGTTTCTCTTGCTGTGCATCTTACTGTGAATATATGGAGAAAAAGACAAACGTACATTTAAGTTATTAGTGGTTACCTGAGTTTTGCTTATATGGCTTTTTGCTTATATGGATGACAAAATAAAATAATGAAGTTTGATAGGCTCATCTGTGCCCTGTAAACTTTAGTCCACTAACTGCATAACTTGATTCAGTCACTATTTATTAGTTTAAAAAATGGTTTTTAAAAGCTGCAAACCAAACTTTATTATACATTTCTGAATCAGGAAAGGGTAAACTGTGACACAGTACCTGTGTGCCACAGAGTCTTTGGGGAATAAAAGCTCTGCAGAAAATAAAATAAAATAAAATAAAATCGATAAGAGTTTCCAAACTTTTCCAAACTCTATTTTTAAGAAAGCTTGAGTTTTCCTCTGTGATTAACCTACACTCTACAGTCCCTTTTACCCAAGTCATGGTCCCTGGGTCATTTTTTTAACGTTTAGTTTCTGGGAAGTTTTCAGCAAACCTATCTCATGCTTTGTCCCAGTATGTTTGTTTTTGTTTTGGAGAAGGTGAACATCTTCAAATGAGGATGGATTGCCTGTCCCCAAGCCTACAGGTGTTCGCTGAAGCTGAAGCTGAATCAGAGTTTTCATTCCCAGCCATCGTTCCCCAGGCTCTCACCTTTTATCCAACCCATCTTCTGCAACATCTTACTTTTGTTGCTGTTGGTAATTTCAGAATGAACAGATGTAGGAGAATTATCTCTTCGGAAGGTTCCTTCACTTCCAATCTGCTCACTATGTTTTCCACCTCTATTTTTATATTTTAGATTCTTCAATGTCTATTTATCTTCATAGTCTGTTTCTGTAAACATATTTTAATTGTATTTTCTTTAATTATTTTCTTATTTCCAACTATTTTTTCTCCTTGCTTAGAGTTGGTCCAATTAACAATTCATCTTTCTTATCAAGGCAAGGGTGAGCTCTAACTTGTCGTGGTTCACAGCCAGCCCAGGTATCAGTGCTAGGATGAGTGTAAAAGGGTAACACAGTCTCTCCAATTTTCAGTTCATGACTATGCTCAAGTACATAAGGGTCACATTAATTTCCAGTTGAACAATCCATTTTCCATTAACAACTGTTCTCTTTTGACTGCCTTGATCTACAAGGACATAACTTTGTAAGTCATGGTCAAAATAAATTTCTGCATGAAACTTACTGACACCAACTTCAGGGATTCAAAGAGTATGCTCAGGATCATTTTCTCTTCCAATTGCCACAGGTTTTACAGCAGTAATGATAAAGAGTGACCCTGTATGCAACACAGGTGATCTAATGACAATTACTCTAATACACGGGACATTTTTTTTTCTCATTTTCCTCCTTAGTATCTTCTGCAGTTACATTCCCTTCACTGGTAATGTGAGGAGGGCTGCACGGGGGCCATAATGGACAGTTGGGGAGCCAAGAGGCCACGGGAATGCAGGCATGGAAAGGCAGCTTCGCCAAGATGGCTGCTGTGGCTCCCACCAGGATGCCCTGACACATTTGCCTGGAGCCAAACGGGGCTGTGGGCAACAAGCAAGGGGGCAGCTGATGGCCCTCCCCGATCTGCAAGGTCTGGAAACCGGAAAACTCCTGGGAACTATTACATCTTCCTCAGCTATAGTAACAGCAGGAGGAGCGTAGGAGAAGTCAAGGGGCCAGAAGCACTCGGGCCCTTCCTGGCTTGAGTCAGAAACAGTGGCCAAGAGAGTTTTAAATAAAGTTTACATGTGGCTAGATAGGACCTGCTGATTAATCTTAAAATTTTTCCACATTTATTGAGCTATGATTTACACATTGAAAAGTGTATGCATTTAGGGTGTAAAATAGAGTGCTTTAAGATGTGTGTATCTTCCCACTTTTCCCCACTTCCTAGCCCATGGTAACTACCATTCTACTCTCTCTTTCTTTCTTTTTCTTTCTTTCTTTCTTCTTTCTCTTTCTTTCTCTCTCTCTCTGATTCCACAAACGAAATCATGCAGTATTTGTGTTTCTTGTATTTCACTTATCTCACTTAGCATAATGTCTTCAAGGTTTATCAATATTGTTGTAAATGAAATTTTCATTATTACAGCTGAAATTACCTCTCTTACACAGTTTATCCATTTATTTGTATCAGAAGAGTACAGATACCCTTGGCGATACTATTTTTATGTCCTTTGATTACATACTCCAAATTGGGATTAATGGTGCTTCTAATTTAAAATTTTTAAGGAATCTCTATAATTTTTTTAACAATGGCTGCACCAATGGACATGCTCAGCAACAGTGTACAAATATTTTCTTTTCTTTGCACTCTAACACTTTTTATCTTTTGACTTTTTTATAATAGCTATCCTAACACCACGATAAGGTGATATCTCATTGTGATTTTGAGTTTAATTACTCTGATAATTAGTGATGTTGAGAATGCTTTTATATATCTGCTGTCCATTTTTAAGTCTTTGGAAAAATAGCTATTTAGATATTTTGCCCAATCGATAATAAAATTGGTTTTTGTTTTTTTCTGCTGTGGGTTTTTTTATATTGATTAGTGTGACATATAATTTGGATAGTATCATATTATCCCACATATGGATTACAAATATTCTTTCCCATCCAACATACTATCTCTATATTTTGATTGTTTTATTTATTGTGCAGAAACTTTTTACTTTGATATAGTTCCACTTTTTTATTTTTGCTTTAGTTTCTTGTGTTCTTTGTGTCGAATCCAAAACATCATTGCCATGACCAATGACAAGGAGCTTTATCCTTATTCTTTATAGAAAATTCATGATTTCAGTTCTTACGTATAAATCCTTAATTTATTTTAATTTTTTGGGATAAGAGCTCACTTTTTCTGTGTGCATATCTAGTTTTTTGTACACCATTTCTTGATGTCATTTTCTATTTCTAATTCTGTGATAACAGTTGACTGTATATGCGTGAGTCTATTTCTCGCTCCTCCATTTTGTTCCATTGGTTTTTATGTAGGTACCATGCTATTTTGATGACTATAGCTTCGTAATATAGTTTGAAATCAGGAAATTTTAGGCTTTCAGCCTGTTTGTTCTTCTCAGTATTTGGCTATTTGGATTCTTTTGTGGCTCCATACTAATTTTACAATTGTTTGTTCTACATTTACTTTAATAGCATTAAAATTTTGATAGAAATTTAACCCTAGAACTGAAAGTATAATAATAAAAAAAGAAATTTATTTAACTGTGTAGATAACTATGTGTAGTATAGATATTTTAACAATATTAATTTTTAGAATCCATGAACACAGGATATAGTTCCTATTTTGTATTCTTCGTTTTCTTTTACCAACATTTTATAGTTTTCAGTATGCAGATCTTTAACATTCTTGGTTAAACTCATTCTATTTAATGAATTATTTCATTCTATTTGATAATACTGTAAGTGGAATTGTTTTGTTTATTCCTTTTTCTGAATATTTTGCTGTTACTGTATCAAAATGCAACTGATTTTCATGTTAATATTGTATCCTGCAACTTTACTAGTTTGTTAGCTATAACAGGGTTTTATTTTTAACCCTGGTTAACACTTTAAATTGATAGTTGCTATTATCATAATTCTTTAAAATATGACCAGATGAATTACTGCTGTCATGAATTCAATGGAATTCACGTTTCCATTTAAAATAATTGTATCTGTTTTGTCTGGGCCCCAGAATGGGGGGCACCCCATGGGAGTCAGGAAATTCCAGATGGGGAGGGAGAAGCAAACAGGGAGGAGGCTGAGCGAGAGAAACAGAGAGAGGCTCTGGGGACAGTAGGGAGGAGACGGGTCGTGTCCGAGACTGAGTGGGGAGACAGAATGGGCCAGAAAAGAGGTTAAAGGTGAGAGTGGGCAACAGGACTGCTTCTCGGCACAGGCACGGGGCAGGGAACTTTGCTGAAACTGAAGGGCCCAGTGAACAGTGTGGGCAGGGTGGGAGGGAATGGAGAGGACCAGGCAGACCCCAAGGTCAATTTGGAGGAAGGAACATTTCCCGGTTCCTTCGCCTCTGCCCAGCGTTCTGCGGGCATGGTTCCCCCAGGGGCAGGGCACGGGAGGAGGCGGCTCCCGGCGGGCTCGGAGAGCTGAGGGGCGCACACCCGCTTCGCAGGGCCGGGGTGACGGTGGAAGCAAGCGACGGCTGCGGATGCCGCTGGCCGGGTGGGTAGGTGCTGGGGCCTTAAGCTGGGCGGAGCTCAAAGGGCCCAGCGCTGGGGCCTGCAGGTGGCCCTGGAGGAATCCACCCGCCCGTGCCTTCTGGGAGAGCAGTGTGGATGGCGCCGTGGACACGCCCTTCCTAGCTGGAACATTTGTGAGGCTGGAATTTAAGCTCGGGCAGACAAGCGCCAGAAGAAGGAATGGATGAAACCCCAGTGCAAAGTCCAGCCCAAGGTGAGGAAGCGGAAATGCCTGGCCTGCGTCAAACTGGGCTCCGAGGATAAGGTTCTGGGCCGGATGGATGACTGCCTTACAGAGACGCAGGCTTGGCGGGAGTCTGAGGAGCACCAGGAGACCCAGTGCAGCCGGGCGGAGTGGGCGGTGAGGATACCACAGCTACTGCTTCCCTGCACAGTTCGCCTTCTCCAAGGCCCGGACCTCAGCTGAGCCCAGCACTGAATTGCATGGCGCCTCCTGGACCACTGCCGGGGGTGTCCAGTGGAAGACCCCACTTCCCAGAGAGAGAACCCCACTATATCCCCAGCAAATAAAGCTGCTCCCTAACCAAAATAAATAAATAAATAAAATCATTTTGGTCTTTGAAAATAATGTATACCCTCTGTTTACTGGTAAACGTGCTGCTCATGTATCTGTATGCCTAATTAGTTAAACTTTTTAATGAAGTTATTTAACATTTATGATTCTTTATTATGATACAAAACAGTAAATTTTATAATGGTTTTAATATCATCTAATATAATTGAAAAAATGTCAATTTGTCATTGCCCATGAATCTTTGTGTTATTTATTTTACACTGTCAGATATTCTGTCTACAAATATCTAATGGCTTAGAATCTTGCCTAACATATTGTATGTGCTAAGTACTAACTACTCTAATTCATCAAATTATCTTTTCACACCATTCTTAAAATACAATATTATTTTTATTTATTTTTATTAAAATTATTTTTCTGCTTAAATATTTATGAAAATTATGAGGGCTATTCAGTCTGCCCTCTTGATGAAAGTTTGTTTTTCTCTTTATTAATACGTTAGAGGGTACAAATGCAGTTTCATCACATGGACATGTTGCATAGTGATGAAGTATGAACTTTTGGTGTAACAATCATCTGAACGGTGCTCATCGTCCCAATTAGGTATTTTCTCATTCCTAACCCCTCTACCAACCTCCCATCTTTCTCAGTCTTCAGCGTCTATTTTTCCAGCCTCTATATCCAAGTGTATGCATTATTGAGCTCCCACTTAGAAGTAAGAAAGTGCAGTACTTGATTTTCTGTTTTTGATTTATTTCACTTACAATCACGGCCTCCGATTCCATTCATGTTGCTGCAAAAAAAATGTTTTTATTCTTTATGGCTGAATAGTATTCCATAAATGTATAAATGTATAGCACATTTTCTTTATTCAATCATTGATTGATAAATTTAAATTGACTCCATATCCTTGCTATTGTGAATAGTGCTGCAATAAACATATGAGTATGGGTATCTTCTTTAATTAATAAATTATTTTCCTTTGGATAGATACCCAGTAGAGGGAGTGCTGAATCAAATGGAAGTTCTATTTTTAGTTTTTTAAGAAATCCCCATACTGTTTTCCATCGAGGTTGTAGAAATTTACATTCGCACAAACAATGTATAAGTGTTCCCTTTTCTCTGTATCCTTGCCAATATCTTTCATTTTTTTGCTTTTTAATAGTTAACCATTATGAATGGTGTAAAATGGTATTTCATTGTGGTTTTTAATTGGCATTTCTTTGATCATTGGCAACGTTGAACATTTTTTACATGCTTGTTGGCTATCATTGTCTTCTTTTTGAAAAATCTGTTCCCATACTTTGCCTGCTTTTTAATGAGGGTACTTGTTTTATTCTTGTTGAGTTGTTTGATTTCCTTGTATATTTTGCACATTAGTTCTTTGTCACGTGCATAGTTCACAAACAGTTTTCTTATCCCATAAGTTGTCTGCTCACATGTTAATTAAAAGCTCCTTTTCAGGAGCTTTTTAGTTTAATTAAGTTCCATTTGTCTATTTTTCTTATTGTTGCATCTGGTTTTGAAATCTTAGTCATGAATTCTTTGTCCAGGGCAATGTCCAGAAGAGTTTATCATAGGGTTTCTTCTAGAATTTTTATCATTTTAGGTCTTCATTTTAGTCTTTTAATCCATATTGAGTTGGTTTTTGTATATGGTGAGAGTGACAGGTCCCATTTTGTACTTCTGCATATGGCAATATAATTTTTCCAGCGCAATTTGTTGAATAGGATGTCATTTTCCCAGTGTATATTTTTGCTGACTTTGTAAAAGATCAGTTTTGTGTAGGTTTGTGGCTTTATTTCTAGGTTCTCTATTCTGTTCCTTTGATCTATGCATCTATTTATATCAGTACCATGCCGTTTTGGTTATTAAAGCCTTCTAGTATATGATTCTATACGAATTTAATTTTTTTCTAATTCTATGCTAAATAACATTGGCATTTTGGTAGGAACTGCGTTTAATATGTAGATTATTTGGGGAAGTATGGTCATTTTAATGATAATAATTCTTACAATCCATGAGCATAGGATGTTTTCCTCATTTGTTTGTGTCATGTACAGTTTATTTCATCAACGTTTTGTAGTTTTCCTTGTGGATATCTTTAGCCTATATGATAAATTGTATTTCTAGTTATTTCACCTTTTTTCCAGCTATTGTAAAAGGAATTGACTTTTTAATTTGGTTCTCAGCTTGTTCATTATTAGTGTATAAAAATGCTACTAATTTTTGTACATTGATTTTTATATCCTGAAACGTTATTAAATTCTTTTATGAAATCTAAAAGTTTTTTGGTGGTCTTTAGATTTTTCTAGATATAATAGTATCTAATCATCAAACAGGGACAATTTGACTTCCTAGTTAAAATCATATGTATTGCCCACCAAGATCAACAGACAAAATCCATGGGGAGGGCACAGGTGATGGTATTTCTTTAAAGTAGTCATGTCATTATGGTTGGAAGCCTAGACTGAGAGACACTTAGCTAAGAATTGCCTCTCAAGTTTCAATGTACATGTAAATCATTTCCGATTCCAGGCCTCTCTCTTAGTAATGTGATTGTGCAGGTTTGGAAGGGGTCCATGAATTGACTTCTTTAAAAAGTCTCCTCTTAATGCTGATGTTTCTTCTAGTACATCCATTGTGGTGGCACTAGCTAGAGAAAGTAGGCACAGCACACAGAGTTCCTGACACCCAATACTCTTACCACAACATAAATACTTTTGGCCCAAGGTGGAAACCACCAATCACCATTCAGAAACGTGTTATTCTCAGCTGGCTCTGTAAAGTTTGCAGAGGCTAGAGAAGATATCAATGTTTGAGTAATTCTGCATTTGGAAAACATGTATACATGAGTTAATACAATGTATATTTAGCATGTACTATGTGCTTAGAAGTCTGTTATAGAGCACTGTGCTGGAAACATCATGTGACATGAGTGAATCCTCATAGCTCCCTGGGAGTTGGGTGCCAAGTGTTCTGTAATTTCCAGGATTTAAATGAAGGGCCCAGCATTTCCATTTATTCTTTCATTTTTAAAATTATTTACCTTAAAAAGAAAATGTGTAGGAAAAAACTATATAGACACATGAAAGGGATAGAGAAAGAAAGGGTGAGCTGTTCAGAGGGATTTTTGGTATTTATATTTACTTTCTTGTGCATTGTAGAGCAACTACTGGATCTGCAGAAATAAAAAAAAAAAGAGGTTACTTGGTGGGATATCTGTAGAAGCACTGCCTTCAATGAAAAAGAAATTGTGGCCCACAAATAGATAATTATTTGCTCACATTTATCTGCTTTTTATTTTCAGGAAATTGTGGGCACCAGCTCAGGAGAGGCAGCAGGAGCCACCTCTCAAATTTCTGGTCTCATTTAATTAGTTTTGTGAGAGGAGATTCTAGGGTGAGGCCAGACCTGGATGAGGCCTTGGAAGAGGGTGGATCTGAACAGGGATGCAACAGAAAGTGGGCCCCATGCATCTGATGCCTATGCTGGTGGAATATTTCCAGTTCTGTCTTTTCTAATCCTGCCCAAGAGAAACTTGACTCCTAGAGTTTGTGTAATTTCAATCTATTTAGCCATTTCCCTGTCACTTTTTATAACACACAATAACAAGAAATTTAACCAAAACTTTTAGGGTTTCTTAGGAATATTATATGAGAAACTCAAAAATGTATTTTTACTAAGCTTAAAGAAATGGAAATAATCACAATAGCAATAATTCTTCTGTCCATGAATAGCCCTTCAGGAGATGACATCAGAACTCACAACAGCATAGGGAAGTGGAACAAATGTAGCCAAAGTCCCCTGTACACCTCCCTTCTCTCTTCCGACCACAGAATGTTGAATTCAATTATTTAGCCATTGGCTCTGGAATGAAAGTATCTGGACAGTAGAAAGCGTGAATCTGTTTCATCTGTTTTTCTAATGGTCATATGATATAGTTTAGATGTCCCCTCTAAATCTCATATTGAATTTTAATTCCTAATGTTACAGGTGGGCCTGGTGGGAAGTGGTTGATTCATGGGGATGGATTCCTCAGGGCTCTGTGCTGCCCTTGTCATAAGAAGTACTCACAAGTTCTAGCGGCTTAAAAGTGAGGCATATCTCTCCCTCATCTTTCCTGTTCCCACTTCTAGCGTTTATGCCTGCTCCTATTTCATCTTTCACCATGACTGTAAGCTTCTTTATATGTTAATGTTGTTACAAAATTTCACTGAATTTTCTTATAAAATTACCTGAAAAAATTTTGTGTTATTTTAACATCATAAATATAATAAATAAATATGATATTATGACATCTGATATATTATGATAGCATAATTTGTATATATTATGACATCACAATATATTATGATATCATGATTCACATCCATTATGTCACAGTATATCATGACATCACAATATATGTGCAACATCACCATATGTCATGACATCATAATTCATGTATTGTGACATCACAATATATTATGAAATCATATTTGTTTACATTGTGACATCACAATATATTCTGACATCATAATTCATAAGCATTGTGACATCATATTTTGTGATATAATTCATATGTATTATTATGATAACATATAAAATTTTGTTAGGTAATTTTATAAGAAAATTGAGTTAAATTTTGTAACTACCTTAACATATAAACTTAATAGTACCTAAGAATATTATCTCCTCTTGTGTGAATGACTGCTTTATGATATTATACCATAATATATCAAAATGGTTTATATATCAAATAAATTTTATATGATAATATGGTATCAATATATAGTGATATTATAAGTTTCATTTAAATCCTATTTAAATTCAGACAATTTTGTTAGGCAGTGTCTGTCTACCATCTGATATTTTTTGGGGGTCCACTATTTGCACAGACAGCACACCTGGGAAAACACAGACTCACTCAGCACAGGCTCTTCCTGAATCTTTCCCCTCCTCAGGCATCAGTTCATCAGTCAACCAAATAACTGGAGAGCAGAGGGCAAGTATTCCCTAACACAGAAGGTCTCATTCCTGCATGCTTTTCTTAGAAGAGGGAAAAACAAGAAGGTCCTTTTGGGGGACACTTGCTGGGACATACACTAAGCCTTCTATAGTTTGGGAGCCCTAACCAGCAGATACAGACTTCTCAGTAGGAAGGGATGAGACAGCTGTCCTGAGCCTGGAGCTCCAACATACTTGTCCCATCTCGTTTAGGCAATTTTGAGAGGCTGCTCTGGAATATGTCTTAACGGTAGATGTTGGGAAATAACCAGGCTTTGATGGGACTCGTGTGGTGTCTGTAGTGTGAAGACAGGAGCTGAATGCTCAGGATCTAGGCTGTTTTTCTTGTGGTCAGTTGGGTAACCTGTTTGGGACCAAGTCCATTTTCACTAAGGAGACTGAATAAATTCTATAGAACAGAATACAGCTCCCAGGATGACTCAGGAAAGGTGAGAAACAGGAGAAGCTTCTCTCTCTACCTAGACTTTTTGCTACTTCAAGAATCATGAGGCCAGGCACAGTGGCTCAAGCCTGTAATCCCAGCACTTTGGGAGGCTGAGACAGGCAGATCACGAGGTCAGGAGATGGAGACCATCCTGGTTAACATGGTGAAACCCCATCTCTACTAAAAATACAAAAAATTAGCTGGTCTTGGTGGCAGGCACCTGTAGTCCCAGCTACTCGGGAGGCTGAGGTGGTAGAATGGCATGAACCCGGGAGATGGAGCTTGCAGTGAGCCCAGATCATGCCACTGCTCTCCAGCCTGGGCAACAGAGTGAGACTCCATCTCCAAAAAAAAAAAAAAAAAAAAAAAATCATGAGCTGACTAAATTACCATCAGCTCTAATCTAATCACATTGATTCTATCATGTTTGATCTAATTATCTTCCCCCATGTTAAGGTAGAATGGGCCATTTTATTTGGTATTTACTTTTTCTCCACATTTTTAACATATATGTATGTATCTAATACAATCAACCATAATTTTAATCTGACATTTCTAAGCATTTGAGAAATTATAATGTCTATGTATATTATTTTAACACTATGTATAATGCTCTTTCTTTGCAAAATGTATAACACATTTCAATATAGGTGTTGTTATACATAAAATGTTTATTCAGAAACAGAATGCTTGTTCCTCAGTGCCGCAAGGAAAAATCAGCATTCACACAAAAATTTTTCTCATCAAGGCAATTTTACTTTTTGCAGAAAGAGTACTCCTTGTGGATAGAACAATGGTGAGAGCACACTCGAACAAAGGAGAAAAGCAATTTTTATCCTTTATGCAGCTTGTCCCTGCGACTGTGTCCTGTCTCCATTGGCTGGAGCTGGACTTCACAATCTAAGCTAAACCTGACTAGCTAATAACTTAAAACTCTCCTAAATAGGTAAAGGCAAGGGAGAACAAAGGAAAACAGGAAGTTGCTTGCAAAAAAACTTAGAAAAGTAATAATATTTCAAAATAGGGAAGGGGCATAGGCTGTGCGCTATGAAGTCTAAAACAAATATCTTGGTTAAAGTACAAGTACATAGGATGTACTCATACCCTTATATCTAACAGCTACATAGGATGGGGCATAACAAAGAGTTATTAGCACAAAGCAAGGAGTCTTGAAGGAAGTTAGTCTTTAAAAGAAACTATTATTTCTAACACTTATGAATTATTCTTTAACAAAAAAGGAAACGTTGAAGGGAACCTTTTTTACTTTCTACAGGTATGTTTAATTCTGCATCTTGAATAATAAGCGGTATCATAAATAATTCCAGGTAGGAATTGGGAAATTATTATAAAATGATTCCCTTATCTTCTGATTCCTGTGCCCCTGGCTCTGTTTTTTTGTTTGTTTGTTTGTTTGTTTTTATTTTTGACACTATGGCAAGACCCAGAAAATGTCTCCCAATAACTGTGTCTAGGTCTCTAATAAAACTACAGCAAGAAACTTTTCTTTTTGAGGCGCTAATGAGAGCCAGAAAAAGAAAACAGCCAAGAAGAGTAAGCCACACCCAGCTGAGGGACATATAAAAAGGCAGGTCCAGCAGAGTAACTCACACTGTGAATCTGGACGTGAGAGAGAGAGCACCTTTCACTTGAATTTGAACATGGGAAAAGGAAATGAAAACTCTGATTCACCACTGCTCGTACATCCAATGCCCCACTGACCAGCCTTCTTTCAAACAGATCTCCTTTACAGAAAAGGGCTCAGATGAGAAGAAACCATTGAAAGAAAAAAGGCAAGACCCCCTCCTCCCATTCCAGTGAGAAGCACATGCAAAGGCAGGTAAGGCCTTGGGCTGTTCCTATGAAGTCTCCAGGGAGGGTTGGAATCAGAGATACTGAGCTATGTGTCTTTGATAGGGTTTTATTTTGAAATTGGGAATGGGAAATGGCTTAGATCTCTGAGGAGACTTTGAGAAATGTATTCACTCATGACACTGGCAGAACAGCTTCACTTGAAAGACTGATTCACAAATATTTTTCAGAGACAGACTATGGGACACTGTACCTGGGAGAGGTGAGTCACCTAAACTCCATGTTGCACTAGGATCAAAGCCTAATCCAAATGGAAAGAATTCTGAGGAAACTAAGCTCAAAGTCAGAAACAGCACTGCTAGATCAGGTAAAATTTGACTCTTTCAAGGTAAAAAGAGACAGAGCTGCAACACAGTCTCCCCTGGCAAGAAAACTGGGAGCTCTTTGGCAGCCAGGGCCTTACAGATTCTGGATTCTGGAGAACAGAGGAGAGACAGGTTTGGTTGCAACTTCAGTTTCTGTGTGTCCAGGATAAACTAAGCCTTCTAGGGTGTTTGATTGGAGGCACTTACTCAAACTATTATTTTATCAATAGAACCAGAGTAGAGCTTGCATGAGGGAAACTCCAAGTAAAGGAGAATCAGCTCCAAAGACAGCTGCCAAGACAGAGCAAGTAGAATCCTGCTTTTTTCCCCCCTAAAGGGCAAACAAGCAGAAGACTTGTTTGGGGTTGAGCAGCAAGAAGGCTTCTTAGTGACTGAGATAATTTTGGAGATCCTGGCACTCAGAGGATATCTGGGGACTCAGAAGGGGTTAAGCTTCACTTCATTAAAGTGCTAAGATGGTCAGGAAGGAGAAGAAGAGACAAATGAGGTTCACCTGAAGATGCATGGAAGGTTGTGGAAATGAGGGTCTGTGGGCACTGTTCTGGAGAGTCTCTCACTCCCATGCTTCCTCTGCAGGGAACTGTCCAAGAGAAGAGTGCAGCTTGATGTTGAAAAAGAAACTAAAAGTCCTCCACTGCTTTGCAAAGCAGTGAAATCCAGGAGACCTGTGATGCCCACCATAGAGGTCCTTTCATGGCTTGCACTGGGTGCAGCAAGTGGCACAAGTCTCAGGCCCCTGGAGTTCAATAGTCATCACTTTGGAAAGCTTAGTGAACTTCCGAGGTGAGTCAAAGGCCATTTATCAAAACCCATCCCATGTGTTGGTGCAGCAGGTCCATTCTCCACTGACCTGGGAGAAGCTCACTCAGCTTGCCTGGATCTGGGGGCCTCTGTGTGCCCAGGTGCAGACCTTCTATGCCATGGCCACCCAGGCAGGTTATGTCTTCTCTCTTAAGAACTGGCTTGTTTCAGCCACACTGCCTGGCCCTGAGGATTCAGCTCTGGATAGAGAAGCCCATCCCTTGCCTGGGCAGGAGATAACTGAGCCTGTCAGTAGATCAGATGAGGCTTAGGCTAGGTGCACCCTCACCCTATTCACAGGGGAATGTGAGCAAGAACTTGCTACTTCTCAGATTCTTCCAGATGACCAGCAGTGACAATTTTAGATGCACAGTGTTAATAAATGACAGAACCTGAGCAGTCATAAGAAAGGAACATGAACAATATACTCAAAATAGTGAACCTTGCATTTTGTAGAGGGCTAAGATTATACACAAATTATACATTTCCTGTTAGACATTTGATGTCTTGGATGTTTCATGACAGTCAGGCATTTCTATATAATCAGACAAATATTAAGATGCAATCATTCATATGCCTTTGCATATTTTAAATTGTAGCCAAATAAATATAAAATTATGTTCTTCTCTTTTAATTCAAAAAAGGTTGTAGCCTCTCACTCTCCCACACTGAATCCATGGAACACGAATATCCACAAACATTTAATAGTACTCTTCATGGGAAAATGTCAACATATTTTTACAGTTTAATAAAATTATGGTGAAATCACCACACAAGGTGTTTACTAATAATATTTTTACATAAAATTGAAGTCAAGATATGTTAAATGTAATTGATCATAATTATTTATCCTTCACCTGACTCATATTTGTCTCATTTTAAATTTTCTAAATTTAAACTTTATACAATTCAGTTGGTCATACTGTATTGTAAGACATTAAAGGTAATATAAATATTGTCATTTATTTTACATATTGTAACATTTTATATTTTTCATCTTGCATTTTACAGTGAGATTATGAAATCTTTCATCACCTAAATGTATTTTGTTTTGTTCTCTGCTTCATAATTTTCATATACATAATGATATAAACATTAATGTTTTTGAGAATATTCAATTTTAGATGATTTTGTATTTTATCCACACTGAATTTTTATTTACTCCATGTGTGAGTTAGAGGACTTTTTACCTTCACTTCTGCTTTATTTTCACCCTGACCCTTCACACCCCACAACTCTTGTTTTAGTCAAAGAACAGTGATTTATCATTCCAGTAAATGGAGCCAATTCAATGAAAATATACAGATATACCTTGGAGATATATGGCTTTTGCTCTAGACAGGTACTATAAAATAAATATCACAATAATGTGAGTCACACAATTTTTCTTCTTTCCCAGTGCATATAAAAATCATGTTTACACTACAATGTAGAATAAGACTGAAATAGCCTATGTTTCTAATAACAAGGTACAAACCTTGACAAAAAATGTACTATATTGCTAAAAAAGGCTGACACAGATATACACACAAAAAAATCACATGATGCTGGAAAAATAGTGTTAATAGAGTCGCTCAATGTAAGGTTGCAAAACACCTTCAATTTGTAAGAAATCCAATATCTATAAAGAACAATAAAGTGCAATAAGACTAGGTACGTCTGTGTAACAATCAATGTTCACTAGTAATATGCCTAGAAATTATACATAAAGGATGTTTGCATACATATAAAAGTAATTGACAACTTACATATTGGATGGGAGATAAAAATTACAAAATGATTTTTAAAGTGAATTAAAGGGTAGACCAAAACATTCCTGAGTGGACAGAATCAGTTAGACATCCTCAGTGACCTCTTCTTGTTGACTTGCAAACAAGCAAAACATAATGTGAGCTAATTTTTTTGTGAATGCCTGTATTAAAAAAAAAACAGAACTTAAGCTTAAGTTATCAGACGTACCCAAGAAACTTACAGTAATATACATCTATAAAGTAAACCAAAAAATACAATTTTATAACTGCAACAAATCAAAGAATTTTATTATTTGCTACTTCATTTTTTTCAATGCAATCTTACCTCTGACATTTTGCCATTGAAATGCTAAACCTCTTTTGCTCTGGTGTTCCACAATTTATAAGTTGCTTCTTACTCAAGAAAAATTTTTTGAAACAGGTTCTTGCTTTGTTGCTCATGTGGAATGTGTACGCAGAATCAAAGCTCTGTACAGGTTTACATCCTGAGCAAAAGCCATCCTCCCACCTTAGCCCCATGAGTAGCTGCAACTACAGGCATGCACCACCACACTTGGCTAATTTCTTCTTATTTCTATGTAGAGACTGGGTCTTACTATGTTTCCCAGGCTGACTTCAAACTCCTGGGTTCAAGTAATCTCAACTTGGCCTCTCAAAGTGCTGGAATCACAGATATAAACCACCATTCTCTGCCAAGAAAACTTTTAAAATTTGCATTGTGCTACAGTTTACTTTTTAACAGGACAAAATAAAATAAACTAGCTATACATAAATCTAACAAAAATTTGTAAAGCATATGAGAAAGACCATAAAAAGTCCTTGAAATATAAGAAAATCAGCATAAACAAATGGAAAACCACATCATGTTCTAAGGTAGAAAATCTCAATATTACTCAATCATCAATTTTTAGAAGTAATTTATATATTTAATTTTGTCCCACTAAAGATACCAACTGGTATTGGAAGCAGGCTTTTTATTGCAAAACTCATATAGATAAAAACACAAATAAGAACAGCTGAGAAAACTCTGAAAAAGTAGAGTGGCTATGCCACCCTATGAGACATGTTGATTTATGAATATATGGATAGCTCAGTGGAAGCACAAATTCAAAAATAAACCACAGTGCATAAGAAAGTGCCTTTGTTCAGGCTGCTAAAACAAAATACACTAGACTCAGTAATCCATAAACAACAGAAATGTTTGATCACTGTTCTGGAGGCTGGAAAGTTCAACATCAAAATACCAGCAAATTCAGTGTCTGGTGAGGGTCCTGTTTCTCATAAATGGTATTTCTTGCTGTGCCTCACGTGGCAGCCAGGAAAAGTGTGCTCCCTTCAACCTCTATTACAGGGTATTAATTACATTTATGAAGATGAAGCCCTCCTGAGTGAGTCACTTCCCAAAAGCCTCCATGTTTTAAAACTAGCATATTAGGGATTAAATTTTTACAAACGAGTTTTTACAAGTAGACACAAATTCAGGCCATAGCAAAAAGTTAATTGGCAGTACAGACTGCAGTTGGGTTGGCACCATTAATGCTTTGAGTTTAGGAATCTGATGTTTCTATCATAAAGGTAAAAACTAATGTGCTAATTATAACCTGCAATACAATAAAAGTCAAATGAAAGATAAATCTATATGGTATAAAAATCAAGTTTTTAAAGGTGAATTCTTACAGGTTGTATCCTGGGGATGAATAAGACCCCAGAGATTCCTCCTGTGACTTTTTTACTGAAGTTTCTGACACTCTTACTCAATTTGAAAGTGTGTAAAAATGTTTTCTGTTTCTGTCTTTAAGAAATTCAAAATAAAGTTGGCTTCCATATGCTTGATCTAAAACAATTATTCATTCAGTGGTGCTCTGATGAGGAAGGGCACTGAATCTCACACGCCCAGAAGCATCATGTTCTGTCAGATACAGGACTTCTCCTTGAGGCAGAACCTCACCATTCACACATGGTCAGAGGCTTTCCCAGGCGTGGACTGTTCTGTGCTCTCCCACACAGGCTCAGCCCTGAGCATATGACTCTGTAAGTGACTGATGAATATGTGCCCTAGTACTCTAATTTACAGGGATTTTGTTTTCTATTAATGATCTTTTCCAAAGCTCTAGGGTCTTTCCTGAATCCACCTACCACACACAGATAGACTGGTAGATTTGGACAGAAGCTTGGATCCTCACTCGAAGCCTTGCCTGTCCCACCAGCTTCTCTAGAAGTACAATGTTCAAATTACTCCTGAGAGACAGGACATCAGGGCATCTCTCTGTGCCAATAATTGAATAAAAGTGAGAAGAGAAACAGGCAAAAATTTCCACTGAGGGCTGCATCTAAGGATCTAGTTGCCAGACTTATATATCTTTTTACACAAATATTGACAAATGTAATTTCATCTTAAGATGAAAAACAAAATAAAGAACCACACCTCACAGAGGAATGAGAAAATGAAATCAATGCTCTATAGAATCCAGCTTACCTCAGCCATGGGGTGGTAAGTCTCCTTGTCCTCGATCATCAGAAACAACTGTGGCCTCAGACAGCTGGCCACTGAGGATGCAGGATGTTCACTGGGATTCCAGGTCTACATCACAGAGAGATGGAATTCCCAGGAGAAGCTGAACCCACAGGTCCTGTTCTACCATTTGGTCTAACTAATACTACTCCTATTCCTCCTCCTAGCCCAACAGGATTCGCCAACTCTTCTCTGGGCCTCACTAGGGATAGTTCAGAAAGACAAAAAGTTATTAAAGACCCTCTGTTTCTGTAGTTTCTGGCATCTAATTTGTTCATTTTTAGGTTTTGGGTTTTTGTCCTCCCTCTACATCCACATAATTTTTGTGTCCTATTCCAGTACCTATAACTTTAAGTAGTCATTTTTTTCTAGTCTACTCACCCATACTGTTTTCTAGTCATTTCATTTTTTTCTGGTAGAGTGAGGTGATATAGACACAAGAACTTCTATATAAAAATTCACTATAACTAAGTTGAGCACCACAACCCCTCTTTGGGCTGGACGGTCATTCAGAAAATGTAAAAACCAGATTTGCCTGGGGTTGCAGTTAACTAAATGAAAGATACATCTTGTCCAGGAATGCTCGGTGGGAAATCTCATTTGAAAATGGATGCCTATAGACCTCAGTGATATTCTCTTCAGCTTGGAGTCAGTCAAGAAAAAGATTTTTGGGTGCTAAGGGAAAAGTTACATTCAATCAACAAATTACCTAGCCAACATGTGTGGACCCAGAGAAAAAAAGGAAGTAAAATCAAACAGTTTGCCATGTTGACAGATATAATAATTTGATTAAAATGCAAGTGGCCTCAAAACCCTAAAGGTTACATGAATGAGCTTCAAGGGACACACGGTGTGGCTGGAGTCAGCTGACTATTATGCTAAAGGTGAGACATGATCAATACCTCAGGAAGTGAGCCAAAGACCAATGCAATTATCATGCCAGGAATGGTCTGTCACCTTCTAAACCATGAGACAAACAGGTCAACTTTCAGTAAGAAGCACAGGTCTGGCATGCAGTGGTGACCTCTGCATTACGCATGGATTCAGGCTTGGTTTCTGGCTTAATTGTGGTTAGTATTTTCAGAGAAGAGACACTTTCCACGAACTCCTAAATGAATTACCTGACAAATCAGCAGCTAAAATTCTTTCTGATTTGAAGCCAAATAAAGGATGTCCTTTACCAAATAGCCTTTAGTTTCAATGTGGAAGATTAAACAGTTAGAACATGGCCAATGATCCGAAACCCTGAGCTCTTACCATTAAGAGGAGCAACCACCCCTGCTTCAGGTTCTGTGTGGCTGGCACTGAGGTTAGACATCCACAGCCACCCAGTAAGCACCTTAAGGTGGCAGATTTCTTGACTCATCAGGGAATTAGGGGCAAGCATCTAGAAAACATTCAGTAAATTGAAGACCCCATAAAGCCAGGAGTTTTGCTTTAAACAGTGGAGTGGGATCTATTAGTTCATTTTAATCCTGCTAATAAAGACATACCTGAGACTGGGCAATTTGCAAAAGAAAGAGTTTTAAAGGACCTACAGTTTTACGTGCTGGAGAGGCCTTACAATTATGGCAGAAGATGAAATGCATGTCTCACATGGTGGCAGACAAAAGAAGAGAGAATGAGAGTAAAGTAAAGTAAAAAATGGTTTCTCCTTATAAAACCATCAGATCTCGTGAGACTTATTTATTACCACCAGAACACTATAGGGAAATGTGACCCCATGATTCAATTATCTCCTACTGACCCCTCCCACAAAACTTGGGAATTACAGGAGCTAAAACTCAAGATGAGATTTGGGTGGAAACACAACCAAACCATATCAAGGAGCATAAAGTTTTCACCAAAGAACCTAATTTTTCTATTACAGCTAAGAAGTTCCTGTGACAGTCCAATTTTCCTTTAAAATATGTTATATTCTATGTGGCATTCTGATGTCTTGGAGAACTCAAATTTACTCACTTCAGAATTGGAATATCAAGCTGGGAAGTCCCAAGCCCTTGATGTGTCAGGATTAAGTTTTACAGGAGCTTCAAAGCAAGCTCATCAATGACTTTCAAATCAGTGTAAGTAGTGGTGTCAGGAAGACTATGTTTCAAAAACTTTAAGGGGCACCTCTATGTGGAGGCTGACTCCCTCTCTCAGAGGGTTCAAATGAAAACAATATCAAGTATTCCTTGGCTGCTGGAAGAAGTGAACTATGTAAATCTGCCCACATAGTCCCCGTGAATCTTAACTGGAAAACAGGACTATGGGATATTGGGGATTTTATCAGCTCCTGGCAGAGAGATGTTACCATTCTAGACAGGAGCATGAAGGCAGATGCTTCTAAATTGGCAGCCAATAAAAATTACCTACAGAGTTAAACTTTTTGGACATCAGAGGGTAGAGGCACTCATGATGAATTCTGCCCTGCCACTGTGGCAAATGGCAGGCAAGTTTGTCTCACTTACACTTCTCTACCTGTTCCTCACCCAATTTAGAATAATCCCCTCTGGCACTTAAGGAGCAGGCAAGGACAAAAACACGTAACCTGACAATTGCTACTATAGGTTCTGATACACAAACACAACAGGACATTGATGGAGTCAAAAGACTCCACCTCCATTGTTATGTGACCCTCCCACCTTCACTGTCACCCTCCCCAAACACTATTATTTGAGTTTTCCTCTTTTTTTAAATTTTATTGTTTACTTTTATGTTATCTTCTATGTAAACAAAAATTTTAAAATTACACTATCCACAGGAAAGGGGAATACAAAACACCAATAAAGACTGGCACAGGTGTCTGTTGGGGATAGAAAACAGCAATGTTTTCTATCCCCAACATTTCACCCTGAGGTCTGTGCTGTCCCCTCACCTCTGTACCATCCAGCATTTGGAAAGTATTCAGGATCAGCAGCTTCCAATTGATGAAGGAGGGTGAAGTCCAAGATCAAGGTGTGGGCAAGGTGGGTTTCTTCCAAGGCCTCTCTCCTGGGGTTGTAAGTGGCTGCCTTCTCCTTGTGTCCTCACATGGCTGTTTCTCTGTGTGCACATCTGTATCCTTATCTCCTCTTTCATGGATACATCAGTTAAATTGAATTAGGGCCCACCCTAAGGTCCTCATTTTATAAACTTTTTTATTGTAACTGATAATGATTGTCTACATTTATGGTACTGTTTTGAAATATGCACACATTGTGAAATGGTTAACCCAAGCTAGTTGGCATATGCGTTACCTCACACACCCATCTTTTTTTGTTGTGAGAACACTCAAAATCTACTTTCTTAGCAATGTGCAAGAATAGAATAAATTGGCCGGGCGCGGTGGCTCACGCCTGTAATCCCAGCACTTTGGGAGGCCGAGGCGGGCGGATCACGAGGTCAGGAGATCGAGACCATCCTGGCTAACACGGTGAAACCCCGTCTCTACTAAAAATACAAAAAATTAGCCGGGCGAGGTGGCGGGCGCCTGTAGTCCCAGCTACTCGGGAGGCTGAGGCAGGAGAATGGCGTGAACCCCAGGGGGCGGAGCCTGCAGTGAGCCGAGATTGCGCCACTGCACTCCAGCCTGGGCGACAGCGAGACTCCGTCTCAAAAAAAAAAAAAAAAAAAGAATAGAATAAATTAACTGTAGTCACCAAGTGCAATAGATCTCTTGCACTTATTCTTCCTGTCTAACTGAAATTTTGTATAATTTGACCAACTCCTGATTCCCCAACCTCTGCTCCCAAAGACCTCATTTTAACGTAATTACCTCTGTGATGACACTATCTCCAAATATAGTCACATCCTTAGGTGCTGAGTGTTAAGGTGTCAACATATGAATTTTGGGAAGCACACGATTCAGCTCACAGTAGCCTCTGTCAGGACATAACGTTTACATTGTGATCCCAGTAACCTCGCAATAGAGGGAATGACATGCAAAGATTCTGAGGAAGAAAATTCCAGGCAGGGAATTCTGTTGAGCAATGGCCCTGAAATGGGAGTGAACAGGGTGCGTTTGAGGAACCAGAGACCAGTGGCAGAGGGCATGGGGTGCAGAATGCAAAGGGAGGACATGAAGTCGCAGAGTTCCGGTGAGATATGTAAACTTGACTGTGATTTCATTTCCCATGCGGTGAGAAGTCATTGGAGGGTTTTCAGCAAGAGGCACAATCAGATTCATATGTTTAAAAGCTTTTTCCAGTTGCTTTATGGAGAATTAATTCTAAAGAGGGCAAATATGGAAACGAGGAGCCTTTTTCGCAGGTCAGGTGGAAGTGATGGTGGCTTCGACTGAGTGATGCGGAATAAGAATGAAGCAGGTGGGCCAGGCGCGGTGGCTCATGCCTGTAATCCCAGCACTTTGGGAGGCCGAGGAGGGCAGATCACGAGGTCGGGAGATTGAGACCATCCTGGCTAACACGGTGAAACCTCATCTCTACTAAAAATACAAAAAAATTAGCCGGGCGTGGTGGCGGGCGCCTGTAGTCCCAGCTACTTGCGAGGCTGAGGCCGGAGAATGGCGTGAACCCGGGAGGCGGAGCTTGCAGTGAGTGGAGATCATGCCACTGCACTCCAGCCTGGGCAACAATGTGAGACTCCGTCTCCAGAAAAAAAAAAAAAAAAGATATAAACTAGAAAGAAGCTGTCTGTGAAACTGCTTTGTGATGTGTGGATTCATCTGACAGAGATAAAACTTTCATTTGATTCAGCAGGATGCAAATGATTCTTTCAGGTCCTGCTTTGCATATTTAGATAGATATTCAGAAATGGGGTTGCTAGATCATATGATAATTCCATTTTTAATATTCTTAGGAAGTTCTCTACTATTCTTCATAATGGCTGCATTATTATTTTTTTCACCACCAGTGCACAATGTTCCAATTTCTCTACATCCTTGAAAACATTTGTTATTTTTTCTTGTTTGATAGTGACCATCCTAATGAGTGTGAGGTAATATCTCATTGGGGTTTTGCTTTTTATTTCTATAAAGATTTGTGGTTTTGAGCATCTTTTCAAATTCCTCTTGACCATTTGTATGTCTGCTTTGTAAAATCATCTGTTGAGCATTTTGCCCATTTTTAAATAGGGTTATTCACCTTATGTTGTTGAGTTGTAGAAGTTGTTTATAGATTCTGGGTATTATCTTCTATCAAATATATAATTTGGGATTTTTTATCCATTCAGCATTTTTACTCCATTCAATGTTTTTTTGATGTCCAGAAAGCTTATGTCACTTGATATAGTCCGATTTTTCTGTTTTTATTCTTGTTACTTCCGCTTTTAATGTCGTGTTTAAAAAATTACCAAGAAAAATGTCATAATTGTTTATTCTATGTTTTATTTTAAGAGTTGTATAGCTATCTTACTTACATTTAAGTGTTTAATTCATTTAAGACATTTTTATCTATGGTGCAAGTAAAAAGTCCAATTTTATTTTCTTCTATTTTGATATTCAGTTTTACAACACTATTTGTTAAAGAGTCTGTTCTTTCCCTGTTGTTTGGTCATGGAAACTTGATTAAAAATTATTTTATGATATTCATGAAAGTTTATTTCTGGGTTCTCTATTCTGTCCCATCATTTATTTGTCTTTCTATTTGTATTGCTATAGTTTTGTAATATGTTTTGGAATCAGGAAGTGTGATACCTCTAACTTTGTTCTTTTCTGAAGCTATTTTGGCTACTCATTGTCCCTTGATATTCCATATGAGTTTTAGGAGTTAAAACAATATTTATGCAAAAAAATTCTCAGCATCCCTTCCAGCCTGGCCTTGAGATATTATATGAATTTTAGGACTTAATATTTTTGCAAAAAATGTAGCATTGGGGTCTTGATAGAAAATACTTCAAATTTCTGCTTCACTGTGAGTAGTATTGACATCTTAACAATATTAGGTTTTCTGTCCCTTGAACACAAGGTCAAGTGTGTGCTGTTTTAAGTTTGATATATTTTTTCGTTTGCCAGTTTTCTTCTGCTTGTGACCTGTAGATGAGAGCTTATTATGTTGCCCAGGCTGGTCTCCAACTTTTGGCCTCAAGATATTCTCCCTCCTCAGACTCCTGATGTGTTTGGATTACATAGATGAGCCACTGCACCTGGTGTCTTTATTGTTTTTATGTTATTTTTATGATTTGAAGGTAATTTTTGGAAAATGTTTATAAATATGTTTCTGTTTAGAAGTTTTTTCAATTTTAATGTGTCAAAAACATGTACAATTTACCATCTTAAATATTTTAAGTACATAGTTAAATATTATTAAATGTATTTGCTTTGATATATAACATATCTCTAGGATGTTTTTATGCTGCAAAACTAAAACTCAATAATCATAAAACAACAACTATCCCTTTATCTCCTCCCCTAAGGCTCTGACTAATACTATTCTACTTTCCGTTTCTAGGAGTTTAACTACTTTAGATTTCTTATTTAGCTGGAATTACAGTGTCTGTCTTTTTGTGACTAGTTTATTTTACTTACGTAATGTCCTCAAGATTTATCCTTAGTGTAAAAATAATCAGATCTCCTGCTTTTCCAAAGGTGAATAATATTCCATTATTTGTATATTCCAAATTGTCTTTATCCGTTTATTCACTGAGGGACATTTGGGTTGCTTCCACCTGTCAGCCTTTGTGAATAATGCTGCAATGAATATGGATATACAAATAACTCTTCATTTGGTCATATATATGAGTTTATTTCTGTGCCTTATTCCGGTCCATTGGTCTGTCTGTCTGCCTTTATGCCAGTACCAAATGGTTTGGTTACTATAGTTTTCTAACACATTATGAAGTCAAGGAGTGTGATGCCTCCAATATAATTTCTTTTTTTGAAGATTGTTTGGCTTTTTATAGTCCGTTTAGAGTCCATATGAGTTTTAGAAATGTTTTTGTATTTCTGCACATTGAAAAGGCAGTTAATATTTGATGGAGATTGCATTGAATGTGTAGATCACTTTGGGTACTGTGGACGTCTTCACAATACTGTCTTCCAACCATTGAAGAAGAACTGCTCAAGAGTGTGTTAATTTCCACATGTTTGTAGATATTCCAGTATTTTTTCTGCTCTTAATTTCTAATACTATTTCCTTTTAATCAAAACTGACAGTTTGTAATACTTTAATTTTTTTTTGAGACAGGGTTTTGCTCTGTTGCTCAGGCTGAAGCACAGTGGCTCAATGATGGCTAACCACAGCCTTGATCTCCCAGGCTCAATAAATCCTCCCACCTCAGCCTCATTAGTATCTGGAAGCACAGGCATGCCCAGCTAATTATTTTTATTTTATATTTTGTAGAGACAGGGTCTCCCTATGTTGCCCAGGCTAGCCTTGAACTCCTAAACTCACTCAATCCTCCAACCTCAGCCTCCCATAATGCTGCAATTATAGGTATGGGCTACCATGTCTGGCCCATATTTTAATATTTTAAAATTTAGTAAAACTTGTTTTGCATCCTAGTAGGTCATCTACCCAGGAGAATGTTTCATGACCTATTGAAAAGATTGTGTATTCTGATGTTGTTGTGTGGAGTGTTTTTTTCTTTTTTCTTTTTTACTTCTTTTCACTGTAACTAGTGTTTTCTAAATGTCTTTTAGGTTTACACAGTTTGCAGTGTTATTCAAATCCTCTGTTTTCATGTTAACATTCTGTCTGGCTTTATTATTCATTACTGATAGTGGGGTAATTATGTCTCTTACTATTTTTGCATAGCTGTTTCTTTCTTCATTTGTGTCAATGTTAGCTTTACATGTCTGGGAACCATGATGTGAAGTGTGCATATATTTATTATTAATACAACTTCCCCAGTGAATCAACTCTTTTGTCATTATATCATATCTTTCTTTGTCTCTTATATCAGTTTTGACTTAATGTGTATTTTGCAAAATTATGACCCCTCTTGCTGTCATTTGATTGCAATTTTCCTACAAAGTATTTTTCATACTGCCATTTTTAGCCTATCTGTTTGCTTAGATCTAAAGTGAGTTTCTTATAGATAGCAAAAAATAAATCTTGTTTTTTTTTTAATCTCTTTAGCCAATGTATGTATTTTTATTGGAAATTTTACTCCATGTATATATTCATTTTAATTCTGGAAAGAATGGACTATTTCCATTTTGTTAATAGTTCTATTTGTTTGATGTGGCTATTTTATCCTATTTTTTGTTCTTATTCCCTTCCTTTGTGTTTAATTGGTATTTATGGTGACATGTTTTTATTTCTTTCTATTTTAATTTGCCAAGGCCAAATTGCAAGATAAAAAGTTTGCCTTTAATCCATTCTTTTGACATCTAAGTTCTGGAAGTCAAGGCTATGGACTGATCTAAAACCATGAAGTTTTCCCTTCTGGAGCCCAATCTTGTTTGGACTGCTGCCTGATCTCTGGAGGAGTGATGAGTCCACACCAAGAAGCAGTGAATAGCAGTGATCTACCTGTGAACACTTGTTTCTGGTACGCCCCATCCATCTCTCAGGGTGCCACCTCTCTTACCCTTGAAACAGGAGAGATATTGGCAGAGAAGGGGCATTCCCTCCCATCTGGCAGAAAAGGAGAATTCAGGCCCTTTACCTCCCTAAGGTCAGAAAAGTCAGAGCTCTCAGAGATGCACTTGCAATGTGGCAGCCACTGACCACAGGGGGTTACCGAGCACCTGTATTGTATACAGTATGAACTGATATATGATGGGGAAAAATACAAGAAAGTATTTTAAAGATTTAGTTATATATATATATATCTTAAATAATTTAATTCTGATTATATGTTAAAATATTTTGGATATATTGGGTTATCAAAATCAATTTTACTCATTTTTCTTTTTCTTTATGCTGCTACTACAAAATTTTAATTGATACACATGGCTCACATTTTACTTCTGTTACACATTGCTGCAATAGAGGGTCACCTATTTGCAAAGCTCAGTCTTCCTCAAAAGCCAAGAGGCCAGAAAGATTGTAAAATCTAAAATTTAAAAATTATTGTCATTGGCCAGTGCTGTGGCTCACGCCTGTAATCCCAGCACTTTGGGAGGCCAAGGTAGGTGGATCACTTGAGCACAGGAGTTCAGAACAAGCCTGGCCAACATGGCAAAATCCTTTCTCTACTAAAAATACAAAAATTAGACAGGCGAGGTGGCAGGCGCCTGTAATCCCAGCTATTCAGGAGGCTGAGACAGAAGAATTGCTTGAATCTGGGGGGCAGATGTTGCAGTGAGTAGAGATTGCACCACTCTACTCCAGCTTAAGTGATAGAGTGAGATTCTGTCTCAAAAAAATAAAAATAGAAATAATTGTCATTATGTTGTTTTCATCTTGAATAATACACACACACACTCACCCACACACATCCCTCCCTCCACACACACACAGAGTGAGGGAGAGAAAGAGAAAGCAGATCTCCCTCTGTCACCCAGGCTGGAATGCAGTGGCCTGATCTCAGCTCACTGCAGCCTCTACCTCCTAGGCTTAAATGACCCTCCCACCTCTGCCTCCCAAGTAGCTGGGGCCACAGACACACGCGACTATTCCTGGCTAATTTTTTCATTTCTTTATAGAAAAGGTGAAGGGTATGGTGCTAACATTATATTGACCAAGCTGGTTTTGAACTCCTGGTTTCAAGAGCTCCTCCCCCCTCAGCCTACCAAAGTGCTGGGATTACAGGTGAGCTCCACCATGCCTAGCCTCATATATAGCATAAGGAGGAAGTCCTGCCTGAAAATAGCTGCAGCTAGAAACTTTTCACTCTGTCCTCATTTGGCCATATATGAGTTGGTTCACATCTTCAGTCACTCAGGACCCAAAGGGGTGAAGCCTGGAGTTCTATTTTCCACTCACTGGTGCTGGGGCAAAAACTTTCCTCAAACTATTAGTTTAATGCCTAGCAATGCTAATTTTTAGTGAGAAACTTAAAATTACTTATCATAACAAGACTTTAAGATTTTAAATTACCAAATAAAAAATTAAAATTATAACATGGGTACTTTCTCTAATTTTGGGGGGGTTCAAGTACCTATATTATATATTGAAACCTACTGTTTCTGTAAGCCCTACTCTTAAGTCAAAACAGCCTTGATGTTATTGTGAAAAGGTACTTAGCATTAATCCTACCCTTAGGCAAATTTATATAGTGATTTCAATTGTCCTACACATTACTTTCCTGTGATAAGTGTCTGGGTTTAGGAGGTAACAGTGCGGGGATCCACCATCTTCAGCCATCTGAGACATAGCTTCTATTTGTAAGTCCCTCTTAAATGTTTCCTTCTGAGAAACTGTCAGCCTCTTTCTTCAACCTTTCAACATCCTTGGCCTTTAAAGATAGGTTTACATATACCTACTCATGACAAAACAAGGTTATATATATATGGTCTGTCCATTACTAGAACATTGTTATGTGGTTCATGACTGTAATGTGTGGCACATGTAGTTTTGTACATGAATAGTATACTTTATATAGTATATTTTATATAGCTGCTTTCTATTACACATCACTAAAATACATGTTCAGTAAGTGCTCACTTAATGTCATTGATAGATTCTTGGAAACTGACACTTTAAGTAAAACAATGTACTATATAATAAAACCAATTTTACCATTGGTTAATTGATACAAACAAGAGTTAACTTCCTATGGTATGTAGTATTTTGTTTCACTTAAAGTCAGTTTCCAAGAACCTATCAATAAAGTGAGAATATACTGTAATTAGTATTATAGTATATAGTACATTACTGCATTATACTATTATAGAATGTTATTGTAGTCTTAGCAGTTGGTAGGGTAATGTGTTTCAGTTTCCCCCAAGATCGCAGAATTATTCAGACAAACCAATAACAACCTCCTGTGGGAACCAGGAGCATCTCATCCCTTGATACTACAGAGCCTTCCCCGGACAACTCCTGTTTGTTCTCTCTGCTCCCAAGAGCAATCCCTGTGTGGGTCTATTTACCTTACATAATTCCCTCTTTCCATGATTATATGTAATGAATAACTGCTGTCAATCTCATTAGTCCAGTGAGTGGTGCCATGATTTTAACTGCTCCAGTAGCCCTAGGGTGGTAATTTTTCCCTCAAACAATTCACAACACAAACTGGATTAACCACCCATAACTGAGGACAGCTGCTCAACTGTAACTGCTTTTGGCCTACTGGTTTCATAATACATTAAAACCCACCTCAGTCAGAAGCACCAACTGCTGGTAGGCTTTTGCTTTGGTCTAAAAAGCAGTTTGGGGCCTTTATCAAGAGTTGCCTTCCCTGCCCACACTAAAGCACACTCATCACCTAGACATAAATGGTCAATTGACTCTTTTCCAACCTGATGTGTAGTCAGGTTTAGCCTGTGTTTGGCAGGCAGTTTGCTGCCTGTCAAGGCAGTGAAAACACAGCACCTTAATCCGTCAGCACTTCAGTCCTGATTTCCAAGAGTCCGGCTATATCCCTGTGATCACTTCATCTGATCTGGTTATCATTACTAAATGCCTGGGTAGTCATCTGAACATTGTTTATTATTGCACACTCTCAGGACAGGCCCAGGGATAGTCTTTTGTAAAACTGCAGAAACAAAAGAGACTTTCACTTTAGAAAGAATTATGCATGTCACTCAGTTGCTCTAACAAGTGCTACTGTCATGCAAGCAAGAACAGTGGCCTTCTCTTTTCTGAGCTTCTGCTTCCTTTGCTGCTGTCATGAGCTCTCCTGATGAGGTGCATATTGCTTGTGCCTTATGGTTCAGGCACTGATGAGTAATCAAAAGGAAAAAGACCATTTGCTATGAGGCCCTCCCAAAAGCCCTATCCAGAGGGGTTTGTGGACCTTTGTAATTAGTATTATGTGTAATAAATACACATTTATTTTTTGAACAATTTTTGAGAGTTTTCATATTAGTTGTTGATTTACTTTTATACCCCATTTAATTCTTCTCTCTCACTCTTCTCCTTCTCAGACTCAGTCATTTCACAGGTCTCTATGGCTCAGTTTATTTTCTTTAAATTTTGTAGATTTACTTTTGTACCCCATTTAAGTTTTTCTATCTCTCCCCTTTTCTCAAACTCAGTCATCCCACAGGTCTGTAAGGCTCTGTTCATTTTCCTTAAACTTTTTAAAACTTTTCAAATTGTATCTTCAGATTGGATAATTTCTATTGCTGTGTCTTCTGTTTCTGATCTATACATAAGCTCAAATTATTATTTTTATTTCTTATTTTTATATTTGGGTATTTTTCATTTCTTTGCTGAGTTTCCACATTTGTTCATTTGTAAGAATACTTTCCTTTGTCACCATGAGCATACTTATAATAGCTGCCTTCAAATTATTTTTTTTTTTAGACGGAGTCTCATTCTTTCACCCAGACTGGAGTGCAGTGGTGCGATCTTGGCTAACCGCAACATCTGCTCCCGGGTTCAAGTGATTCTTCTGCCTCAGCCTCCTGAGTAGCTGGGACTACGGATGCATTCCACCATGCCTGGCTAATTTTTTGTATTTTTAGTAGAGACGGGGTTTCACCATGTTAGCCAGGATGGTCTCAATCTCCTGACCTCATGATCCACCTGCCTCAGCCTCCCAAAATGCTGGGGTTACAGGCATGAGCCACCGCACCCAGGCTCTGCCTTCAAATTTTTGTCTGCTGATTATGTCTCAGACATTTTGGAAATGTCTACTGCCTGCTTTTTATCTTGTGTATGTATTACATTTTCATGTGTCTTCACCCATCTCATGAATTTGAAAATTGTGCACTACAGACTGTATAGAAGAGTTATAGAGACTCTGGATTCTGTTGTGTCCCATTGAAGGGTGTTGATTTTTAAAGAGCGTGTTGATTGGGCTGGATTCTAATTTCAATGCTTATCTCTTCTATGGATGGCACAAGGGACATCCTCATTCACTTCTTATACACACATATCTCATGTATGTATTATATATAGAAGTTTTATAATGATACATACTATTTTATTCAGTATTCATCATTTTTCTTTGTGAGAGTGTTAGTTAAACTAGCTACTTCACCATTAGTGGAAGCCGGAACCTCAGTTTTGATTTTTGGATTTAATACAAATGGTATTATATGGTATGGATAGTTTTACATCAATTTTTAAATGCAGGATTATATTTTTGATATCCATTTATGCTGTTGCAGATATCTATACTCTGCTCATTTTTAAAAGTCCTTTCATACTTTTTGGTAAAATATACATAAAATTAACTATTTTAACAATTTTTAATGTGCAGGTCAAAGGAATTAATCACACTCACATTGTTCTGCAACCATCATCCACATTCATAGGGATTTTTATTCATTTTGCAAAACTGAAACTCTGTTTCTGTTAAACAAGAATCGCCCTTTACCTTCCTTTTTACCCTGGAAACTACTCTTCTACTTTGTGTTTCTGAGAATGGAACAACCATAAGTACCTCGTATGAGTGGAACCATACAGTATAGTAAAGAAATCATGAGGAAGAATAATATACACTGTAAACATGTTTATTAATTTAAATAACCTGATCAGTAGTACATGAGGATTATAGAGAAATATAGATACAAAAGAAAAAGCATTTAGAAGGGTGTGTTAAATTTATGACTATGATGTCTCAAGTTCCAGAAAAGTGAGGCCCCTGCCCCAGACACAGAGCTGGTCACGGTGCAGCTCAGAGCCCAGTGCAGCTGTCTGACTCCCAAAGCCCATGCTCAGCCCAAATGTCAATAAGCCCTGAGGCACTCTGCTTCTGCCAGCCCAGGCACTCAGTGGCCCTGAGATTCACCATGGCCTGTTCTTGGTCTTGAGAATGTTGCTGGCCTACTGGGATGGGGGCTCAGCTGACAGGACAAGTAGGAGCTTCAGGAAATAGTGGCAGCTGTGAGGCTACCAGGAGCCACACCTCAGGCTTCCCACTGCCTACCCAGGGCTCCCCATGCAACAGGTCCTAAAGTTGACCAGGGAGCCATGGCCACAGGCTCTCTGAAGCTGGCTACACAATAGAGTCCTCTCCTACCCTTGGCTAATCTGCTAGCCCCTCACTTTTTATTCTGACTGTGTCACACCATGGACTAGAACCAAACCCCAAATTCCTCCTCAGTTGGAAGAAGATAATGATCTCTTCTCACTGAAGCACCTGCATTTCTTGGGGGACTTAGATCTGGAGACCAAAGGAAGGGCAGGATTCTGACAGGTCCTGGGTGGAAGATAATAAAGGGAGCTTGCTGGGGAGGGAGGGAGAAGGGGCCAGTCTCTGGGACTTTTCTTTTAAGGGGCCCCACCCTCCCCTCCAATTCCAGGTAGAACCAACCTGTTCTCAGAGTTAGATATAAACAGTCCCTTCTCTAGGAATTTATCACTGATTCTAGTCCTCTAATCAAACTCTCCATTGGCATGGGTATCCTCCTTCTCTGTGTATCAAACCTTCCCAGTAAATCTAAGATGCAGAAGATGGAGCCAGTGAGTGTCCTCCCCAGGGTGGTCTCTGACTTTCACATCCACACCTTCCCTCAAGGCTAGGGCCCCACCTGCTCACCTTCCTCCTTTATTAGTGTTGATTATATTTTCCTAAAAGGTAGACAGCCAAGGTCTATCAGAAAGGCACCCTGGCCCACAACTAGCCTTCATCCCCTATACTTTCTATGCTGCACCACCTCCAGGGCCGCCAGGGTCAGGGCATGTGCACAAACCAGGATTTGGACATGCATCAGGTTTTGGGCTCTACAGAAGGGACTTGAGGCTCAGTGACCGTTTACCCTGATTCTCTGTCATGACAGACAGGGAAACTGAGGCCTTGGAAACAAAGAAGGTACTCAACCACTTAGGAACTGCCTGTCTTAGGAGGGGCCCAGTTTCTGTCTTCTCCAATGGATACCATGAAAGGCAGAGGCTGAGACTCAGTTCTGCAGCTTCACTACTCAAGGAGTAGTCTTTGATGGAGTCTCCGTTACTCATAGAAAAGATAGGCCAGACACCCCCATCACAGGGACATCACAGGTTCTAAGGAAAGGAGGTTTGCTGAGTGCTGCAATCTCAGGGCTCAGTCCAAGACTCTGTCCCCACAAGTTTCAGGATCCTGGCCCCCACCCTTCCTGCCCCAGTCTCACACACATCGATATAATCCTATAGGACAATTTCCAACATCAGCAAATCAGTGAGAATTATGCCCACAGAAGGCACAGCACCCTGTGCCATCAAGGTGGTAGCAGTGATGAGCACCAATTCTCAGCTTCCCACACAAAGCCCGTCCTTTGAACTGTCACCAACCCATGTCTCCTTGACCCCCCTACCCAATCTCCTACTTGGAGCCTCCAAGGACCCTCAGCTTCCTTACCCAAAATCTTTCCCTTCTCTTTCCACAGCTGGCCTACAAAGACACCAAGCACCTTCTAGTTATCTCTATGGTGAGATTTCAATAAGTCACAAAGTCAGTCTTCCCCAGCCTCACTCTTCCCCAAATCTACTCTGAGCCCAGCTCTCCCAGGCTCTTTCTCTGGTCTCTCTAATGAAGGCATTCCAAGCACTGTGTCCACAGGAGGGTAGGGCCAGAGGAGGAAGACACTGTGCTCTCTTGATGTGGAGAACTCCAGCTGGGAGGGAGAAGCCCTGTCCTTGACTCCCTGGTGCCCATTCTGTCCACAGGTCCACTCACCTGCTGCTGAAGCCCCATCTGGACTCTCTAAAAATGTCCCTAATTAGCAGAGTCAGAAACAGGGGCAGTGAGACTGTGCTTCCCTCACCAAGTTACAACCCAGCCCCACCAACCTCAGATCATTGATAACTGCCTTAGTCAGCTGGTGCAATGCTTCTACCACCTCCAGTAGGCCTGGATTCTAGATTTACTTCCAGATCCAACATTCACTGCGTGTGTAACCTCGGGCATGCACCTGGGCCTCCCTGAGACTGTTTCCTCACCTGAGAAGTGTTGTTATACCCAACGAGTTAGAGAAAGCGCCACACTCTGAGATGAATTAAGAGTCCTTTATTAAGCCGGCGGCCAAAGAGATGGCTAACGCTCAAAATTTTCTCCGCCCCAAGGAAGGAGCTTGATTAACTTTTATACCTAGGTTTAGGAAGGTGAGGGGAACTCAAATGCAATAATTCTATAGAAGTAAAAACATGCAAGTATCAAAAAAACAAACGGTTACAAAGAGATAAACAATTTAAAAGACAAATGGTTACAAAAAGAGCAACAGTACCAGGTGCAGGGCTCTAAATCCTTCATTATAATTAGATATAGGTGCTATGCCGGACAAGAACTCAAGGTTTTATGTTGTTGTCCCTTTGAGAAAAATCCTGGGAACTTCATACACTGTTGGTGCCAGTACCTTATCAGTTAATTGGGCTCCTTTGAAATGCTGAGGATCTGCTTAACACAGGTCAACTCCTTGCGGAAGGGGGTTGGGTAAGGAGCCCTTAGTGTCTTGTAAATTAAGGGGTCAATTGGAGTTCGACCAGCTTTCCCAGCTAGAGAGAGTCTTATTTACATGAGAAGCAAGGCTAGGTGATTAAAGAGCCAAACAGGATAAAATTCAAAGTAGCCAGTTAGAGTAAAAACAAGGTTAGGCATTTCAATGTGGTGGGAACACCTTCCTCGTAGGGCCTCCTGAGGACCCAGTTGCATGTGGCTATCACCACTGTTCTCACCATCATCCCTCTCAGGAAGAGGTAGGCACAAGAACTCTCAAATTTCCTTCCTCCGTTGCACCTTATCATGACCCTGAAAGGCCTGCACAACAGACTTCCTGCATTCTCCAGATGAGGAAACGGTGGCCCAAAGATGGCAGTGACTTGCCCAGGGTCCCACAAGAGAGGCTGGCTCCTCCTCCCACCTGGAGGGCCTCCCCTAGCTCCCTTCATGCCACACACCAGCACCACTACTGGTTAGGGTCCCATCCTCTAGACTCTATGGGAGTCCACACCCCCATCCAGGGCCAGCTGTGGTGGAAAAGGGACATGGTGTATTGGGTGGCCTGGTCGAGCAGTGCCAACTTGTCCCAACTTCACTGGGATTGCAATCTCACAAGCTGGGTTTGAGGGTATGCCAAAGACTTCACCTCCCTATTGATCCACCAAGAAAGATTCGCACACAGAAGTCTCTTTCTTTATCCACTCCCTTTAGTTCACGCGTGTTCCCCACCCACCAGCTGCCGGCCTCCACTGTCACTGATACCCAGGGCTGATCTCACCTGCCTTGACAAGGCTGCTGAGATTCAGGTGGACCTAAACAGATGTTTGGCTCAGACAGGTCACTTCAGGCTTGTGTCCTGGGCCATCCCCCTTGCTCTTCAGAAGGCCCCTGCCAGCGTCAGTGTGCCAAGCCCTGACCCTAGTGATCTCTCCGTAAGGACTGCATCTCACCCACCCTCTATCACCAGGGCTCCTGCTCAGCCCTTGTCACTTTCCCAGGACAAATCTAGCTTCACAGACACGTCTAGATCCTGTGCATTTCTCTTTGTGGTGTTCAAAGAAAAAGAATAATTTCCATTTTTTTTCTAACTTGACCTACAACCTATTTATTGTGAAGATGTCCAGGCTGCAGGCCATGTCTACTCACCTACTCAGAAGGCTTCAGCTCTTGCTTTAGTGCCTTCTGGGTCCATTCTGTCGCTAAATGTTTATGACCTCAAGGGGGAAGCATGAGCAAATGCAATTCCATTGGTACCAGTGCAGTGAGGGTGGGGCCAGAAGGGTGAAACTCACTGGGATTATATAGAAATTTTATACAAGATACACATTTCAAGATTGGTTTGGAGAAATGCAGGAAGAACTATCTTTCATAGATGACAGTATGTAGAACTTAAGTTTCTTAGCCAGAAGTTCACGGGTCCCTCTTACTAAATGTGGCAATATGTGATGATATCCCAATGGCCATAACACACACACATAATTTATGGGACTCATTTTGTATTAGAAATTGTGCATTTCAGCCAAAAGTTTTTTACACATGGATAGTTTCCCACATTGCTTGAAGATTGGAAGTGAGAGCACTTTATGAAATGTCCTTTTGGACACACTTTCATTGAAGGTTCCATGTCCCAAGGAGCAAAGAGACAAGTCATGATCAAGTGGCCTTATCATATGGGGTGATGCCTGGTCTCATGATTGAGGAAATCAAGAATGCAGACACACCAAGGGTGATGTTGGAGGAGAGGTTTAATAGGTGAAAGAAAGAGAACAACTCTCCACTGCAGAGAGGGATCCTCAAAAACTCTTGACTTTCAGGAGTGAAATGCAATGGTTTTTATACATGAGCTAGTGGAAGGGAGTGTCTTATCCACATAGGGCATGAAAAAATGGTTAGGACCAGGTGTGTCATCTCCATAGAACACGAATCTCTGGCAGCCCACACTCCAACCTTTTATTATGCAGGCGGGTTCTTAGCCTGAGCTACTCCAAGTTGCTTATCTCTTTCCTACTGTGCATGTGCAAAAAAGTTGGGTGGAGCCCCCCATGTTGAATGTGTCTGGCCTGAGGTGGTCCCTTCTTTTGGTGCAGCTGCAGTCATACCCTCTCATATAAGCTTCTAGCTTCCTTATCTATGATTGCAGCCCCATCTTCCAGGTTGCTCTTTGTTAAAGAGAAGTGATTTCTTGGGCTGCTTTTCTTTAGAAGGGACGTTCTGCCGAGGACTGTGCTGTATCTGACTAGCTAGTTTCTTTCTACCTCCACTCTCAATGATAACTGTCCAGCTTTTAAGGGCATCATGGGGTTGGGAACAAATTTGAGACCACAAAGTACCTTAGAATACGACTTTACCCTTCTATCAACTTTAGTGTGAATTGCACATCTACTGTAATATCTGCTTCATGCACTACTGAATATAACAAGAAGGGAAAATGTGTATCTTCTAAGAATCCAGATGACAAACAGACTTTCCACAGATTCTTTGCATCCTCCTGTTTCTAGAGCTTGGTCATTCCAGTGTAGATTGTTCTCTTCGGAAACAGCAGGTGATGAGGAAGCCTAGGCTGGCAAGCAGGACACTGTGGATTACTTGTTGCGGAGGTGTTTCCGTGGGGTCACTAAAGGGGCAGGCACAGCAGCCCACAGGACAGCTTCAGCAGCGATTCCCTCTGGCTCTGCCCCAGCAAGGTAAGGCAGCCAGCAAAGCTCTGATTCCTTGTCCTAAAGGGCGACCTCGGCCGGGTAAGCCCCAGCCTCCAGAAAAAAAGGGCAGTATCAGGGAGCGCCCCACGTTACGGCCTTGTTGTGGGCTGCACCTGCAGCCTCACTGGTGCATGACTTCTAGGTTCTGTTCTGGTCCTTCAGGAGGCAGAAGATGATGTTTCTCTTCAATTCACCACCCTGTTGGCTGGGCCTGGGAAGGACTCGAGGTCTGCACGGTGGTTTCCGAGTCTCCAGCACCCAGTTTTCCCAATGTGCTGACAAGCAGGATGGCCAGAAGTACCTGGGTGGGGAAGACATAGGGTGAGCAGAAGAAGGTGAGCTTCCAGAAAGAGGCCTAACACAAATGCTTAGTGCCTGGGTGGACGCGGATATTGCTAGGTGCTACTTGGGGGCAAGGCCCTGTGCCCTTCTGGAGATCGCCAAAATAACCACATTCTGCCAGGAGTCACCGGGGATTGTCTGAAATCCTTTGGAAATGATACAGGCCCCTGTTGCTCAGTAACTGGAAGAAGCTGCAGCTGCAGCCAATCACTCAGGCCACTGAGGGGCGCTGGGACCCACACCGAGTACCCCTTGTACGGCAGCCTGGGAACACAGCCTAGGTCTGTGGCACCAGTGAGAGCGCAGCCCGCACCTCCACTGCCCTGGTTCTCTTCTGGCTCACTCCTCCCGTGGCTGTGCCAAGATTCTAGAGGCTTGATCTCTGCCTTGCCTGAGAAGTGTGCAAGGCTGGGGAGGCAGAGCAGGGGGAGGTGACGGCCAATAGCCCTGCTACAGTGCTGGGCACTGCGAGGAGACAGGACAGAGGCGGTCATCTTGTTCTACTCGGAGAGGAGAGGCCAAAACTCATGACACACTATTTTTAGGGGGCCTCCCATTCAAGTCCTATCCAGTCTCCACTGTCCTACACTTCTCCAGACTGAGGAGATAAGGCTCTGGTAGATGGGCATGGCCACAGAGGTCAGCCTGTCCCCCTGGACAGACCCACAGACTGATGGAACTGGGCCCTGCACCAAGGAGGCTCTCTCCAGTTGGCAGGGCAGTGGACTCCCGCATTGGCAGTAGGAAGCTCCCTAGCCCCTTCCACCAGCCACCTTCCTTCAGTGACTGAGATCCTCAGGGCTGAACAGGCCCCCCGTGGCAGGGCTGCTGAGATTCAGATGAGTCGCTTAAGTTTTCAGTGTCCTGTGCTATCTTTCCTGGCCTTCAGAAGGCTCCTGCCAGCCTGATTGGGCCAGGCTCTGACCCTGGCTGCATCTCCCTGGGAGCCCCATATCACCTGCCCTCCATCCCCAGGGCTCCTGCTCAGCACTTCCCATCTTCCTAGGACAAGCCTGGCTCCAACAGACATGTCTAGACCCTGTGTGTTTCTTTTTGTGGTGAGTAACGAAAAAGAATGATTTCCATTTTCTTTTTATTTTTTTCTAACTTTTAATTTATTTATTGTAAAAATGCTTGGGCTTCAGGAGACCTGACCTACCCCGCCAGGGGTCTTAGCATTACTACAGTACCTTCCCAACCCACCCTGTCACTAAATATTTCCACTCTTAACAAAATAGGGGGAAGCATAAGCAAGTGCAATTCCACTGGCACCAGTGCTTTGAGGATGGGGTCAGAAGGGTCATACCCATTAGGATTCTATAGGAATTCTGTAGAAATAAACATCTCACAGTTTGTTTGGACAGATTGACATGGAGAAATAACTTTGATAGGTTCTAGTACACAGAAGTTAAGTTTCCTAACAGCCATGAGCTTACAGGTTCCTCTTGCTGAATTTGGCCATATTTTCTGATGTCCAAATTGCCATCATGGGCATACATATGTGGAATAGTTTATACCATTCATTTTTACATTACCAAATGTGCATTTTTGGCCAACAGTGTTTTATACATCATGGATAGTTTCCCACATTTCTTGAAAATTGGAAGTGACAGTCATTTATGGAATGTTGTTTTTGACACACTTCCATCTAAGGCTCCATGTCCCCTCAGTGCTAAGAAGACAAGTAGTCATCATGCTTCCACTTAGAGGGGGCCCAGGGAAAGCAGACATAATATGAGAATGAAAAGTACCTTGGAATCAGAATTCACCTTTCAATCAGTATGAATCAGAGGTCTATTAGAATAGCCTGTTCATGCACTCTTAAGATTTCAAAGAGGGACAAATGTCACCTTTGAAAAGTCAAAGTGACGAATGGACTTCTCTCAGATTTTTTTGTTTTGTTTTGTTTCTGGCACTTGGTCATGCCATGGTAGAGCATTTCTTTTGGAATTACTGGGTGCTGAGAAACCCCAGGCTTGAAAGCTGGACACCAGGGAGTCCCTGTGGGTGAAGTGTTATTGAGGTCGCTAAAGTGGCAGACACTGCAGCCAGCAGGAAAGCAGCATCCAACATTCTCTATGGCACGGCCCAGGTGCTGGGTGAAGCAGCCAGCCCAACAGCTTATTTTATGTGTGGAAGGGTGACCCCGTGCCTCTGCACGGCTCCAGCTTTCAAGAAACAGGCGCAGGCCAAGGAGTGCCTTGCACGTTTACTGCTGCCACGTGTGGGGCCTGCATCCGCCACTGGGAGCCCCGCTTCTTCCTTCAGTGCCAGGTCTGTTCCATTCCTTCTGGAAGCTTCAGAGGACTTTCCTCTCTGACTCCCGGCATGTTCACCTGGATGCTGCAGGACCCCATATCTGTGCATTTCCCGAGTCTCTACAGTGCCTGGTGACCCACTGTGACAAGGAGGATGATCCAAAGTAGGGGATTAGGGCCATGAGGTAAAAAAAAAAAAAAAAAAAAAAAGGAGAGATGCTGTATGGATGAGGCTTGATGGGACCGCCTCTCATCTGGGGCTGCTGGTGCCACGCGGGCAGGGCTGGTTGCTGCCACGCGAGGTGATCCTCTGTGCTGAAGATTTTCAACCTTTCCACCCTTTCCCCATCGGGGACGCCTGGGTAACCAGCTAAAGCGCTAGTTCCAGTCCAGAACAGACTGCGGACCCTGGTGTGGGCTCCAGCCTGCAGGACACGAGCATGAACCTCGGAGCACCCCATATGCCTAGTTTGTTGTGGGCTAGACTGGCACTTCCCACTGGCCTGCTGACTTCTTCTTGGAGTGTAGGGGTTTTGTTCTGTTCTTTCTGGAGGTGGCAGATGACTTTCCTTCTGGACTTCTTGCCTGTTCACCTGACCTTTGCAGGACCTGAGATAGGTGGGGTTCCCGGGTCTCCATAGTGTCAGGCACTCTACTGTGATGACAAATAGGATGACAAAAAGTATGCCGGTGGTTGAGGAAGAAGAAAAAGAGGAGGAGTGGAACTGCAGGGAGGAGGCACAACAGGATGGCCTCCAGCCTGGGGCAGCTGGGTTGGCAAGATTAGGGCTGGTTGCTGCCCAGGCAGGCAAGGAGATAAACCATACTGAAGAATGCCATTAGCTCCATCTTCAGCTTGGCATGCCTGGGCATATCTGAAAACCTTGGGAAAGTGTTCACGTTTTCAGCACTTACGAAAAGGAAGAAACAGCAGTTGCAGATGCTCTTCCAGGCCTTCCAGCAGCATCGTAGAACCTGCTCTATGTGACATGTGGGCTGAAGCCTGGGCCTGCAACCTCGGGCCAGGGGACCCGTGAACGCAATCGTCTCCATGGCCCCCCTCTTCAAACTTGATTCTCCCCTGGCTGGGCCAGAGTTCAGTTCTCCTCCTCCTTGGTCTGCCCCATCAGAGTGCAGAGGAGGAAAAATGAGGGGGTGGAGTCAGGAGCCTTTTTCCATTGCTGGTGTACTGAGAAGTATCTGGTTGTGCTTGAAGGGGAGAGGCCAAAGCCCAGGACATTCTGCTTTTTTAGGTAACTTACGTTTCAAGCCCTATTTGGTCTCCACCAGCTTTTGCTTCTGAGGACAGAGGAGCTGGGGCTCTGTTACATGGATATCTAAAGAGATATCTTGCCCTGAATGACCGAGAGACTGATAGGTCTATCCCAACACCAAGGTAATGTGACTCTCTTTTGCTACCTGTGCCCTCCCTATGGATTGGACATATCACTGGGCCAAGCAGCAAGGTAATATGACTCTCCTGCTTGTACCCTGCATACACTGGGCATGGTGACATATCACTGAGCCTAGCACCCAGGTGATGTACCTCCTTTTTTGGTACCTGTCAACAAAAGGGATTGTGACATATATCTGTCCCATCACCCAGGTGATGTGACTGTTGCCTTCTGTTCACTCACAGATAGGATTATGACCTCCACCTAGGCTCAGCACACAGGCATCATGATGTCTTTCAGATGCAGAACCACCCAATAAAAGAGATTTTGACTCTCATAGATAGATTTAGGGTGAAGGATAAGGTCCTGAGTCTCCTACTTGTGAAAAGTTACAGAAGAGTCTGACACACACATATATTAGGAAGCTTTTGGGTGGTACAGAGAGTTTTATAATACAAACCAGAACACAGTTGACATTGTGATTCTCATAGCCACATTCTTCTGAAAATTTGATTTGTCACCCTTATAAATGGGCAGAGCCCACTTGTGAGATCTGTAATCTCACATGCAGAAGAAGTCCACAGTTGGAATTGTGACTGTTATATGTAAATCTGGCCACAGGTGGGATGGTGACTCATTTCTGGACCCAGCTCACAGGCCCAATAATGACTCTAATACCTGGACCCCATCAATAAAATAAATGTTTGCTTTAGTAACTAGACTTAGGGCAACAGGGAATGTCCTGGGTTTCTTACTTGTATGAAAGTCACAGAGCCCTACAACAATCAAGCATACAATACAATGTCCTCAGGTGGTAAAGAGAGTTTCATAACAGGGTCCAGCACACAGATGAAATTGTGACTCTTGTCTGCACACTCAGCTAACTGTAAGGACTATCATCCACCTACATGGGCACAGCCCATTGTTGAGGTTCTGAATCTCACACCTGAAGGCAGTTGAAAGTTGAAACTGTGACTCTCATACCTGTATCTGGACAACAGGTAAGATGGGGGATTTTGGATCAACATTAAACACCCTGTTAGGCTGTTTCTTCTTTATTAGGACACCGTTTTTAGATGAGTTTGGGGATCTCATGCACAGATGCATTCCACTGTTGACATTGTGACTCATGTACTTGGACAGAACTCACAAAAGGTGTTGACTTTCATATTTGGAGCCAGGCCATATGCAGTATTGTGAATCTCATCCCTGGACCTTTCTGCAGGCATGATTTTGACACATATCTTTGCCCAGCAAATGGTTGATTTAACTATTCTGCCAAGGTCCCATCTAAACATGGGATTATGACCTATACCTAGGCCAAGCACATAGGTGATGTGACTCTCCTGCCTGGGCTATACTCTCAGAGTAGATTTGGAAATGTTTATGCACAAATCACCTAAGTGATGTGACTCTCCTCTCTGGCCTGGGCTCAGCCCACAAGGGGCTTTGTGACATATCACTGGGTCCATCACCTAGGTGATGTGACTGTCCTCTTCTGTCTGGGCCCCATCCCTATTTGAAATTTTGACATAACCCTGGGTCCATCACCTAGGTGATGTGACTCTCCTCTCTCCTGTCTGGGCCCCATCCCCATTTGAAATTTTGACATAACCCTGGGTCTATCACCTAGGTGATATGACTCTTCTCTTTTGCCTTGGACCTGCTTACCTGGGTTATTGTGACGTATTACTGGGCCCAGCACCTGGTAGATTTGACTATTCTTTTTTGCCTGGACTTTCCCTGCCAAAAAGATTGTGACAAATCAATGGGCCAAGCACTCAGGTGATGTGGCTCTCCTGTCTAAGCAATGTCTATAGTTGGGATTGAGAAATCTACCTGGGCCATATTTTCTGGTGACATAACTCTTCTACCTGAGCCCCTTTCTCAGAGGCATTGTGACATATCTCTGTGCCTATCACCTAGGTCATATGACTCTTCGCTTTTTTCCTGAGCTCTGTCCACAGGGTAATTTGTGACATATTGCTGAAACCAGGACCCAGGTAATTTGACTCTCCTGTCTTGTCCCCGCCCACAAAGAGTATTGTGACATATCATTAAGCTCAGCAGCCAGGTGATGTGACTTTCCTGCCAGGGCTCTTCTCTCAAAATGGATACTGACATATCTCTGGCCCAGCATTCACGTAATGTGGCTCTCCTTTCTGGTCCCTGCCTACAGGTGGTATTGTCACATATACCTGGGTCCAGTTCACAGGCATAATAATGACTATCATACATGGACACAACCAATAGAAGAAATTCTGACTCTTCTAGCTGGGTTTATGGCAATGTATCATGACTTCAGACTCCTATATTTGGAAAGATCACAAAGTATTAGGAAGCTTGTGCATATTCTATAATGCCCTTTAATGGTACACAGAGTGTCATTACAGGGCCCAGCACACAGCCAACAGTTAAAATTGTCAATCTCACACCCGGACATAACAAACTGTTAAGGCCCTGAATCTCACTCATAGACACAGTCCACAGTTGGAATTTTGACTGTCATATGTGAATCTGGCCATAGGTAAAATGGGTGACTCATTGCTGGACCTAGCTCACAGGCATGGTAATGACTCATATCTGAACCAGTCAATAGAAGGCATGTTGAATCTCATTTCTGGGCTTGGAGTAACAAGTAAGATCATGGGTTTATATAAGCACAAGGTTTCAGAGTGGATTGCAAGTCTCAAACATATCATAAAAAGCCACAGGTGGTGCAAAGAATAATAAAACAAGGCCCAGTACAGTGTTGAGGGTTTGACTCTCATTGCATACACTGCCAACAGTAAAGATTTTCACACTCCCACATGGACACAGTCCACTGTTGAATTTCATGCCCAAATGCAGTCAAAAGTTGGCATTATTATGCTTATATGTGGATCCAGTCTTCAAGTGAGTTGATGAGTCTCTGACCAAGATTCCACAAATATGTTAGGTTTCTAACTCTCCTATTGTGTGTTGTCTGAGGTTGAGGCTTTCATGCATGGATCCAATTTACTGTTGAAATTATGACTTGCATACTTGGACACATGAGGCATGTAAAAGTTTATGAGGTGCATACTTTTTATACCCAGAGCCAGAATATGTGCAGGAATGTAAGTTCCATTCCTAGACCTTCCCACAGGTGTCACTGTGACATATAGTTTTGCCCAACCAGAACTTGACTGATTTGAATATACCACCTGAAGAAAGCCCACAGTTTAGATTGTGACATATACCTAAGCCAATAACCTTGGTAATGTGGCCCTCCTGCATAGTCCCTTCTCACAGGTGGCACTGTGATATACCTCTGGTCTCATTTCCAGGTGATGTGATTATCCTCCCCTGCCCAGGCCCCATTCCCAAAGGTGATTGTGACACATTGCTGAGCCCAGCACTCATGCAATGTAATCCTTCAGCCTGTTCTGCACACAGGGGACATTGTAACAAATCACTGGTCCCAGCACCATAGTGATGTGAATTTTTACCAGCACCAAACTCACAGGGGGATACTAATATATCTCTGGCTCGGTATTCAGGTGATGCGACTCTTCTGCCTGGTTCTGTTGACAGGTAGGATTGTGACACATATCTAGGTTCAGGTCACAGGAATAATGATGACTGTCATATGAGAGCCCAGCCAAAAGAAGAGATTTTGGCTCTCATGCCTAAGCTTAGAACAATCAGTAAGGCTCTGAGTCTCCTAATTGTATAAAGATTACAGATGAGTATGACACTCATGAATATTGTATAAAATACTTGGGTCTTATCAGAGTCCATTACAGAGGTAAAATTTTGCCTCTCATGGGCACACTATCCAACAGTTGGGATTGTCACTCTCACACATGGACAAAGTCCATTGGTGAGGATCTGCACCTCACATGTGCAAGCAGTCCACAGTTAGAATTGGGACTGTTATATGTTGATCTAGAGACAGAGTGGAAGGTGACCCATTTCTGGACCCAGTTCATAGGCATGTCAATGTCTCTCATGCCTAATCCCAGAAAATATGAGAGATGTTGACTCTTGCATCAAGGCTTAACAGCAACAGATAAGATCCTGGGCTTCATACTTTTACAGAGGACTTAAAGAATTACAACATTCATGCATGTTGTATAATGCCCTAAGGTGGAACAGAGAGTGTTAAAACAGAGCCCAGCTCAAAATTCTGATTGTGACTCTTGTATGCACACAGACCACAATTAAGATTAAATGTGAACAGAGCCCACTCATGAGGTCCTGGATCTCACTCACAGAAACAACTCACAGTTGGAATTGTGACTCTCATATCTGGATCCATCCAAAAATGAGATGATGGCTCATTTCTGGACCCAGTTCACAGGCACACTGATGACTCTCATACCTGGACCCAGCAAATAGGACACACATTGACTCTCATGCCTGAACTTAGGGCAACATGTAGGATCATGGGTTTATACCATCAGTAAGTTCTCAGAGCAGGTTTCACTCTCATGCAGATCATATGAAGCTCTTACATGGCACAAGGGGTGTCTTATAGAGACCCACCACAGAGGTAACATTGTGACTCTTCTATGCACACACAACATACAGTCAGGAATGTCATCTTCCCATATAGACATAGCCCATTATTCAGGTTCTGAATATCACATCCAGATCAGTTGAAAGTTGACATTGTGACTCTCATACATGGATCAATTTCACAGGTAGAATGGTGACTTTTATACCAATGGTGAGTTTGGGTATAAACTCAACACAACTGTGAGGCAGTGACTGCCCTAATTGGACAGTTTTGGCAGGTGATGTTGGAGCTTTCATGCATGAATTCTGTCCATCACTGATATTGTGATCTGTGTACCTTAACACAAATCACAGATGTTGTCTCTTATGCCTTGATCCAGAAACTGTGTGGGACTGTGAATCTCATCCCAGAGCCTTCCAGCATATGTGACTTTGACATAATTTTTTCTCAGCACTTAATTGACTTTTCTTCCCTGCATGAACCCTGCCAACAGTTGGGTTGTTCTGACTTATACCTAACCCAAACACCTAGATGATGTGACTGTCCTGTCTGGGCCTTGCCCAGAAGGGGTATTGTAAGGTATCTCTGAGCCCATCACCTAGGTGATGAGATTCTACTGCCTGTGCCCTGCCTCCAGTAACAGAAATACCAGCATATTTCCCAGGTGGTATGACTCTTCTCTCATGACTAGGCCTCATGAAGAGGGAGGACTGTGACATATTGCTGGTCCAGCACCTAGGTGATGTGACTCTTTTGACTGGGTTCTGCCTACAGGGGGCATTGTGACATATCATTGAGCCTAGCACAAAGGCGATGTGACTTTCCTGTGTGGGTCCTGCCCATGGAGGGATATTGACATTTCCCTGGCCCAGCATTCAGGTGATGTGGCTTTCCTCCCTGGTTCTGCTCACAGGTGGGGTTTTGACTTATACTGAGGCCCAGGCAACTGTCATGATCATGGCTTTCTTACATGGACCAAGCCAATAGGAGAAGTTTTGACTCTAATAGCTAGGCTTAGGGCAACAACGAAGGTCCTTGGTCTACTAATTATAAAAGGTCACAGAAGATTATGACACTCACATGTATTTTATAAAGCCCTCGGGGTGTATAGAGAGTTACATAACAGGCCCCAGCAAACAGGTGAGCTTGTGACTCTTGAAGACACATGTAGCCAACAATTAGGATTGTCACCTTCATACATGGACAGAGTCCACTAGTGAGATTCTAAATCTCACACATGGATGCAGTTCAGAGTTGAAACTGTGACTGTCATATGTGGATCTGCCTTCAGGCTGGATGATGACTAATTTCTGGATCCAGCTTACAAGCATGGTGTTGACTCTCATACTTAGACCAAGCCAATAACATACGTTGACTCGTACCTAGCCTTAGAGCAATGGGTAAGGTCCTGAGTTTCCTACCTGTACAGAGGTCACAGAGAAATATGAAACCCTGACATATGATACAATTCTCTCAGGTGGTACAGAGTATGCTCAGACAGGGCCCAGCACACAGTTGAGGTTGTTACTTTCACATACACATCCAGTCAAAAGTTAAGATTGTCACCCTCACATACAGACAGTGCCCACTGCTGAGATGCTAAATCTTTCGTGGATGCAGCCTACAGTTGACATTGTGACTGCCACAGGTGTGATGCTGACTTATTTCTGGACCCCACTCACAGGGACAGTGATAAATATTAGTCCTGGACACAGCCAATAGGAGAGATGCTGACTCTCCTCTCTGGGCTTAAAGCAATGTGTAAGATCATGTGTCCACACAAGCATACAGGTCTCAGTATTGTGACATATTTTTTTGAAATGGAGTCTCACTCTGTCACCCAGGCTGGAGTCCAGTGCCACGAACTTGACTCACTGCAACCCCCACCTCTTGGGTTTAAATGATTCTCCTGCCTCAGCCTCCTGAGTAGCTGGGATTACAGGCATGTGCTACCACGCCCGGCTAATTTTTGTATTTTTATTTAGTAGAGATGAGGTTTCATCATGTTGGTCAGGCTGGTCTTGAACTCCTGACCTCATGATATGCCAACCTCAGCCTCCCAAAGTGCTGAGATTACAGGCGTGAGCCACCACACCAGGCCAAGTATTGTGACTCATTCCTATTTTTTAAAGCCCTCAGGTGGCACACAGAACATCATAAAATGGCCCAAAATACCAGTGAGATTGTTACTCTCATATGCACTCCCAGCCAAAGCATTGTCAATTTCCAAATGAACACAGCCCACTGTTAAGCTTCTGAATCTCACATCTAGAGTCAGTCAAAAGCTGAAATTGTTACTGTCATATAGGGATTCTATGTACAAGTAGGATGGTGACTCTGGACCAAGGTTCAGCACTTTGTGATGTTTTTATTTTTTACTGGGACACTGTCTGCAGGTGAGATTGGGACTCTCATGCACGGACTCAGTCTACTGTTAAGGTTGTTACCTGCCTTTTGGGTGCAACTCACAGGAACTATTGCCTCTGAATCCAAAGCTGGGGCATATTAGAGATTGCAAATTTTATCTCTGGGCCTTTACAGGGGTGTGACTGTGACATACACTTTTGCTCAGTATCTGACTGATTTAATCTTTTGCCTAGGCCCAGTCTACAATTTAGATTGTAAAATATACTTAGGTTTAGCACCTAGAATATGTGACTTTCCTGCCTGGACTCTGCCCTCTGGGGAAAAAGTGACATATCTCTGGCCCAATCACCTAGGTAATGTGGCTCTCCCATTCTGCCTGGGCCAGTCCACAAGGGTCATTGTGAGATATCTCTGGGCCCATCACCTATGTTATCTGACCATTTTCTTTGTCTTGAATTTGTTTACAGTAGGAATGATGACATGTTACTGGGACCATCACCTAGGTGACATGACTGTCTTCTGCCTGAAACATGTTTACAGGGTGGATTGTGACATATTGCTTTGCCTAGCACTCAGAAGATACAATTTTTATTGCCAGGACCCTGCACACAGGAAAAATATTGACATATCACTGGCCCAGCACCTAGTTGATGTGACTGTCCCTCCTGGTCTTTGCCCACAGGTGGGATTGTCACATATAATTAGGTCCAGCCCACAGGTATGATGAAGACTCTCTTATATGTGGACTAGCAAATAGAAGAGATTTTGACTCTTATAGTCAGGCTTAGGGAAACAGGCAAGGATCCAGGTCTTCTACATGTAGAAAGATGGATGCATTACAATACTCATGCATATTCTATAAAGCCCTTGGGTGATATAGAGCATGTCATAGCAGGGCCCAGCACAGGGGTAAAACTGTGACTCTGTGGGCACACCCAAATGACAATTAGCATTGTTTCCCTCACAAATTGACCAAACTTACTGGTGAGGTCGTAACTTTCATATGGGGACACAATACACAGTTAAAATATTGACGGTCAAATGTGAATCTGGCCAAAGATCGGACGGTGAGTCATATCTATACCCAGCTTACAGGCCCAGTGATGACTCTTATACCTGCACCCAGCCAATAAGAGAGCTGTTGACTCTCATAGCTAGGCTTAAGCCAAAAAATAAAGTCCTGAGTTTTCTACTTTAAAAAAATAATAATAACAGGTGATTACCACACACACACATATTGTGTAAAGCCCTCAGATGGTACAGTGAATGTCTTAATAGTACCCAGCACAACATTGAGATTGTCACTATTGTATGAACACCCAGCTGACTGTTACATTTGTCACCCATACACATGGACAGAGCAGAATAATGAGTACCTGAGCCTCACCGAAATATACAGTCCACTGTTGGAATTGTGCCTGTCACATGTGGATTGAGCCACAGGAGGGCTGTTGACCCATTTCTGTACCTAAATCACAGGAACATAAATTGCTGTCATACCTGAACCCAATAAACAGGAGAGATGTTGACGGTCATGCCTGGTCTCAGGGCAATGGGGATAATCATAAATTTCAGATTGTAACATACACCTGGGAAAGCACAAAAACCTCAAAGCAGATTGTGACTCTCACATATACCATGTAAAACCATCAGGTGGTACAGACAGTTTCATAACAGGAACCAGCAAACTGGTGAGACTGTGACTCTCATATGCACACCTGGCTCACAGTAAAGATTCTCACCCTCCCACAAAAACCCAGCCTACTTATGACATTCTGAATCTCACACTCAGAGGCAGTCAAAAGTTGGAACTTTGACTCTCATACATGGATGCAGTCCACAGGTAGGATAGTGACTCTCACACCAAGATTCAGAACACCTGTGAGGCCGTGACTCCCTTACTGGGACACTGTCTGCAAGAGGGGTTCAGATTCTCATGCACAGATCAAGTCCACTGTTGAGGTTGTGACTTGAGTACTTCAACGCACCTCACAAGATATGTTGACTGTCATAAGTGAAGCTAGGACATTTGTAAGATTTTGAATCTTATCCCTAAACTTTTCGAAGGTGTGATTGTGACATATACCTTTTCCCAGCACCTGGTTAATTTTACTTTTTTGCCTGGGCCCAGTGTACAGTTGAGATTGTCACATACACCTGGACCATGCACTTTATTTATGTGCCTCTTCAGCATGAGCCCTGCCCTCAAGGGAAATTATGATGTATCTCTGGGTCAGTCATCAAAGTGAAGTGACTCTCCTTTCCTGCCTGGGCCCTGCCCTTAGTTGAGATTGTGACATATCACTGGACCCTTAATGCAAATGATGTAACTTTTCTGCCTGGGTTCTAATTAGAGAAGGGATTGTGAAATATCCCTGGGCCTGTCACCTAGGTGATGTAACTCTGCCTTCCTGCCAGAACCTGCCCCTAAGAGGCATTGTAGCATATCACCAGGTCCAGCTCCTGGGTGATATAACTGTACCATATCAGCAAGTCCAGCTCCCAGGTGATATAACAATGCCACAGAGGGTATTGTGACATATTGCTGGGACAAGGACATAGGTGATGAAACCTTCCTGAATTGCCCCTGCTCCCAGGGGGGATTTTGACCTCTCACTGGGCCAATCACCTGGGTGATGGGGCTCTCCTCTGCTGCCTAGATCCTGCCCAAAGTGGCAATTGTGACATATCTCTGACCAGCACCCGGGTGATGTGACTCTGGTGCCTTGTCTCTCCCCACAACTGGAATTGTGAAATATACATGGGTGCAGCTTACAGGTGGGATGATGACTCATACGTGAAAATATTTGACTCTTGTAGTTAGTCTTAGGGCAAAAATGAAGGTCCTGTGTCTTCAACTTGTAGGGTGGTCATGGAGTATTTTGACCTTCATGCACATTGTATAAAGCCATCAAGTGCTCCAAGAGTGCCATAATGTAGTTCATCACACAGGTGAAATTGTGGCAGTTGTATGCACACCCAGCCAAAAATAAGGATCATTACCCTCTGACGTGAACAGAGCCCAATGTTGAGGTTCTGGTCACACGCCAAGAAGCCATAAGTTGGAATTGTGAATCTCATATGACAATCCAATCCACAGATGGGATGATAACTTCAAGACCATGATTTAGAACACCTGGGGACTGTGTTTCCCCTATTAAAACACAGTCTTCAGGTGAGCTTTGGGCTCTCGTTCACTGATTTAGTCCACTGTTGTGGACTAACTTGCATACTTGGACTCAACCCACAAGAGGGGCTGACTCTTATACCTTTAGCTGGAAAATGCACAGGATTGTGAATTTCTCTTGTTGACTGGGCCCAGGTATAAGTTTTATTGCTATGCCTGTGAGATGGGTTCAAAAATAAGTCACTATCTCACCTGTGGCTGCATCTATGTATGACAGTCACAATTCCAAATATGAATTGGGCTTGCATGTGAGATTTAAGACCTCACCATTGGGCACTGTCCATGTGTGAGGTTGACAATTCTGTCAGCTGGTTGTACATATGAGAGTCACAATCTCACCTTTTTGCTGGGTCCTGTTATGACACTCTCTGTACCACCTGAGGGCTTAATACATTGTGCTTTGGTGCCCATAATACACTATGACCTTCGTTAAAGTAGGAGACGTAGGACAATGCCTGTTGCCCTAAGCCTAGCTATGAGAGTCAAAATCTCTTCTCTTAGCTTGTTCTGTATATGACAGTCATCATACCACCTTTAAGCTATGAATATATATATTTCACAATTTCACCTGTGTGCAGGGACAGACCCAAAAGTCACATCACCTAGGTGCTGGATCAGGTGATATGTCCCAATTCTTATTTTGGGCAAGGTCTAGGCAACAGAGGAGAGACACATCACCTACATGATTGGCCCAGTGATGCATCACAATTCTCTCTGGGAGAATAGCCCATTCGGGAGAGTCATATCACCCAGCTGCTTGGCCAAGAAGTATGTCAAAATGCCCCCTGTGCACAGGGGCCGAGGCAGGACAGTTACATCATCTGGGAGCTGGGCCCAACAATATGTCCCAATTCCTTTTGTGGAAAGTGTCCAGGCAGAAGAGCAGAGTCAAATCACCTAGGTGATGGGCCCAGAGATATGCCACAATTTCATTTGTGGGCTGGGCCCTGGGATAACAATAACATCACCTGGTGCTGGACCCAGCAATATGTTACAATGCCAACTGTAAAAAGGTTCCAGGCAAGAGAGGAGAGTCACATCATCTAGATATGGCATAATGTCCCCTTAGGGCAGTGCCAAGGAAGGAGTGTCTCAACTCCTCTGTGCTGGGCCCAGAGATATGTCACAATACACAGTGGGCAGGATCCCAGCAGGAAAGAAGAGTCATATTACCTAGGGTTTAGACAAGCAACATGTAAAAATTATTCCTGTTGGCAGATCCCAGCCCCCCATCCAAAAGAATCAAGTCACCTGGGTGCTGCTTTCTGTGAAAAGTCACAAGCCCTTTTGAGTGCAAAGCCCATGAAGCAGAGGCGATTCACATTACCTAGGTGATGATCCCAAAGATATTTCACAATGCTCTCTGTGGGGAGGTCCCAGGGAGATAAGTCACCTCACTTGTGTGCTGGGCTCAGAAAACATCACAATCTTTTCTGATGGAAGAGCCCAGGAAAGAAGGAAGAGCCACATCACCTAGGTGCTGAACCCAGTGATTTGTCAAAATCTCTATTGTGAGCAGAGTCCAGGCAAGTGAGGAGAGTCATATCTTTTAGGTGATTGGTACAGAGATATTTCCCAATGCCCCCTGTGCACATGGGCCAGACCAAAGGCACACATAAGCAACATTACCTTGTTGCTTAGCCCAGTGATATGTCATTATGCTTCTTGAGGCCAGGGCACAAACAGGATCAGACAGTCACATCATTAAGTACTAGGCTTAGTGATATATTATAACCTTACCTGTGGGCAGGGTCCAGTTAGGGGAAAAGCTTTACATCACCTATGTTCAAAGTAGAGAGATATATCACAATTCCTTTGAGGGAAGTGTCTAGGCAAAATAGTCACATCACCTAGGTGTTTGTCCCAGGTATAAGTCACAAGATATCTCTGTGCTGAGCTCAAAAGAACTGTCAAATCACTAAGGTTCTAGGTGGAGGTGTATGTCACAATTATACCTGTGGGAAGGCCCAGAAATGAGACCCCCAATCCCACATATTTACCCACTCCAAGTAGAACAGTCAACAGCTCCTGTGAGTTGGGTCCAAGTACATGAGTCACAATCTCAACAGCGGAATGCATCCTCATGTGAGAGCCCCAATCCCTTCTGCAAGTTGTGTCCTGGTAAGGGAGTCACAGCCTCAATGCTGTGCTGAATCTTGGTGGGAGAGTCACCATTTCACCTGTGGACTGGATCGATATGTAAGAGTCACAACTTCAACCTTTGGCTGCCCATGGGTGTGAGGCTTAGAACCTCAGTTGTGGGCTGTGTACATGTGGGCATGTGACAATTTCAACGTTTGGCTGTGTGGTCATCCAGGTCTCTATATCTCACCTGTGAACTGGGTCCTGTTATGAAACTCTCTGTACCACTCAAGGGGCATATTCGATATGCGTGGGTTTTATAATCCTCTGACCTCCATACAATTAGAAGGCCCAGGACCTTACCCATTGCTCGAAGCCCAGTTATGAGAGTCAAAGCAGATGCAGTGAGATTTGAGATGGGAGGAGGACTGAGATGTTCTCTGTGAGGGTGTAATTGTTATTGTCCTGGGGCTATTTCTAGATATTTTCAAATAAAATAAATTTAGAGACTTTATCCTAAAGGAGTATTGCAATAGTGGAAGCATCAAGCATAATATCTGCAAACATCTAAAATACTAGGCAGAAAAGAGCTGTCTTTCGAATGGAAGAGAGAGCCTCATTAGAAAGAAGGGTGGGAGAGGAAGGGAACAATGCAGAGTGGCAAAATCCATTCAAGATTAGAGAAGGTTTCACCTTGAAATCAGCCTGTTCTTGGGAGGGGTATAAAGAGGGGTTGTATGTTTACTCAGACTGAAGGTGGAGCAGAGGCCAGGGGCCTGGGGGAAAAAAGAAACAAGCAAACTGAGCCTAACAAGTATTTTCTTCTGAACTCTGAAGACAAAAGTATTTAATTGTTTATGAGGAACAAATGGGAATGTGGAGAATCTGCGAATCTGTGATATCTAAAAGAGGATGTACCATCTAGGTCACAATGGTAAAGGTGTTTCTTTGCAATAAGCTGTTCTCACAGAACACAAAGAATTAGAGAGTTTTCTTACATCACTATTTACCAGGACTCGCTACCCAACCCATCTTTCTTTTCTACTTTTCTTTGCTGTATCCATTCTTAGCATTTGGCTTTTTCTGAATTGTATTTATTATAATAACCTGGTAAACAGGTGAAATATTTTGCCAAGTTCTGTGAGTAATTTCTCAATTATTAAGCTTGACGAAGAGGGTTATGGGAGCTTATGATTTATAGATAGCTGCTCAGAAGCATGGATGTGACCATATTGGTTGTGACAGGCATGTGCAGTGGGGATAATGTGGGACTGAGTCCTGAACTTCGGGGTCTATGCCGAATCTGGGTGGTGTCAGAATTAGGTTGTTAAACTCCCAGTTGGTGTTGATGAATTGGTTGGTGTTCAACAAACTCCATATATTTGGTCTTAGAACAAAGATATCACAGCAACCTTGGCTGGAGGTATACTGTGGGTCTTTTGGGGAATAAAGACTCTATTTTTTTACACACATGCTGTCACAATGTGAATTGTCTTGTGATAAGAGGTCTTATCCAGGGTCAGAGGGAATTGAGGACTAAAAGGGATGGAGTTCTGAGGGAAGACTCCTCTCCCCACCCTGCTGCTATAAAGTGATTCCTGCACACTCATGCACATGCACACTAGGCAATGATGTAGCTTCACCCCTCCCATAACAAGGCTTCACCCTCAGGAACTGTGCTGAACCTCTGCATCTAGAGTTTCCTACTAATAGGCTACGTAAGTGCCCAGAAGACTTGTGGCTTACTTCTATGCCCACATCTTGTATCTGCACCAGTGACCTATTTTCTCCACTATCCTAGGCTTCTAGGCCCTCTGTCTCTCTCATCTGCCTGCATACACACATTTAGAAATCAGAGTTACCCTGCGTGGAACAGTGTTTGTAGCACTAACCAGTCCTTTCACCAACTGTGCACTGTCCCCTTCCCATGGGTTTTTTGTATCACTTTCTCTTAGTCTGCTTTTTTCTTCTCCACAAATCCTCTTTCACAAACCCAAGGCCACACCTTAGGTACCTAATACAAACCCTATAGACAAATTGAATGTCTATGAGTTAAGGATAAAATTTTAGGAACCGTTTATTGTAAGCATAAACACAAAATAAAATAAAAATAAGAGACTTAATGTTTCAACTTGAAAATAAAAAATAAAATTTACCCCTCTCATTTTTCTTAAATTATTTAATTTAGATAAATTTTATATGTAAATTATTTCTCTGCTTTTATCTTTTCTGTTGTCTTTTATTGAATCTCTTTCTGTTCTAATTTTTATTATTTTGTTTATTATGCTAACATTAGGATTAATTAGTTTTTTCCAAGGCTTTTGCAAATCAAAGTCACGTTGTTTATTTAAGATCTTTCTTTCTTCTTATTATAGAAATATATCACTGTAAACTCTTGTATAACAATGGCTTTTTTGCATCCCAGAAGATGTTGTATGTTGTGTTTTTATTTCTATTTTTCTGAAGATACTTTGTGATTTCCTTTCTCTTTTCCACTTTGACCCATTTGTTGTTCAGGAACATGTTGTTTAATATCCACATATTTGTGAGTTTCTAAATTTTTTCTGTTATTGTTTTCTAGTTTTATAAAACTGTGATTTAAAACGTTGATATAAATTTCTTCTTTCTAAATTTGGAGAGATTTTGTTGTTGTTGTTGGCCCAACATATGATATATCCTGGATAACGTTCCATGTGTGCTTGAGAAGAATGTGTATTCAAATACTGCTGGATGAAATCTTCTGTGTATATCTATTAGGTGCACTTGTTCTATAGTGCTATGCAAGTACATTGTTTTCTTTCCTTTTGATTATTATTATTCTTTAAGTTTTAGGGTACATGTGCACAACGTGCAGGTTTGTTACATATGTATACATGTGCTGTGTTGGTGTGCTACACCCATTAACTGGTCATTTAGCATTAGGTATATCTCCTAATGCTATCCCTCCCCCCTCCCCCTACCCCACAACAGGCCCCGGTGTGTGATGTTCCCCTTCCTGCGTCCATGTGTTCTCATTGTTCAATTCCCACCTATGAGTGAGAACATGTGGTGTTTGATTTTTTTTGTCCTTGCGATAGTTTGCTGAGAATGATGGTTTCCAGTTTCATCCATGTCCCTACAAAGGACATGAACTCATCATTTTTTATGGCTGCATAGTATTCCATGGTGTATATGTGCCACATTTTCTTAATCCAGTCTATTGTTGTTGGACATTTAGGTTGGTTCCAAGTCTTTGCTATTGTGAATAGTGCAGGTATAAACATACGTGTGCATGTGTCTTTATAGCAGCATGATTTATAATCCTTTGGGTATATACCCAGTGATGGGATGACTGGGTCAAATGGTACTTCTAGTTCTAGGTCCCTGAGGAGTCACCACACTGACTTCCACAATGGTTCAACTAGTTTACAGTCCCACCAACAGTGCAAAAGTGTTCCTATTTCTCCACATCCTCTCCAGCACCTGTTGTTTCCTGACTTTTTAATGATCACCATTCTAACTGGTGTGAGATGGTATCTCATTGTGGTTTTGATGTGCATTTCTCTGATGGCCAGTGATGATGAGCATTTTTTCATGTGTTTTTTGACTGCATAAATGTCGTCTTTTGAGAAGTGTCTGCTCATGCCCTTTGCCCACTTTTTGATGGGGTTGCTTTTTTCTTCTAAATTTGTTTGAGTTCATTGTAGATTCCGGATATTAGCCCTTTGTCAGATGAATAGGTTGCAAAAATTTTCTCCCATTCTGTAGGTTGCATGTTCACTCTGATGGTGGTTTCTTTTGCTGTGCAGAAGCTCATTAGTTCAATTAGATCTCATTTGTCAATTTTGGCTTTTGTTGCCATTGCTTTTGGTGTTTTAGACATGAAGTCCTTGCCTGTGCCTATGTCCTGAAAGGTATTGCCTAGGTTTTCTTCTAGGGTTTTTATGGTTTTAGGTCTAACATTTCAGTCTTTAATCCATCTTGAATTAATTTTTGTATAAGGTGTAAGGAAGGGATCCAATTTCAGCTCTCTCCATATAGCTAGCCAGTTTTCCGAGCACCATTTATTAAAGAGGGAATCCTTTCCCCATTTCTTGCTTTTGTCAGGTTTGTCAAAGATCAGATTGTTGTAGATATGCAGCACTATTTCTGAGGGCTCTGTTCTGTTCCATTGGTCTATATCTCTGTTTTGGTACCAGTACCATGCTGTTTTGGTTACTGTAGCCTTGTAGTATAGTTTGAAGTCAGGTAGCATGATGCCTCCAGCTTTGTTCTTTTGGCTTAGGATTGACTTGTTGATGTGGGCTCTTTTTTGGTTCCATATGAACCTTAAAGTAGTTTTTTCCAATTGTGTGAAGAAAGTCATTGGTAGCTTGATGGGGATGGCATTGAATTTATAAATACCTTGGGCAGTATGGCCATTTTCACGATATTGATTCTTCCTACCCATGAGCATGGAATGTTCTTCCATTTGTTTGTATCCTCTTTTATTTCCTTGAGAAGTGGTTTGTAGTTCTCCTTGAAGAGGTCCTTCCCATCCCTTGTAAGTTGGATTCCTAGGTATTTGATTCTCTTTGAAGCAATTGTGAATGGGAGTTCACTCATAATTTGGCTCTCTGTTTGTCTGTTATTGGTGTATAAGAATGCTAGTGATTTTTGTAAATGGGTTTTGTATCCTGAGACTTTGCTGAAGTTGTTTATCAGCTTGAGGAGATTTTGGGCTGAGATGATGGGGGTTTTCTAGATATACAATCATGTCATCTGCAAACAGGGACAATTTGACTTCCTCTTTTCCTAATTGAATACCCTTTATTTCCTTCTCCTGCCTGATTGCCCTGGCCAGAACTTCCAACACTATGTTGAATAGGAGTGGTGAGAGAGGGCATCCCTGTCTTGTGCCAGTTTTCAAAGGGAATGCTTCCAGTTTTTGCTCATTCAGTATGATGTTGGCTGTGGGTTTGTCATAGACGGCTCTTATTATTTTGAGATACATCCCATCAATACCTAATTTATTGAGAGTTTTTAGCATGAAGGTTGTTGAATTTTGTCAAAGGCCTTTTCTGCATCTATTGAGATAATCATGTGGTTTTTGTCTTTGGTTCTGTTTATTTGTGGGATTACATTTATTGATTTTCATATGTTGAACCAGCCTGGCATCCCAGGGATGAAGCACACTTGATCATGGTGGATAAGCTTTTTGATGTGCTGCTGGTTTCGGTTTGCCAATATTTTACTGAGGATTTTTGCATTGATGTTCATCAAGGATATTGGTCTAAAATTCTCTTTTTTGGTTGTGTCTCTGCCAGACTTTGGTATCAGGATGATGCTGGCCTCATAAAATGAGTCAGGGAGGATTCCCTCTTTTTCTGTTGATTCGAATAGTTTCAGAAGGAATGGTACCAGCTCCTCTTTGTACCTCTGGTAGAATTCGGCTGTGAATCCATCTGGTCCTAGACTTTTTTTGGTTGGTAAGCTATTGATTATTGCCTCAATTTCAGAGCCTGTTGTTGATCTATTCAGAGATTCAACTTCTTCCTGGTTTAGTCTTGGGAGGATGTATGTGTCGAGGAATTTATCCATTTCTTGTACATTTTCTAGTTTATTTGCATACTGGTGTTTCTAGTATTCTCTGATGGTAGTTTGCATTTCTGTGGGATCAGTGGTGATATCCCCTTTGTCATTTTTTATTGCGTCTATTTGATTCTTCTCTCTTTTCTTCTTTATTACTCATGCTAGCAGTCTATCAATTTTGTTGATCTTTTCAAAAAACCAGCTCCTGGATTCATTGATTTTTTGAAGGGTTTTTTGTGTCTCTATTTCCTTCAGTTCTGCTCTGATCTTAGTTATTTCTTGCCTTCTGCTAGCTTTTGAATGTGTTTGCTCTTGCTTTTCTAGTTCTTTTAATTGTGATGTTAGGGTGTCAATTTTAGATCTTTCCTGCTTTCTCTTGTGGGCATTTAGTGCTATAAATTTCCCTCTACACACTGCTTTGAATGTGTCCCAGAGATTCTGGTATGTTGTGTCTTTGTTCTCATTGGTTTCAAAGAACATCTTTATTTCTGCCTTCATTTCATTATTTACCCAGTAGTCATTCAGGAGCAGGTTGTTCAGTTTCCATGTAGTTGAGCGGTTTTGAGTGAGTTTCTTAATCTTGAATTCTAGTTTGATTGCACTGTGGTCTGAGAGACAGATCATTATAATTTCTGCTCTTTTACATTTGCTGAGGAGTGCTTTACTTCCAACTCTGTGGTCAATTTTGGAATAGGTGTGGTGTGGTGCTGAAAAGAATGTATATTCTCTTAATTTGGGGTGGAGAGTTCTGTAGATGTCTATTAGGTCCGCTTGGTGCAGAGCTGAGTTCAATTCCTGGGTATCCTTGTTAACTTTCTGTCTTGTTGATCTGTCTAATGTTGACAGTGGGGTGTTAAAGCCTCCCATTATCATTGTGTAGGAGTCTAAGTCTCTCTGTAGATCACTAAGGACTTGCTTTATGAATCTGGGTGCTCCTGTATTGAGTGCATATATATTTAGGATAGTTAGCTCTTCTTGTTGAATTGATCCCTTTACCATTATGTAATGGCCTTCTTTGTCTTTTTTGATCTTTGTTGGTTTAAAGTCTGTTTTATCTGAGACTAGGATTGCAACCCCTGCATTTGTTTGTTTTCCATTTGCTTGGTAGATCTTCCTCCATCCCTTTATTTTGAGTGTATGTGCGTCTCTGCACATGAGATGGGTTTCCTGAATACAGCACACTGACGGGTCTTGACTGTTTATCCAAATTGCCAGACTGTGTCTTTTAATTGGAGCATTTAGTCCATTTACATTTAAAGTTAATATTGTTACGTGTGACTTTGATCCTGTCATTATGATGTTAGCTGGTTATTTTGCTCGTTAGTTGATGCAGTTTCTTCGTAGCCTCGATGGTCTTTACAATTTGGCATGTTTTTGCAGGGGCTGGTACCGGTTGTTCCTTTCCATGTTTAGTGCTTCCTTCAGGAGCTCTTTTAGGGCATGCCTGGTGGTGACAAAATCTCTCAACATTTGCTTGTCTGTAAAGTATTTTATTTCTCCTTCACTTATGAAGCTTAGTTTGGCTTGATATGAGATTCTGGGTTGAAATTTCTTTTCTTTAAGAATGTTGAATATTGGTCCCCACTCTCTTCTGGCTTGTAGAGTTTCTACCGAGATATCGGCTGTTAGTGTGATGGGCTTCCCTTTGTGGGTAACCCGACCTTTCTCTCTGGCTGCCCTTAACATTTTTTCCTTCATTTCAACTTTGGTGAATCTGACAATTATGTGTCTTGGAGTTACTCTTCTCGAGGAATATCTTTGTGACATTTTCTGTATTTCCTGAATTTGAATGTTGGCCTGCCTTGTTAGATTGGGGAAGTTCTCCTAGGTAATATCCTGCAGAGTGTTTTCCAACTTGGTTCCATTCTCCCCGTCACTTTCAGGTACACCAATCAGACGTAGATTTGGTCTTTTCACATAGTCCCATATTTCTTGGAGGCTTTGTTCATTTCTTCTTATTCTTTTTTCTCTAAACTTCTCTTCTTGCTTCATTTCATTCATTTCGTCTTCCATCGCTCATACCCTTTCTTCCAGTTGATCACATCGGCTACTGAGACTTCTGCATTCGTCACATAGCTCTCGTGCCTTGGTTTTCAGCTCCATCAGGTCCTTTAAGGACTTCTCTGCATTGGTTTTCTAGTTATCCATTCATCTAATTTTTTTCAAAGTTTTAACTTCTTTGCCATTGATTCGAATTTCCTCCTGTAGCTAGGAGTAGTTTGATCATCTGAAGCCTTCTTCTCTCATCTTGTCAAAGTCATTCTCCATCCAGCTTTGTTCCATTGCTGGTGAGGAGCTGCGTTCCTTTGGAGGAGGAGAGGCACTCTGATTTTTAGAGTTTCCAGTTTTTCTGCTCTGTTTTTTTCCCATCTTTGTGGTTTTATCTACCTTTGGTCTTTGATGATGGTGACGTACAGATGGGTTTTTGGTGTGGATGTCTTTTCTGTTTGTCAGTTTTCCTTCTAACAGACAGGACCCTCAGCTTCAAGTCTGTTGGAGTTTGCTAGAGGTCCACTCCAGATCCTGTTTGCCTGGGTATGTGCAGCGGTGGCTGCAGAACAGCGGATATTGGTGAACCGCAAATGCTGCTGCCTGATGGTTCCTCTGGAGGTTTTGTCTCAGAGGAGTACCCGGCTGTGTGAGGTGTCAGTCCTCCCCTACTGGGGGATGCCTCCCAGTTAGGCTACTCGGGGGTCAGGGACCCACTTGAGGAGGCAGTCTGCCCGACCTCAGATCTCAAGCTGCGTGCTGGGAGAACCACTACTCTCTTCAAAGCTGTCAGACAGGGACATTTAAGTCTGCAAAGGTTACTGCTGCCTTTTTGTTTGTCTGTGCCCTGCCCCCAGAGGTGGAGCCTACAGAGGCAGGAAGGCCTCCTTGAGCTGTGGTGGGCTCCACCCAATTCGAGCTTCCCAGCTGCTTTGTTTACCTAATCAAACAACTAACTGAGCAATGGCTGGCACCCCTCCCGCAGCCTCGCTGCCACCTTGCAGTTTGATCTCTGACTGCTGTTCTACCAATGAGCGAGACTCCGTGGGTGTAGGACCCTCTGAGCCATGTGCGGGATATAATCTCCTGGTGTGCCGTTTTTTAAGCCCATTGGAAAAGCGCAGTATTAGGGTGGGAGTGACCCGATTTTCCAGGTGCTGTCTGTCACCACTTTCTTTGCCTAGGAAAGGGAATTCCCTGACCCCTTGTGCTTCCTGGGTGAGGTGATGCCTTGCCCTGCTTCAGCTCATGCAGTGTGCACTCCACCCACTGTCCTGCACCTACTATCTGGCACTCCCCAGTGAGATGAACCCAGTACCTCAGCTGGAGATGCAGAAATCACCCGTCTTCTGCATCGCTCATGCTGGAAGCTGTAGACTGGAGCTGTTCCTATTCGGCCATGTTGGCTCCACCACGTCTATGTTTTATCACATGTATTTTTGCTCTTGTATTATGTCCTTGGGAGCTTGATCTTTTAACCATGTGGTGGTGCTTTCTTTTGGTCTCCACCTTCAGGGAGCAGGAATTTTAAGTTTCATGTCATAGTTAGCTCTAAAAATCATATTAAATGGTTAAAAACATTTTCAAGCTCAAAATTAACTACTCTAGACTTTTTCTGGGAGGCAAAGTACCGACCTTCCTGTGCTGTAGCTCAGTAGTCAGGGTCTTGCACTTTCACAGTGACTGTCTGTTGTTCGATTCCCCACCTTCAGAATAAGTCATTTCTGGTTTAGTATCTGAGTGACCTTGTCTATTCTCTTCTCCTCGTCGGACTGTCTTAAATTTTCCTTTCTCTAAGCACCTAGGGGGTTACCTTTGGTAAAGTTCAGAAGCTAGAAATATTGGCTGCTTGACATGGCTAAAGTCGGGTAATAAGAGATCTGAAAGGATTTTGTTTGTTTGTTTGTTTGAGACGGAGTCTTGCTCTGTCGTCCAGGCTGGAGTGCAAGCTCCCCTTCCCGAGTTCACTCCATGCTCCTGCCTCAGCCTCCCAAGTAGCTGCAACAAGTACATTGTTTTCTTTCTAACTTTCTGTCTGAATAATTTATTGCTTTCAGTAGAGTAATAATAGCTTCCATTATTATCATAATGGTCTGTTTTTTCTACAGTAATATATAAAATATATATTATTATATAGATATTATATAGATATTTTTATATACATATATAAATATGTCTACATATTTATGTGCTCCAATGTTGGATGCATATATAAATTGTTATAACCTTTTGATAAATTAGCTTGTTGTCATTATATAGTGAACTTCTTTATATCTTGTGACAGATTGTTTCTAGAAGTCTATTTTGTCTGATATAAATATAGCCACTAATACACTCTTTTAGTTATTATTGGCATAGTAATTTTTTTAATTATTTAACCATTAACCTGTGTGTGACCTTAAATCTAAAAAATGTTTCTGGTGTACAACATACTATTATATTTTTTAATGTCTTTTTTTATTATACTTTAAGTTCTTGGGTACATGTGCAGAACATGCAGGTTTGTTACTTAGGTATACACGTGCCATGGTGGTTTGCTACACCCATTAACTTGTCATCTACATTAGGTATTTCTCCTAATGCTATCCCTCCCCTATCCCCCCACCTCATGACAGGCCCTGGTGTGTGATGTTCTCTTCGCTGTGTCCATGTGATCTCATTGTTCAACTCCCACTTATGAGTGAGAACATGTGGTGTTTGGTTTTCTGTTCTTGTGTTAGTTTGCTGAGAATCATGGCTCCCAGCTTCAACCATGCCACTGCAAACGACATGAACTCATCCTTTTTTATGGCTGCATAGTATTCCATGGTGTATATGTGCCACATTTTCTTTATCCAGTCTATCATTAATGGGCATTTGGGTTGGTTCCAAGTCTTTGCTATTGTGAAAAGTGCTGCAATAAATGTACGTGTGCATGTTTATTGTGTGCATTTATAGTATAATGATTTATAATCCTTTGGGTATATACCCAGTAATGAGATTTCTGGGTCAAGTGGTATTTCTGGTTCAAGATCCTTGAGGAATCACCACACTATCTTTCACAACGGTTGAACTAATTTACACTCCCACCAACAATGTAAAAGCGTTCGTATTTCTCCACATGATCTTAAGCATCTGTTGTTTCCTGACTTTTTAATGATCGCCATTCAAACGGGTGTGAGATGGCTTAATTAGATTCCATTTGTCAATTTTGGCTTCTGTTGCCATTGCTTTTGCTGATTTAGTCACAAAGTATTTGCCAATGCCTATGTCCTGAATTGTATTGCCTAGGTTTTCTTCTAGGGTTTTTATGGTTTTAGGTCTTATGTTTAAGTCTTTAATCCATCTTGAGTTAATTTTTTATAAGGTGTAAGGAAGGGGTCCAGTTTCAGTTTTCTGCATATAGCTAGCCAGTTTTCCCAACACCATTTATTAAATAGGAAATCTTTTCCCCATTGCTTGTTTTTGTCAGGTTTCTCAAAGATCAGATGGTTGTAGATATGTGCTGTTATTTCTGAGGCCTCTGTTCTGTTCCACTGGTATATATATCTGTTTTGGTACCAGTACAATGCTGTTTTGGTTGCTGTAGCCTTGTAGTACAGATTGAAGTCAGGTAGCATGATGCCTCCAGCTTTGTTCTTTTTGCTTAGGATTGTCTTGTCTATGTGAGCTCTTTTTTTGTTTTATATGAAATTTAAAATATCTTGTCCTAATTCTGTGAAGAAAGTCAATGGTAGCTTGATGGGGATAGCATTGAAGTTTTTAATCTCTTTAGACATTTTGTGAATGTTTTAGTTCATTTTCTGTTTCAATAACAGAATATTCTAGAGTGGGCAATTTATAAAGAAGAAAGTTTACTTAGCTCATTTTTTTAGATGCCGAAAGTCCAAGAACATGCCATTGCCATCTGATAAGAACCATATTTCCAAGTCACAAAATGGTCAAAGGCATAAAGAGGGCAGAAGGTGTATATCAGAGAGCTTTCTTTTATGACGGAACCACTCTCATGATAACTAATCCATCCTGGAAATAATGACATTAATTCATTCATGGAGTAGAGCCCTCATGACCTAGTAAATTAATAAATGTCTATCCTCCTAATTACATAACAATGAGTTAAATTTCAACATAAGTTTTGGAAGGGACATTCATACCACAGCAATGTGTTTTTGTTGGGTAATTTGACTTTTTATATTTAAAAATATTGATAAGTAAGTACATATTACTGTCATTTTGTTAATTGTTGTCTGATCATTTAGTAGTTTCTTTGTTTTTTTTATGCTGTCTTCCTTTGTGTTTTTGTTTTTTTTTTTGCTTTTATTACTGTTATATGCTTTGATCTCTTTTCTTTTTTGTATCTATTATAACTTTTTTCTTGTAATTACCAAGAGACTTACATAAAACATCTCATAATTATGAGTCTTGCTTAAGATAGTAACAATTTATCTTCTATGCATAAAAAAACTCAACAATTTTACTTTTTTCAACACACAATTTATGTCACACTTTAAAGTACATTGCCTTAAAACCATCCTCTACAAACGTTTCAACATTCTCTTTTAAAGCTTCTATGTGGGCTGAGAGCAAAGCTACAAAGGACCACAAGACTCCCTTAAGTTAGAGGCAAAACTTTAGTCCTTAGCTTGCTGACTAAGCTGCTAGGCACCTGAGTGGGCTGCCTGTGACCATAATTATAAATTTCAGGCCAGCCTTTTCTGTCTTTTGGCATCTCGTCAGCCGACCTGGATTTCATGTTCTTCAGAAAATCTTTGGCCTTTCTTAGATGAAACTTTAGTATTTCCTCATGGCTTCGATGCCTCATTTGGTTCAAGAGCTCATCAAATTGGGCCTCCCGGACCTGAGATCTGTCTCCAAAACAAGAAGAGGCTGAAATGAGACACCAGAGCTCAAAAAGTTTAAACGGCATGCAGAGATTCTGCAAGTAGAACTGAAGACCAGGCACCCAGACAGGTGCAGAAATTTTATTACTATGAAAAACGGTACCAAATTTGCCACTGACCTCCCATTTGTCTCTGATTTGGGCCTCTGGTCTCCTCTCTCTTTCTGGAATGTTCTTCTCTGCTCAATTTCCATCTACCAAAACCCAACACATATCACACTCCTCAGGGACACTTATTCACCCCACCTGTTTGGTCACCTTCTATACCTTCCTATGGTACTTGCTTCTTACTTTTCTTCTCACCATTTATACTTGAACTCAGATACAATGTACAACCCCTATTCACATCCTAGAGTGAATAGGAGATGCCAGACAGAAACACAAACTCAGCCCAGGTGTGGTGGTTCACACCTGTAATCCCAGCACTATGGAAGAATTGCTTGAGCCCAGTAGTTCAAGACCAGCCTGCGCAACATGTTGAGACTGCATCTCTACAAAAAATTTTAAAAATTAGCTGGACATGGTGTGTTGCAGGCCTGTGGTTTCAGCTACTCAAAAAGCTAAAGAGGAGGGTCACTTGAGCCTGAGAGTTCTAGGTTTCAGTGAGCTGTGGTCAAACTGCTGCACTCTAGCCTGTGGGACAGTGAGACTCTGCCTTAAAAAAAGACAACAAAATGATATAATTGTATAGCTTTCTACGAATGGTATATAAATATACAAATATATAATTCTGTAGCATCATAATGATGATGCATAAAGCATTCTATTTCTTTTATAGAACCTGAATGGCTAGAGCATAAAAACAATTATAAACCTTTCTTAATGGATATGTTATATAAAAATATAAAAACAAATATATAAGGTAATTTAAGTTTTTTTTCTTTTCTTTATTATTATTATACTTTAAGTTTTAGGGTACATGTGCACAATGTGCAGGTTAGTTACATATGTATACATGTGTCATGCTGGTGTGCTGCACCCATTAACTCGTCATTTAGCGTTAGGTATATCTCCTAATGCTATCCCTCCCCCCTCCCCCCACCCCACAACAGTCCCCAGAGTGTGACGTTCCCCTTCCTGTGTCCATGTGTTCTCATTGTTCAATTCCCATCTATGAGTGAGAACATGCAGTGTTTGGTTTTTTCTCCTTGCGATAGTTTGCTGAGATGATAGTTTCCAATTTCATCCATGTCCCTACAAAGGACATGAACTCATCATTTTTTATGGCTGCATAGTATTCCATGGTGTATATGTGCCACATTTTCTTAATCCAGTCTATCATTGTTGGACATTTGGGTTGGTTCCAAGTCTTTGCTATTGTGAATAGTGCCAGTATAAACATACGTGTGCATGTTTCTTTATAGCAGCATGATTTATAGTCATTTGGGTATATACCCAGTAATGCGATGGCTGGGTCAAATGGTATTTCTAGTTCTAGATCCCTGAGGAATCGCCACACTGACTTCCACAGTGGTCGAACTAGTTTACAGTCCCACCAACAGTGTAAAAGTGTTCCTATTTCTCCACATCCTCTCCAGCACCTGTTGTTTCCTGACTTTTTAATGATTGCCATTCTAACTGGTGTGAGATGATATCTCATTGTGGTTTTGATTTGCATTTCTCTAATGGCCAGTGATGATGAGCATTTTTTCATGTCTTTTGGCTTCATAAATATCTTCTTTTGAAAAGTGTCTGTTCATATCCTTTGCCCACTTTTTGATGGGGTTGTTTGTTTTTTTCTTGTAAATTTGTTTGAGTTCATTGTAGATTCTGGATATTAGCCCTTTGTCACATGAGTAAGTTGTGAAAATTTTCTCCCATTTTGTAGGTTGCCTGTTCACTCTGATGGTAGTTTCTTTTGCTGTGCAGAAACTCTTTAGTTTAATTAAGTTTGAGGAGAGATGCAGAGAGAACATTTTGTATGCAATGAAAGTTAATTTTTTACCAGCTTAAAATATATTGTAACTTCGGGATGTTTTATTTAATCAACCTGATAACCACAAAAATACCCATAGAAATACAGAAAAGAAAATCAGAAAGGAACCAAAGCATATCACTACAAAAGAAAAGAATCTATGAAACACAAGAAAAGCAGTAAGGGAGAAAATGACAAAAAATAATAGCTACAAAAAGGAAACACAAGTAACAATATAACTGATATGATTTAGCTCTGTGCTTCCACCCAAATCTCAAGTCAAGATGTAACCCCCATGTGTCAAGGGAGGGACCTGATGAAAGGTGATGGGATCATGGGGGTGGATTTTCCCCATACTGTTCTCATGATAGTGAGTGACTACTTACGAGATCTGATGATTGAAAAGTGTGGCACTTCCCCCCCTCTTTCTCTCTCCTGCTCCACCATTATGAGGACATGCTTGTTTTCCCTTTCCCTTCCACCATAATTGTAAGTTTCCTGAGTCCTCCAAGTCATGCTTCCTGTTAAGCCTGTAGAACTGTCAGTCAATTAAACTTCTTTTATTTATAAATTATTCAGTCTCAGATAGTTTTTATAGCAGTTTTAAAAGACTAGTATAGTAGCCATAGTAAGTCCACCTGTTACTAAAATTTAAAAAACATACATGATGTTCATCATCACTAGAACATCCATATTAGAAATGCTAAAAAGAGACTTTTATGTTGAAAAATAAAGCAATGCTAGACAGCTAATTATAAAACCATGTAAAAATAAGGAACTCTCTGTTAAAGGTAAATATACAAAAAATAGAGAATTTTCTATTATCATAATGATAGTGTATAAAATACACATAATTCTGCTATAAAATTGTAAAAATAAAAACACTAAAAATTTGCAAATATGTTTGTTAATAAGTACACAATATAAAAATGTATATGTTGTAAAAATTAATAAGGTAAAATTTTATTGTTTTAACATAATAAGGCAAAGAAGAGATGTAAAGAGGTAGTTTTTTGTATTCAATTAAAGTTAAGTTGTTATGAGATAAAATATATTTACATAATTTTAAAGTGTTTTATATACTCTCTATTCCTCCTGATGATCACAAAGAAAATATCTATGGGAAGTACACAAAAGAAGATAAAAAAGAAATCAAAATATATCCATTCAAAATCAACAATGCACAAAAAAAGGCAGTAAGAAGGAAAAGGAGAAAAAAACATAACTATAAGAAACAGAAAATAATTGAATGGCAATAGAAATTCTTTTTCTACAGTAATTACTTTAAATATAAATTCATTAAACTTTCTATACAAAAGGCATAAAATGCATAAGTGGATTCACAGTAAACAATATCCAAAAATATGCTGTTTTTAGGAGACTCACTTTTGGTCTAAGGAATTAAATAGGCTGAAAGAAATAGAATGAAAAAAGATAATCCACATGAATAGTACCAAAATAGGACAGAGTCATCATACTTATTTTAACCCAAATGTGCCTCAGATTAAAACTGTCAAAAGAGACAAGGAATAATATGATATAATGATAAAAGAGTCTATTTGCCAGGAATCTCTAGGAGGTATAAATATAAATATGCACATAATATAAGGGTTCCCAAATATGTAAAGTAAATATTGACCAAAGCAAAGCAAGAAATATACATCAACACAATAATTGTGGGAGACTTTAATACCCCACTTTTAATAATAAATAGAAAAAACAGGTAAAAGATCAGTACAAAAGAAAACTTGAACAACATTAAAGACCAATTAGACCTAATAGACATATGTAGAGCTTTTCAGTCAACCATAGAAGAATAAACAATATTCCCAATCACATGACACACCCTTAAGAATAGACAACACATTAGGACACAAAACAAGTCTTATTACATCTAAGAAGACTGAGACTATACAATGTATTCTTTCTGGCCACAATAAAATGAAACTAGTAGCTAAAATCAGAAAGAAAACTGTCATATCCCAAAATATGCATAACTTAAGCAATACACCTTTGAACCCACTCTTGCTCAAGAGTCGGATGACTTCATATTGTTAAAATGTTAACACTGCCTACATTGACATACAGGTTCAATGTAATCCCTATGAAAATTACAATGGTACTTTTTTACTGAAACATTAAAAAAATCTAAAATTTACATAAAATCTCAAGCCACCATAAATAGCCACCATAGCTTTAGAAAGGAAGTATAGAGTTGGTCAGGTGCGGTGGCTCACACCTGTAATCCCAGCATTTTGGGAGGCCAAGGTGGGTGGATCAAGAGGTCTGGAGTTCAAGACCAGCCTGGCCAAGAAGGTGAAATCGCGTCTCTACTAAAATACAAAAATTAGTCGGGTGTGGCAGTGGGCACTTGTAATCCCAGCTACTCGGCAGGCTGAGGCAGGGAATTGCTTGAATCTGGAAGGCAGAGAATGCAGTGAGCTGAGATTGTGCCACTGCACTCCAGCCTGAGTAACAGAGTGAGTCTCTGTCAAAAAAGAAAGAAAGAAAGAAAGAAAGAAAGAAAGAAAGAAAGAAAGAAAGAAAGAAAAGAAAGAGAGAGAGAAAGGAGAAAGAGAGAAAGAAAGAAAGAAAGAAAGAAAGAAAGAAAGAAAGAAAGAAAGAAAAGAAGGAAGGAAGGAAAGAAAGAAGGAAAGAAAGAAAGAAAAGTATAAAGTTAAAGACATCATATTTTCTGATTTCAAGACATATCACAAAGTTACAGAAATTAAAACAATAAGGTAATAGTATAAAGACAAAGAGGTGATGAAATAGAATAGAAACCCCAAAATAAACCCTTGTGAATATAATCAGATGACCTGCACTTGGGTTGCTATGACCATACAATGGAGAAAGAATAATCTTTTCAACAAATGGTGTTGGAAAACTGACTATCCACCAAAAGAAAAATAACAAAGTAGGACCCTTCTCTTGCACCGTATATAAAACTATCTTAAATATTTCAATGTAAAAACTATAATTATAAAAGTTTTTGAATAAAATATTCCAAGTACATTTTACAAGGTGGGAGAATTATTACTTTGATCTTGACAATATTTTCTTGAATATGACATAAAAAGGCATAAGCAACAACAAGAAAGTAAAATGAGACTGCATAAATCCATACATAACTGGCTTATACTAAACATCACAAAAACGAGTGTTCAATAAGTGTCCACTTAATGTCATCAATAGGATCTTGAAAAATGACATTTTTCAAACTTCTATTTTAAGTTCAGATGTAAAAGTGCAGATTTGTTACATAGGTAAACCTGTGTCATGGGGGTTTGTTGTACAGATGGAAAATGACTTTAAATGAAACACTGTACTGTATGCCATAGAAATGTAATGCTTGTTTATATCAAGCATTTATAATAAAAATTATAATATCAAGCACTAGTATTATATTATATATTTGTATGTGTAAAATTATACATACAAATACACATACACAGGCACACACACATAGTTGTTTATTACATGTTTGTCCTTATGGATAAGCAAGTATCCATAGGGGATTTGTTCCAAGACACCCTTGGGATACCAAAATTCTAGATGTTCAAGTTTCTTATATAAAGAGAAGGATTATTACCTTTTTTTTTTTTTTGAGAGGAAGTTTTGCTCTTGTCACCAAGGCTGGATTGCAGTGATGCGATCTCGGCTCACCGCAACCTCCACCTCTCGGTTTCAAGCGATTCTCCTGCCTCAGCCTCCTGAGTAGCTGGCATTACAGGTGCCCACCACCATGCCAAGCTAATTTTTTGTATTTTTAGTAGAGACGGGGTTTCACCATGTCAGGCAGGCTGGTCTTGAACTCCTGGCCTCAGGTGATCCACCTGCCTTGGCCTCCCACAGTGATGGGATTACAGGCGTAACCCACCACACCCGGCCAAGAGAAGGATTATTTTCATATAACCTAGGCACAATCTCCTGTATAATACTTAATTCATCTCTAGATTACTTATTATATCTAAAGCAACATAAATGCTATGTAAATAGTTCTGTATTGCTGAGGGATAATGACAATAATATCTGTACATGTTCAGTACAAAAGTAAACATTGTATGCTTAACTACATATTTTATTCAAGGTTGGTTTGAATTCACAGATGTGTTATTCATGGACTTCAAGGGCCAAATCGTGTGTGTGTGTGCGTTTGTGTGTGAGTGTAGAAAAATAAATTCAACACCCTGTACCTATCAACTACTTAATAAAACTTTACCCCTACATTTGAAGCTGTCTGTATTGTCTACACAGTGTTTCCCAAATATAATTATTTGCTGCTCTACCTCAGAAAATCATCATTCATCTTAAGTTTTGAGAAAGTATAATCCATTTGACTTTTATTATTAATTATACTACATATGTAGGTATATAAATAATACATTGTTTAACTTTGTAAGTTTTAAAACTTTCTGTAAAGATCCATGCTGTATATACTTCTGTAATGTTCTCTTATTCAACATTGTAATTTAAAAAGTCTTTCATGTTTTAGTTTCTTCCTCAACTTTCTGTAATGATGCATGCTGTACATACTTCTGTAGTGTTCTGTTATTCAACATTGTAATTTTAAAAGCCTTTCATGTTTTAGTTTCTTCATCAAATATATGCATTGTTTATAAATTAGCCTCTTAATTGAAGATACTGAACTCTACCTCAAAGAGAATTCTTGAGACAATAAATGCAAAATTCTCATAGCAGTGCTTGACTCATTGTAGGTGTCCAATAGTGTGATATCCTACCGTGTTTTAACCTGAATTGACTCCCTTAGCTGAGAGAGCCAGACAGACTCCATTTTGGCTCCTTCAGTTGCAGTCCCTTACCTACCCCCCTTCCTCAAGGACTTAACTTGTGCAAGCTGACTCCCAGCACATCCAAGAATGCAATTACTGATAAGATACTGTGGCAAGTTATATACGCAGTTCCCAGGAGTTCACCCAGTTGATATTACCCAAAGCCCCCATGTTTGTGTCCGGTTGACAGCACCCAAAGCCCCTGCATCTATCACCTTGTGATAGATTTAAAGCCCTGCACCTGGAACTGTTTGTTTTCCTGTACCCATTTATCTTTTCAACTTTGTTGCCTGTTTTGCTTCTGTAAGATTGCTTCAGCTAGGCTCCCCCTCCCCTTTCTAAACAAAGGATAAAAGAAAATCTAGCCCCTTCTTTGGGGCTGAGAGAATTTTGAGCGCTAGCCATCTCTCAGTCACCGGCAAATAAAGGACTCCTGAATTAGTCTCAAAGTGTGGTGTTTTTCTATAACTCACTCGGTTACAACATTTGGAGGCCCCAGTGAGATTTCTCCACTGGGTGAGTGCTGGACTCATTCCAGGATCCCCCAGACAGATGGCGGGCTTATAGGGGAGGCATCACCTGAAGACGCTCCAGGGCCCCATAGGCCACAGTCTTCCAGAGGGGAATGGATCGACTGCTGGTGTGTGCCCACCAAATTCAACTCCTGAATCTTCAGTCTCTGGTCCTGGGAAGTTAAGTCAGATCTGACTCTGTTTCTCTGGGAGGGAAACGGCCCTGACAAGGGCCCTCCCTCAGACTCCATACACACTCCAGGATGCTGGTTTCTGTCAGGCTTCCTGTTAAGACTCTCTCTCTCTCTCTCTGTCTCTTCTTTTCTCGTTCAGGTCTCAAGGAGACCTCTGTTTAAACGGGTATAAAAAAATTGTAATAAACTCTGAGTGAGTGAGTTAGTGAGTGAATGTGGAGTTGAAGGGCTTGCACTTGAATTTCCAGTTTGTAGCTGTATGGTAAAAGCTATGGAGTTCGAGTGGGCCCTCACCTGCAGTTCCGTGGTGACCTCATAAGGCTTAGGGCAGCATCGGGCGTAGCTCGATCTGAGCTGGGGATTTATACCAGCCTGCCAATGCCAAGAGGAGCCTAAGTCCCCACAAGGGGAGCAGCCAGGTGGGCATTTGACTGATCCCATCACGGGAACCCCTCCCCTTGTCTGTCTATAAACACTGTCATAACTGTTTTTATATCCCAGTGTCTATTGTGCTGTCTGCTGTTTGTCTAAGTTTCCTATGTCAGGTCATTGATACTGCCCAAGATGACTGGGCAAGGACTTCTTCAAGGTCCTCAGTACAGATTTTCTATCCCAGGAGGTCAAATCTCTCATTAGTTGTTTGGGCTGGTCATCCCAGTCCTGCCTTTTCTGTCAGAAACAAATCAGGTGTTGTTATGGGGAAGGGTGTGGGAAACATTAGCCTCTTTGGGACTTCTGGCACCATAAAGGTTGCTGGCATTTGAATTGCCATACCCTGTGCCCAATGACTGGACCACCTCCTCCTTAGACCAGTGGTGGTTTTGAAATAGCTACCCTGCAGACCTCCTTATTCACGTTTTCTGTCATCCTGTAAATTTTCCCATGCCCTTGGATAAGGCACTGTACAGAGAAACCTAAGCCCATACTGCTTTACTCCTTCTGGACTCCTATTCTATTCTTCTGTGGCTATTCTCCTACCTTAGGAAAGATCTGAGTGGCCCCTTTCCTCCATATCCCCATCCCTTACCCCACACATCTCATTTTCCTGTATCACAGCAAGTCCAGCACCTCCAAGACTTGGCTCTGCTCTCCCTCCTAAAACCCTTAAAAGAAAAGGCCAAGTTTGAACTTTTTGCCTTCAAGTCATGGAGACACCAAAAATATTTGGGCTATAAGTCAAAAAAGAGAGGGGGATCACATAGGTCCCACTGGCCTCGGACCCACCTCTTTTCCTCTCTCCCTAGATCTCAAAGTGTAAGAAGACAGACCTTATGTGGCAAGAAGTGTTGGCTATAGTTGTTTTCCTACTTCTTCTGGTTATAATACTTCTTTTCTTCTGATACTACAGTCCCCCAGGTTGTGAATTTCTCTGTCAATGCTGGGTTTAATATTTCTGCTCAAACCTTGTTAAATTGCCTCCAGAATGGGAAACTCTTCTTCCCAGCCTCATAGAGATTGGAGCCCTCTCCAATGTATGTTACAAAATTTCTCTCTAGGCTTCTCAGAGGATTATGGGGTCCACCTTAAAAAAGGCAAACTCTGGACACTCTGTGAAGTAGAATGGCCACAGTTTGGAACCGGGTGGCACCTAGAAGGGTCACTGAATCTCACAGCTGTTCAGGCTGTGTGGTGGGTCATTGCTGGAACTCCCAGTCACCCTGATCAGTTTCCCTACATAGATCAATGGCTGAACTTGGTCCAGAGCCCTCCCACTTGGCTCTGCTCATGCGCAATTTATAATCCTACCTCCAAGGTCCTTTTGAGCCAGACCTCACTGTCTTCCCAACCCTCAGCTCGCTCAGCTCCTCCTGTACTGCCTCCTTCTGAAGAAGAGGAAAGTTTTCCTCACCCATTTCCACTGCCCTATAACCCTCCTGCTCCCCCAGAATCTTCCCTAGTCTCTTCAACTACATCCCCTGTGGCCTCTCCACCTGTAGCCTCCCAATTATAGCCTTGGCAGGAGGAGGTAGTCCCCCTCCTCCCAATGAGAGAAGCACAAATCCCTCTAGGTGAGGAGCACTCTGCTCTATTTTTAGTTTATGTCCCCTTCTCTACTTCTGACCTGTACAACTGGAAGGCTCATAATCCCCACTTCTCTGAAAAGTCCCAGATCTTGACCTCACTGATGGAGCTCATGCTCTGGACTCACCGGCCCACCTGGGATGACTGTCAGCAACTCCTTTTAACCCTTTTCACCTCTGAAGAGAGGGACCATATCTGAAGAGAGGCCAGAAAGTATTTCCTTACATCAGCCGGTAGACCAGAGGAGGAAGCCCAAAACCTCCTAGAGGAGGTTCCTCCATCTACCCAGCCTAATTGGGATCCAAACTCCTCGGGTGGAAAGAGAGCTTTAAATGATTTTCACTGGTATCTTCTTGTGGGTATCAAGGGAGCTGCTCAAAAACCCATGAATCTGTCTAAGACAACTGAGGTGGTTCAGGGGCCTGATGAGTCACCTGGAGCGTTTTTAGAATGCCTCCAGGAGGCCTTTCAGACTTACACCCCTTTTGACCTGGTGGCTCCCAAGAATAGTCGGGATATTAATTTGGCATTAGTGGCTCAGTCAGCCCCTGATATTAAAAGAAAATTACAAAAGCTGGAGGGATTTGCTGGAATGAACATTAGCCAGCTTTTAGAAGTAGCCCAGAGAGTTTTTGACAATCGAGAGTTTGAAAAGCAAAAACAGGCAGCTCAGGCAGCTGAAAAGCCTGCTGATAAAGCACCCAAAAGACAAGCAAAAATCTTAATGGTGGCCATCCAGGAAGCCAAAAAGGAAGGGCCCCCATCACAGAGCACTAGCCAGGGGACCCTAGGTCCACACCAGAAAAGCCAGAAAAGCGAGTGGGCTTCCCTACAAAGAAACCAATGCGCTTATTGCAAGCAGATTGGACACTGGAAGAAGGAATGCCCATTAAAGCCAGAGGAAAAACCAGAAAAGAAAAAGGTCCTCACCCTCCCCACAGCGGAGGAGTCTGATGACTGATGGGACCAGGGCTCCCTCTCATTTGGCCCCCCAGGAACCCATGGTGACTGCTACAGTGGGGGGCCAGCACACACGCTTCCTAGTAGATACTGGGGCAGAACACTTGGTACTGCACACACCCTTGAGCAGTGTCTCTAATAAAAAGGTGGCTGTACAAGGGGCTACTGGAGCTATTCAGGAATATCCTGTCACACACTCACAAGAAGTGAGTTTGGGACAGAAAAGAGTAACCCTCTCATTTCTTGTAGTCCCAGAGTGCCCCATTCCCCTTCTCAGACAAGACCTGCTCCATAAGCTACAGGCATCTATCTCTTTCTCAGGCCAACAAGCTCACCTCACGTTAGGGGACACAATGCCCCCTACTGCCCGACTCCTGTTTACTACCCCTCTGTTGGAGGAATATCTCTTTGTTTCACCCTCACAACTGCTGAAGAATGAAGCTAATCCTCTCCTATTGGATCTACAGACTCTCTTTCCTTGAGTTTGGTCTGAGTCAAACCCCCAGGACTAGCAAAGCATCATCCACTGGTAGTTGTAGAACTCCTGGCCACTGCCCTGCCATTCCAGGTAAAACAATATCCTGTGAGTCAGTGGGCTGAGAGGGGATCAATCTCCATATTCAGTGACTGTTACAAGCTGGTATACTCACACCATGTCAGTCCACCTGGAATACTCCATTTTTGCCAGTCCAGAAACCCATAACAAATGATTACCAGGCAGTACAGGACTTGCAGGAAGTTAACAAGTGGACAGTTACTGTCCATCCGACTGTCCCTAGCCCTTATACTTTACTCAGCCTGCTCCTGCCAGAACATACAGTATACACTGTCCTTGACTTAAAGGATGCCCTCTTTGCTATTCCTCTGGCCCCCAAAAGCCAACCTATCTTTGCTTTTGAATGGACAGATCCTGGCTTGGGAGACACCACCTAATTAACCTGGGCTCGGTTACCCCAGGGTTTTAAAAATTCCCCCACACTTTGTAGAGAAGCCCTCCAACAAGATCTCATACCGTTCCATGCCAGTCACCCTAACTGCACTCTTCTCCAGTATGTGGATGACCTTTTACTAGCTACTGAAACTACTGACAGCTGCCTGCAACATACTAGGGACCTGCTTTGCCTTCCCCAGGAACTCAGGTACCGGGTCTCAGCTAAGAAGGCCCAGCTTTGTCTCCCCAGGATTTCCTACCTGGGGTATGTGATAGACAAGAGAAAAAGGGCACTCGCCAGTGCCTGAAAGGAAACCATCCTGTGGATCCCCATTCCCACCACCAAGAGACAGGTATGTGAATTCCTGGTGGCCATGGGATAGTGTTGTCTACGGATATCAGGTTTCATGGAAATTGGCAAGCCCCTATACTCCACTAGTGGAGGAAATGGCCCACTAGTTTGGACTGACACAGAGGAGGAGGCGTTTCAAAACCTTAAGAAAGCATTAACTGAGGCCCCTGCTCTAGCCCTCCAAATATCTAAAAGCCATTTTACCTTTTTGTTCATGAAAGCCAGGGAGTCACTAAAGGGGTACTCACTCAAACTTTGGGGCCATGGTGATACCCAGTGGCCTATTTGTCTAAGAGACTGGACCCTGTGGCCTCTGGGTGGCCAAGTTGTCTGTGAGCCATAGCAGCCACAGCAAGCCTGGTTCAAGAGGCTGATAAACTGACTCTAGGTCAAAATTTAACCCTTATGGCTCCTCATGCCATAGAGACATTGTTAAGAAGTGCTTCTGGCAAATGGATGTTGAACGCTCGCATCCTGCAGTATCACAATTTACTGTTAGATCAGCCTCGTTTAACTTTCTCTCCCACAAGGTGTTTAAATCCAGGTACCTTGTTCCCTGATTCAGACCTTACCCCACCTATCCATGACTGCCAGGAACTGTTAGTGACTATGGAAACTGGCCGACCTGATCTCCAAGATGTGCCTTTAAAGGAGGTGGATGCCACCATAGTTACAGATGGTAGCAACTTCCTTGAACAAGGAGTACGAAAGGCTGGTGCAACCGTTACTACAGCAACAGACATAGTGTGGGCCCAGGTGCTGCCAGCAGGCACCTTAGCATAGAGGGCTGAATTAGTTGTCCTCACTCAAGCCCTCTGATGGGGTAAGAACAAACGCGTTAATATCTACACTGACAGCAGGTATACTTTTGCTACTGTGCATGTACACAGAGCCATCTATCAGGAGTGTGGGCTACTCACCTCAGCAGGAAAAACTATCAAAAATAAAGAAGAAATTTTGGCCTTGCTTGAAGCTGTTTGGCTCCCTCAACAAGTGGCTGTAATTCACTGCAAAGGACATCAAAAAGAAGACACGGCCGTTGCTCGTGGTAACCAAAGAGCAGACTCTGCAGCTAAAGAGGCAGCTCAGTACCCAGTCACACCTTTGACCCTGCTGCCCGCTATATCCTTTCTGCAGCCTGACTTGCCGGGCCACCCAGAATACTCCCCAAAGGAGAAAAAACAGGCTTCGGATCTTCAGGCCAGTAAAAATCAGGAAGGTTGGTGGATTCTTCCTGATTCCAGAATCTTCATGCCCCGAGTCCTCGGGGAAACTTTAATCAGTCGTCTGCATTCTACCACCCATTTGCAAGGAGCAAAACTGGCCCAGCTTCTAAGGAGCCATTTCAAGATACCCCACCTTTGGACTTAACTAACCAAGCAGCTCTCCGGTGTACAGCTTGTGCTCAGGTAAATACCAGGCCAGGTCCTAAACCAGCCCAGGCCACTGCCTCTGGGGAGACTTACCAGGAGAAAGGTGGGAAATTGACTTTACAGAGATAAAACCACACCGGGCAGAGTATAAATAGCTCCTGGTGCTAGTAGACACCTTTTCTGGATGGACTGAAGCATTTGCCACCAAAAACGAGACTGCCACCATGGTAGTTAAGCTTTTACTCAATGAAATCATCCCTCGACATGGGCTGCCTGCTGCCATAGGGTCTGATAATGGACTGGCCTTCACCTCGTCCACAGCTCAGTCAGTCAGTAAGACATTAAACATTCAATGGAAACTCCATTGTGCCTATTGACCCCAGAGCTCTGGGCAGATAGAACACATGAATCGCACCCTAAAAAGTACTCTTACAAAATTAATCCTAGAGACTGGTGAGAATTGGGTAAAGCTCCTTCCTCTAGCCCTTCTTAAAGTAAGATGTACCCCTTACCAGGCTGGGTTTTCACCTTTTGAAATCATGTATGGGAGGGCTCTGCCTGTCTTGCCCAAACTAAGGGATACCCATTTAGCAGAAATCTCACAAGCTAATTTGTTACAGTATCTGCAGTCTCTCCAACAGGTATAAGACATCATCCAGCCACTTGTCCAGGGAGCACATCCCAATCCAGTTCCTGACCAGACAGGGATCTGCCACTCTTTCCAGCTGGGTGACCTGGTATATGTTAAAAAGTTCCAGAAGGAAGGACTCACTCCTGCCTGGAAAGGACCTCATACTGTTATCCTCACCATGCCAAAAGCTCTGAAAGTAGACAGCATTCCTGCTTGGATTCATCACCCTCACATCAAGAAGACCAACAAAGCCCAGCAAGAAACATGGGTCCCCAAGCCTGGGACAGGCCCCTTAAAACTGTGTCTAAGTCGACTGAAGCCATTAAATTAATTCTTTACCTCTTTTGTTTGTTTCAGCCTGTCATGCCTTCTGCTCCTTCCTACTCTTTTCTCCTTACTTCTTTCACGACAGGACGTGTGTTTGCAAACACCACCTGGAAGGCGGGGACCTCCAAGGAAGTCTCTTTTGCAGTTGATTTATGTGCTCTGTTCCCAGAGCCTGCCCATACCCTCGAAGAGCAACACAATCTGCTGATCATAGGAGCAGGAAACATCAACTTTGCTGCAGGGTTTGGATACTCCTAAAGCCAGACTTGATGTGGAAGCTCCAAAGGTGCAGAAAAAGGACTCCAAAATGCTGACTTTTACCTCTGTCCTGGAAATCACCCTGGCTCTAGTTGTCGAGATTCTTACCAGTTTTTCTGCCCTGACTGGATACGTGCAACTTTGGCCACCTACTGTGGGAGATCAGCCCGATCTTCAACCCTTTCCATACCTCGTGCTTCCCATCCTAAACTGTACTAGGGGAAATTGCAATCTTCTTACTATAACCATCCATAACCCTAATTTAGCTCAATGGTATTACAGCATGTCATGGGTATTAAGACTTTATATCCTAGGATTTGATGTTGGAATTACGTTCACCATCCAGAAGAAAATCCTGGTCTCATGGAGCCCTCCTAAGCCAATAGGGTCTTTAACTGATTCAGGTGATTGTCTAATTAGCACTGGATATAACTTATCTTCTTCTCCCTTTCAGGCTACCTGTAATCAGTCTCTACTTACTTCCTTAAGCACCTCAGTCTCCTACAAGGCACCTAACAATACCAGGCTAGCCTGCACTTCAGGTCTCACTTGCTGCATCAGTGGGACTGAACCAGGACCTCTCCTGTGTGTGTTGGTGCATGTGCTCCCCCAGGCCTACATGTACAGTGGGCCAGAAGGACAACTTCTCATCACTCCCCCTGAACTGCATCCCAAGTTTCACTGAGCTGCCCCACTCCTTGTTCCCCTCCTGGTCGGCCTAAGCATAGCTGGGTCAGCAGCCATTGGCATGGCTGCCCTGGTTCAGGGAGAAACTGGGCTAATGTCCCTACCTCAACAAGTAGATGCTGATTTAAGCCATCTCCAATCAGCCATAAATATACTACATACCCAGGTAGAGTCTCTAGCTGAAGTATTTCTTCAAAACCGCTGAGGCTTAGATCTGCTATTTCTCTCTCAAGGAGAGTTATGCGCAGCTCTGGGAGAGAGTTGTTGCTTCTAAGCCAATCAGTCTGGAGTCATAAAAGATACTCTTCAAAAAGTTCAAGAGACTCTAGATAGACGCCAGCAGGAACGGGAAAATAACACCCCCTGGTACCAAAGCATGTTTAACTGGAATCCATGGTTAACTACTCTAATCACTGGGTTAGCTGGACCCCTTCTCTTCCTATTGGTAGGTTTAGTCTTTGGGCCTTGTATATTAAATAGGTTTCGGTAAAGCAGCACATAGCTTCTGTCAAGCTTATGTATCTTAAAGCCCAATATAGCCCCCTTGTTATAACTGAGGAATCAGTGATTTGATTCCCCAAAAACACAAGTGGGAAATGTGATATCCTACCTTGTTTTAACCTGAATTGACTCCCTTAGCTGAGAGAGCCAGACAGACTCCATTTTGGCTCCTTCACTTGCAGCCCCTTACCCACCCACCTTCCTCAAGGACTTAACCTGTGCAAGCTGATTCCCAGCACATCCAAGAATGCAATTACTGATAAGATACTGTGGCAAGTTACATCCGCAGTTCCCAGGAATTCGCCCAGTTGATAGTACCCAAAGCCCCCACATTTGTATCTGGTTGACAGCACCCAAAGCCCCCACGTCTATCACCTTGTGATAGATTTAAGACCCCTGTACCTGGAACTGTTTGTTTTCCTGTAACAATTTATCTTTTCAACTTTGCTGCCTGTTTTGCTTCTGTAAGATTGCTTCAGCTAGGCTCCCCCTCCCCTTTCTAAGCCAAAGTATTAAAGAAAATCTAGCCCCTTCTTCAGGGCCAAGAGAATTTTGAGCACTAGCCATCTCTTGGTCACTGGCAAATAAAGGACTCCTGAATTAGTCTCAAAGTGTGGCTTTTCTCTATAACTCACTCGGTTACAACAATAGTGCATATATAATAAGATATATAATGTTATAAAATTAATATATGTAGTATTATAGTGATTAGTCCTTTCTCTGTAAATCTATAATATTTCATAAAATGCATTATTCATTAAAAGTTTTTTGCATTAAAAGTTACTAAACTGTAATAATATTTGAGTGACATGAACCTTTGGAGAAGGACTCATTCTAGAGACTTGAAGTTTCAGGATAGCTAAGATTTAAATTTTCTATGTGTCAAATTATTGTCAAACATTTTTTTTTAACTTTAAACAAACTAAAAGTATTATTTTTATTTTTAAAATTTATACTTTCCAAATTCTCTCTTGAACATTTTTAATGAACATATGTGACAGAGCTGTCATCAGACTGTGCAAGTTGTTTTGTCTTTTTTTACAATATTACATTATTTATTCACTTATTTATATTGGTGTGGCCAACGTTGCAATTTTAATATATTTATATGGTTAGAAGGGGAATAAGTTAAGAGAAAGAAAATGCAGCCATCTGGCTCTGAGTCCTTACCAGGAAGAATTTTGGGATCTCAAGTTCTTGCACAGAGCTCATCATATACTTTTGGTGGCTAAATTTTTATGGAAGCTTCTGGTACAGTTTCTACTGTGCTGTACAATGTTAGCTTTGATCTTGTAAGCTGACAACACTGAATTTGTGGCTGTCTGGAACCCTGTGCTAAAGAAGACTGGAAGTCATATACAGGCTCAGTAGGAAGGAGGTCTCTGATGTATTTCTGCTGTTGCAATAGTCACATGTCCCAGCAACGCCTGCTCAGCAACTCCTACTTGTTATGACAGGACTTGTGGTGGGATTTCATGGGGATGTGAGAAGGAAAAAAGTAGTCAGGGATAACTTCTGGTGCTCCCCTCAGGGAAGAGGCCCCAGGCCTGGGAGTCATCAGCAGAGACATGGTACCTAAAACTTTGAAACTATGTGGGACCACTCTGAGAAGAGAGGGACGTAGGGAGAGAAGAGGACTAAGAATTACTGGAGATGTGGTGGAAAAGAATGAGTAGAATGGAAAAGGTCAAAAAAAAATCATGAGTGGGGTCTTCAACAGGAAAGTGTTTCAAGAAGTAAGTCTTCCATTGGATTATCCATGTCCAATACAGCTCACAGACTGAGCAAAATAAGAACAAACACTTAACCTTGATTTTAGTCAAATAAAACTATTTTATCCATTTTGTCTAGATTTTCTAATTTGTGGGTCTAGAAGTGTTCTAATACTCTGTTAATTTCAGAGCACTCTTTAGTGTACTCTAGTGTAACAACCAATTATCTACATGCTGAATGAGAATAGAGTTTCCAGGAAAATGCAGATTCATTAAGTCTTGAGGTAATAACCAGAAATAAATAAGAAAGTGCTTCAGTAAACCCTTGGGAAATCACCATCCAAGGGTACTTTTGATTCTTTTCACAGAAAGACAAATGAACAGTGAGTTTTTTCCAACTGGAATCCTAAAGAAAGCTGAGCAAAAATCTGTTACTGTGAACCATTTGGAATCAATGGGTACATCAGATAATGAGGTTTTAGGGTTAGAAACTACAGGAAACCTCAATATCACAACATAAGGCCACATCCACAGGATCTTCACAGAGTAAATTGTTCTGACTCCATCTTATCTGGCAGAAGAATGTCTTCAGGCCCCCAAATCAATTCTCAGAGGCTGGTCTTTTAGCTCATTTAGATGAAAAAACAAATCTCACTTTCTGAGCCAGGACACAACAAAAAGACCGATCTCTATAAAAAGTGCAAAACATAAACAAAAAGAATTGTTATTTTTAAGCATTTGTTTAGTAAGAATTCTTTCTCATTAGTCTCTGACTATTTGGAATGTATTTATAGAGTCATTAAAATATAATTCTGTGAAGAAACCAATAAATTAACATTTTTATTTTATGTGGCTTCATAAATTTAGGTCTTCTGGGTCATTAAGGTATTAAGCTTCAGTGTCTTACTTCTTTTTTAGTCCTAAAGCAACATGTTACTTCCCTGTTTAGCTATTCCATGACCTTCAAGACCTAATTATTAATAACAAAGAGACAGCTCACCTTCTATTGTAATCACACAATCCAATGTCAATGCTGGTTGACGTTCATAGATCTTGATTTCTTAAAATGTATTTATATAGGTCAAGAAAAATGGAGCAGGAGAAAACTTCACTCAAATTATGTAGCAATGTTAAACAAATTCAGTTTTTGAGTCCAAATTAAATTATTTATGTCTCTAAACTTTACCTTGTAACTTTTCTTACAGCAATGTAGTTTTGAATTTTATCCACGGATAATTTTTTTTTCAGACAAAGTCATGATTCTGGAGAAACATTGATTTAGATATATGGAATCTGTTTCCTTCTTAATAGAGCATGAAAAAATGGAGCATTATATATTTAGCTTACCTAAGTTGTTCTCTTTCAAAAAGACTAATATAATGAAAAATTTGAAAATTTCCCTGTAGTATATTTTTATTCAAAATACATAAATATGCTGAATTTAAAACAATTTTCCAAAACAACTGGGTTTTGGCCAAGATTCGAGAAGCCCCAGAATGTCTTATCCAAAACAATCAATTAAAGACTGTCAATTTAAAATTAAGCAATAGTGCTTAAATGTCATTTGTTTTGTTTTCTTTGTTTTAGAGATGAGGTATCACTATGTTGCCAAGATTGGAGTGCAGCAGCTAGTCACAAACATAATCATGGTGCGTTACAGCCTGGGCTCAAAGGATCTTCCTGACTCAGCCTCCTGAGTGGCTGGGACTAAAGGCATATGCCACCACACTTAGTTATGTTTTTAAAAACCACCTTTACACTATTGTACCTTTTTGGTTATTGGGAAACAAATATATTTTGACTCTCAAGAAAAAGGTACTTGGTGGCACACTAAAGAATGAGTCAATGAGTTTACAAAACACAAGAGGCAGGGTACAGTTGCTCCAAAGTGACACAAAACAACATTATGATTTTGCTTTGGTTTGAAGAGAAACAAAATGTTTTCACTCAAGTTTTAAGTGCCAAAATAGCTAATTACTGTTAAAATGTCATCAACGCTAGTACCATTACTCAGAAATCAACTATTTCCAACAGAAAAAAATATTTAGTTACCTTTTACAAGAACTATATTGTAACTTTCATTTTAAGGGTATTATATTGCCTCAGTATTACAACAAACCTCTTTATTAGATTTAAATTTAACTAATTCTAACCCAACCCAAATTAAAAACTGCTCACATTTAAGAGCAAGAAATACTATTGCACATTACACTTATATGTGAAGAATGTGTGCTTCCTCCCATGCCCCCCAAACTGAATTATATTCTATGAATTACATTCCATTATCTGAATTTATAACACTTAAAGTTCTTATGCTCTTCCCCCTAACAAATACATTAATATACTTGTAGCCTCAAAATACTTCATGAACTCTGAAGTGAATCTCTATGGTGGGAGCTTCCTTTGTGAAATAAATTTGGCTAGTCACATGCAAACCAATATCCCCAAGTATCTAAACAAATTTATTTTGCTCCTTTCCAATATACTCAATAGTGGGAATGCTGGATGGTATGGTAGTTCCATTTTTAGGTTTTTGCTTTTTGTTTTTTGTTTTGTTTTTATTTTCGTTTTAAGAAACCTGCATAGTTTTCCATGCACGTTTCTAAGAGATGAATAAATCTGAAAATGGACTAAATTTACATTCGCATCAACAGTGCATAAGTGTTCCCTTTTCTCCACATCCTCATTCAACCTTGTTATCTTTCGTCTTTTTCATAATTCTACATGGGGCGAGGTGCTATCTCACGTTATTCTGGATTGCATTTTCCAGATGATTGGTGATGTTGAGCATTTCTTTGTGTCTTCTTTGGAAAAATGTCTATTCAGGTCTTTTGCTCACTCTTCAGTTGGGTTTTTTTTTATTTTTATTGCTGCTGAGTTGAGTCTCATGTAATTTGGATATTAATTCCTTGGCAAATGCACGCACATATTTTCTTTTCTAGATTGTCCTTTCACTCTGTTAATAAATTTCTATGCTGTCCAGAAGCTTTTAATATTTTACTGATATTAATTTTTCTGTTTTCTGACTTGATAGAGAGGTAAGAGTTGGCCCTCAGCTTCATAGGTTATCTGTCTTCTATCTCACTACTTTTAGGAGTTTTTTTCTTTTTGATGCCTTGCATTTTGATCATTATTCTTTTAAGATTTATTTTATATATAATGATACATAATAATTGTACATATTTATGGGGTGCAGTGTGATATTTCAATGCATTCATACACTGTACAATGACCTAATCAGGGTAATTTGCATATCTAGCACTTTAAACATTTATCTGTGCTAATAAAAACCTCTCTACTAGCTGTGTTGGAATAAACAGTGCTGAGACCAGCTGTGTCATGGAGACCCTAACCCAGTGGCGCTAGAGGAATTAAAGAAACACACACAGAAATCTAGAGCTCGGAGTGGGAATCAGGGGCTGACAGCCTTCAGAGCTGAGAGCCACAAACAGAGTTTTACACACATATTTATTGACAGCAAGCCAGTGATAAACACTGTTTCTATAGATTATAGATTAACTAAAACATGAGACAAGGGGATGGGCTCTGGCTAGTTATCCGCAGCAGGAACATGTCCCTGAGGCACAGATAGCTCATGCTATTTTTTGTGGTTCAGGAACACCTTAAGCGGTTTTCCACCCCGGGTGGGCCAGGTGTTCCTTGCCTTCATTCTGGTAAGCCAACAGCCTTCAGCGTGAGTGTCATAGCCATCACAAGCATGTCACAGTGCTGCAGAGATTTTGTTTATGGCCAGATTTGGGGCCTGTTTATGGCCAGATTTGGGAGCCTGTTTCCAACAGAATAGTACATTATTATTAGCTATAGTCACCCTACTATGTAATAGAACACCAGAATTTATTCTCTCTAACTGTAACTTTGGAACTTTGACAATCCTCTCCCCATCCCTTCATTCCTTCACTCTCCCTAGCCTCTGGTAACCACCATTCTACCCTCTACTTCTATGAGATCAATTTTTTAAGATTTCACATATGAGTGACATCATGTGGTCTTTTTCTTTCTGTGACTGGCTTTTTCACTTAACATAATGTCCTCTAGATACATCCATGTTAACATGAATGATAGCTCATTCTGTTTTATTACTGAACATTATTCGTGTGTGTGTGTGTGTGTGTGTGTGTGTAACATTTTCTTCATTCATCTGTAGATGGGCACTTATACACTATTGGTGAGAGTGTAAATTGGTACAAACATTAGGGAAAACAGCATGGAGGTTTTTCAAGAAATTATAAAAAGAACTACCATATACATGACCCAGAAATCTCACCACTGGTTATATGTCAAAAGGAAATGAAATCAATCTTCAGAAAGATAATTGGACTCCCATGTTTATTAAAGCACCATTCACAATAACCAAAACCATTCTTTAAGTATTTTTTATCTTTTTTGACACATTACACACTAAACTTTAATAGGATTCATGTCTTGTTTCCAATTTCTGAAACTTATGAGTCACCAATCCTTTCAATATTGCCTTCCTGTTTATATAATCTAGTAAAACAATTAAATCATTTTTGTTTCTTCTCATCTAATCTTCATATAAATATTTGTATTTTGTATTAATTTGCACTCTATAAAGTATATGACTACGTTAATTGTGCTCAACATTTCAGTGTAGTAGACTGCTCATCAGCTCAGTCTATTTTAATGTGTAATTTGTATGCTGTACATTAAATTGTTTTACTATATTTTCAATAGTTTACTTTTCATTTGCCTCTTTTCCAAATATGACTGGACAAGCTCATAGTTTTTTCCCACAGTATTTTGGTTTCATGTTTTTTTATTATGTTGGCAAACATTTAAATATAAACCTTATATCTGAGTTTTATGTGCTGTATAATTTATCTAAGGCTTCACACTAGTAGTGTATCTCCTTTTGTGCAATGTAATTCATAATTTAGTTCTCACATATGGAACACAGCATACTTGGGATGCCTGAAGGCAGTTTACCTGGATTTATTCCATATGCCTCCTCAGAAGCTGAGCAACACACATGGATCTGACATCCTTCTGATCAGATGCATCTGAATGGAGCAATGGCCTCTTAGGTTGTTACTTCTGTGGATCATTACCTTTATTTTCTTCTGGTCATGAAAAGTTTCCATAATTTTCTTTCAACTATATTAGGCATTTTGTGAATTCTTGTAACTTCTTGGTGATTTTAGTATCTGCATTAAGTTTTTAAAGCATGTTGTTTTCCTAAGAAGCAGAAATGTCAACAGTTGCATACATGAGTAAAATATTTTACATAGATTTTCTATGGCTTAGATCATCCCCTCATGAGAAATTCCATGTTTCTTCATTTGAAATACTGCTCTCTTCCATAGACCATATTGTAATAATGTAGCAGGACAACCTGCCGACAAAACCCCTCAGACACCTAGTTAAAGAAGAAAGGGCTTTATTCAGCTGGGATCATCAGCAAGACTCATGTCTCCAAAAACTGAACTCCCCAAGTGAGCAATTCCCGTCCCTTTTAAGGGCTTACAACTCTAAGGGGGTCTGCATGAGAGGGTCATGATCGATTGAGCAAGCAGGGGGTACATGACTGGGGGGCTGCATGCACCAGTAATCAGAACTGAACAGAACAGGACAGGGATTTTCACAATGCTTTTCCATACAATGTCTGAAACCTATCGATAACATAACCGATTAGGTCAGGGGTCAATCTTTAACCAGGCCCAGGGTGCAGCAACGAGCTGTCTGCCTGTGGATTTCATTTCTTCCTTTTAGTTTTTACTTCTTCTTTCTTTGGGGGCAGAAATTGGGCATAAGACAATATGAGGGGTTGTCTCCTCCCTTAATAATTCACAGAATGTGATTCCTTTTTTACCATTAGAAAATTAATTATGTATTATGCACGAATTTCTGAAATACTGCACTGCAGTAAATAGTATATGGTTACAATTATTGTTTCATTTAACATAAAACTAATATGAGCAAAATTATTTACCTGAATTAAGATCTTTTGGCTTCGATTACCATTCTACCTCATTAGCACTTCCCTACCTCCATAAAAGGCATCATTTGAATTTTTTGTTTAATTTAGAATTGTTCAAAAGAGGATTTTTTAATGTTATAATGTTTTTATTGCAATTGAGGACATTTTCAATAAATATCCTAAACTTAAGGCCTTGGCTAAGTATTTCTTTTGTACTAGAAATCAGATTTCTCTGGCACAACTCCACTGCCTGCAATAATATTTATGAAAACTACAAATGCCAGCACACTATTTCAACACTGTACTCAGTTGTTCATATCTAAATATCTCATTAGCTATGAAACAAGCCAAATATAAATGCTGAATATATAGCACAAATAAACAGATTCTTCACAGAAGACAACAATAACAGACTAATTTTCTACAATATGTCACCTGTTCATTAGTTCTTCAATAATATTATTTAGGCTGTTTCAAGTACAAGAAGTTCTTTTATCTAGGTTCTAAAGGGCATAAACGAAGATGCATATAGTCAGATTTATTTTTATAAACTACTTTTTTTTTGCTGTACGCCTTACCGTGACTATAAGGAGACAAAGACAAATGTACATTTAAGTTATTAGTTGTTATATGTGTTTTGCATATATGACTTTTTGCTTATATTGAAGTTGTAAATGACAAGATAAAATAATGAAGTTTGATAAACTTATCTGTGCCCTGTAAATTTTAGTCCACTTACTGTATAACTTGATTCAGTCATTATTTATTAGTTTAACAGCTGGTTTTAAAAAGCTGCAAACTAAACTTTATTACACATTTCAAAATCAGGAAGAGGTAAACTGTGACAGAGTTCCCTTGTGCCACAGACTTTTTTGGGGAGAAATGTTCCACAAAAAATAAAATAAAATAAGTGTTTCCAAATTGTATTTTTTAAAAAGCTTGAGATTTTTTCTATCATTAAACTTCACTCTACAGTCCCTTTTACTCAAGGCATGGTTCCTGGGTCATCTTTTCAAGGTTTAGTTTCTGGGAACTTTTCAGCAAACCTTTCTCATGCTTTGTCCCAGTTTTTTGTTGTTGTTGTTGTTTGTTTGTTTTGTTTCGGAGAAGGTGAACATCTTCAATTGAGGATGGATTTCCTGTCTCCGAGCCTATGTGTGTTGGTGAACTTGACACTAAATTGGAGTTTTCATTCCCCCATCATCTTCCTCAGTCCATCTCCTTTTTTCCAACCCATCTTCTTCAACGTCTTCTGACCTTTGTTGCTGTCAGTAATTTCAGAATGAATAGATGCAGAAGCATCATCTTTTTGGAAAGTTCCTTCACTTCCAATCTTCTCACTACATTTTCCAGCTCTATTTTTATATTTTGGAAGCTTTAGTGTCTATTCATCTTCATAGTCTGTATTCTGTAAACCATATTTTACTCACATTTTTAAAATTATTTTCTTATTTCCAAATCTTTTTCTTCTTAGTGTTGGACCAACAAACATTCACCTTTCTTATCAAGGTGAAAGTGAGCTCTGACCTGCTGTGGGTCACAGCCATCACAGGTATCACTGCCAGGGTGAATGCGAAAGGGTAACACAGTCTCTCCAATTTTCATTTCATGTCTATGTATGCTCAAGTATGTAAGGGTCACATTTAGCTTTCACTTGAACAATCCGTTTTTCACTAACAATTGTTCCATTTTGACCGTCCTGATCTACAAGGACATAAGTTTGCTAGTCATGGTCAAATTTCTGCCTGAAACTTACAGACACCAACTTCAGGGATTCAAAGAAAGAGTATGCTCTAGATCATTTTCTCTTCCAATTGTAGCCGGTTTTACAGCAGTAATAATAAACAGTGACCCCGTATACAACACAGGTGATCTAATGGCAATTACCCTAATACATGGGGGCCAATGTTTTGTCTTATTTTCCTCCTCAGTGTCTTCTGCATTACATTGTCTTCACTGGTAATGTGAGTAGGGGCTGTGCTGGGGCCCTAAAGGACGTCTGCGGAGCCAGAGGCCACGGGAATGCCAGCGACAAAAGCCAGCCTGGCCATGGCTGGCTGCTGTGGCCCTCACAAGGAGGCCCTGACACGCGTTACCTGGAGCCATACAGGGTTGTGAGCAATGAGCAAGGGGAATGCTGATGGCCCTGCCCGAGCTGCAGGGCCTGGAAACCAGAAAACTCCTGGGAACTATGACATCTTCCCCAGCTGGAGGAACAGCAGGAGGAGTGTTGCAGAAGTCAAGGGGCCAGAAGCTCTTGGGCCGTTCCTGGGTTGAGCCAGAAATGGCGGCCAAGAGAGTTTTCAATAAAGTTTACATGTGGCTAGATATGACCTGCTGATTACTCTTAATTTTTTTCACATTTATTGAGCTATGATTTACACATTGAAAAGTGTATATATTTAGGGTATATATAATAGAGTGCTTTGAGGTGTGTATACATCTTTAAATTATCTCAGTGAAGCTGGTTAATCTATCCCCTCACATACTTTATACATTTCTTTGTGTGTGATGAAAGCACTTTAGATCTAATTTTGTAACAAATTTCAACTACACGTTGTTATTAAATATAGTCACCATTCTGCACATTAGGTCCCCAGCAGTTTTTCATTATATAACTGAAGGTATGCTGCTTTCAATGGTATCTCCCCACTTTTCCCCACTTTCTAGCCTGTGGTAACTACCATTCTATTGTTTCTTTTTTTTTTTTTTTTTTAGATTCCACATGCGAGATCATGCAGTATTTGTCTTTCTGTATTTGGCATATTTCACTTAGCATAATGTCTTCAAGATTCATCAATATTGTCATAAGTGAAAGAATTTCATTATTAAAGCTGAAATTATCTCTCTCTCACAGTTTATCCATTTGTTTGTATCAGAGGAGTGCAGATACCCTTGGCGATACTGATTTTATGTCCTTTGGCTATATATTCTGAATTGGGATTAAGGGTAGATCAAGTTTAAAAATGTTAAGGAATCTCCATACTGTTTTTTTATAATGGCTGCACCAATGGACATGCTCAGCAACTGTCTACAAGTATCCTATTTTCTTTGCACCCTAACACATTTTATCTTGTAACTTTTTGATAATAGCTATCCTAAAACCATGATAAGGTTATATCTTACTATGATTTTCATTGTAATTACTCTTATAATTAGTAATGTTGAGAATCTTTTTATATACCTGCTGGCCATTTGTATGTCTTTGGAAAAAATGGCTATTTAGATATTTTCCCCAATTAATCAGGGAATTGGCTTGTGTTTCGTTCTCCTGTGAAGGTTTTTTTTTTCTTCATATTGAGTAGTATTAAATATATTTTGGATAGCAACATATTATCCTACATATGGTTTACAAATATTTTCTCCCATCCCATATATTGCCTTTATATTTTGTTGATTGTTTCCTTTATTGTGCAGAAACTTTTTCCTTTGATATAGTTCCACATTTTAATTTTTGCTTTTGTTGCTTGTCTTCTTTGTGTTGAATCCAAAACATCATTGCCACGACTAGTGTTAAGGAGCACTTTTCCTATTTTTTTATAGAGGATTCATGATTTCAGTTCTTATGTTTAAGTCTTTATTTTAAACTCATTTTTGTGGTGGTATAAGAGAAAGGTTCACTTTTTGTGTATGCATATCTAGTTTTTCCCACACCATTTCTTGATGTGTCTATCTTTTCCTAATTATGTGAGATCACTCGACTGAATATGTATGACTTTATTTCTGGGTCCTCTATTCTGTTCCATTGGTTTTTATGTAGATACCATAGTACTTTGATGACTATAGCTCTGTAACATAGTTTGAAATCAGGAAGTTTGAGGCTTTCAGCCTTTTTGTTCCTATCAGTGTTTGGCTATTTAGGGTATTGTGTGGCTCCATATAAATTTTACAATTGTTTGTTCTACATTTATTTTAATGGCATTAAAATTTTGATAGGAAGTTATTTAACTCTGCAGAAGAGTTTGTGTAGTACAGGTATTTTAACAATATTAATTTTTCGAATCCATGAACACAGTATATATTTCTCATTTTGTATTCTTCAATTTGTTTCATCAACATTTTAGTTTTCAGTATGCAGATCTTTAATATTCTTTGTTAAACTCATTCTATGTAATAAATTACATATTTCTTTCTATTTGATGTTGTAAATGGAATTATTTTTATTCCTTTTTTCAGATATTTTGTTGTTACTGTATCAAAATACAACTGATTTTCATGTTAATATTGTATCCTGCAACTCTACTGAATTAGTTTGTTATCTATAACAGGGTTTTGTTGTTGTTGTTGTTGTTGTTGTTGTCGGTAAAATGGTGGGCATTCTTAACCCTGGATACATTTTAAATTGATAGTTGCTATTATCATTTCATAATTCTTTAAATCTGACCAGATGGGTTTCTGCCGTCATGAATTCAGTGGAATTCAAATGTTCCACTAAAAATAATTGTGTGGGTTTTGCCTGCCCTCTGGGATGGGCGGCGCCCCGAGGGAGCCAGGAGATTCAGGACGGGGAGGGAGAAGCGCTCAAGGAAGAGGCTAAGCAGGGGAGGCAGAGAGGGGGTCAGGAACAGCAGCAAGGAGAGGGGTCGTGTCAGACCCAGTGGGGACAGAGAACGCGCCAGAAAAGAGATGAAGGGTGGGAGTGAGCAACAGGACTGCTTCCCCGCCAGGGCAGTGGGCAGGGAAATTTGCTAAAACTGCAAGCCCCAGTGAACAGTGCGGGCAGGGTGGGAGGGAGTGGAGAGGACCAGGAGGATCCTAAGGTCAATTGGGAGAAAGGGACATTTCCCGGTTCCTTCACCTCTGCCCAGAGTTTTGCGGGCATGGCAGGCACCCCCAGGGGCAGAGCAGGGGAGAATGCGGCTCCCGGCGGGCTCGGAGAGCTGAGAGGCGCACACCCGTTTCACAGGGCCGGGGTGGTGGCATAAGCAAGCGATGGCTGCGGATCCCGCTGACCCCGCGGGTGGGAGCGGAGGGCGTGGGCGGGGCCGAGCTCAGGGGGCCCAGCGCAATGGTCTCCAAGTAGCCCTGGAGGTAGCCACCCGCTCATGCAGTGGCCTTCCGGGAGAACAGTATGGAAGGCACGGTGGACACGCCCTTCCCAGCTGGAACATTCGTGAGCCTGGAATTTAAGCTGGGGCAGAAAAGCGGCAGGAAGAAGGATTGGAAGAAACCCGAGCGCAAAGTCCAGCCCAAGGGGAGGAAGCGGAAATGCCTGGCCTGAGTCAAACTGGGTTCTGAGGAGAAGGTTCCGGCACTGATAGTAAGTATCCTATAGAGACGGCGGCTTGGCGGGAGCCTAAGGAGCACCAGGGACCCAGTACAGCTGGGGGGAGTGGGAGGTGAGGACCCCACAGCTACTGCTTCCCTGTACAGTTCGTCTTCTCCAAGGCCCGGCCCCCAGCTGAGCCCAGCACTGCATGGCGCCTCCTGGACCACTGTCGCGGGTGACCAGTGGAAGACCCCACCTCCCAGGGAGAGAACCCCACTATATCCCCAGCTAATACAGCTGCTTCTCCTACCAAAAATAAATAAAAATGAATTAAATTTTTGTTCGGTCTTTGAAAATGGTGTGTATCCTCTATATACTGGTCAACATGCTGCCATTTATCTACATGCCTAATTAGTCAAACTTTTGAAAGAAGTTATTTAACGTTATGATCCTTTATTATGACACAAAATAGTAAACTTTGTAATGGTTTTAATATCATCTAATATGATTAAAATATGTCAATTTGTCATTGCCAATGAATCTTTGTGTTACTTATTTTACACTGTTAAATATTCTGTCTACAAATGTCTAATGGCTTACAATCTTGCCTAACATATTGTATCTGCTAAGTACTAACTACTCTAATTCAACAAATTTTCTTTTTACACCATTCTTAAAATACAATATCATTTTGTATTTATTTTTATTAAAATTATTTTTCTGCATAATCTAAATATTTATGAAAATTATGTGGTCTATGCAGTCTGCCCTCTTGATGAAAGTCAGGGTCTTTTTCTCTTTATTAGTATGTTAGTACAAATGCAGTTTCATTACAGGAACATGTTGTACAGTGATGAAGTATGGGCTTTTGTGTAACAATCATCTGAATGGTACTCATTGTCCCAATTAGGTATTTTCTCATTCCTAAACCCTCTACCAACCTCCCATCTTTCTGAGTCTCCAGTGTGTATTCTTCCAGTCTCTATATCCAAGTGTATGTATTATTGAGCTACCACTTATAAGTGGGAAACTTCAGTATTTGATTTTCTGTTTCTGAGTTATTTCACTTACAATAATGGCCTCCAGTTCCATTCATGTGGCTGCAAAAGATGATTTTATTCTTTCTGACTGAGTAGTATTCCATGGTATAAATGTATAGTCAGTCATTGATAAATTTCAATTGATTGATAAATTTAAATTGAAGATATGCTATCTTTGCTACTGTCAATAGTGCTTCAATAAACATATGAGTGTGGGTATCTTCTTTACATAATGAATTATTTTCCTTTAAGTAGATACCCAATAGTGGGAGTGCTGGATCAAATGGAAATTCTATTTAGTTTTCTGAAAAATCTCTGTATGCTTGCCAATATCTATCCTTTTTCTGCTTTGTAATAATTAGCCATTATGAAAGTGTAAAATGTGATTGTAAAAAATTGTACAAAATTTCATTGTGATTTTTAATTAGCATTTCTCTGATCATTGGCAATGTTGAACATTTTTTACATGCTTGTTGACCGTCATTGGTCAACAAGCCTTCCAGGTTCACGCCATTCTCCTGCCTCAGCCTCCCGAGTAGATGGGACTACAGGTGCCAGCCACCACCCCCGGCTAATTTTTGGTATTTTTAGTAGAGACGGGGTTTCACTCTGTTAGCCAGGATGGTCTCAATCTCCTGACCTCGTGATCCGCCCGCCTTGGCCTCCTGAAGTGCTGGGATTACAGGCGTGAACCACCACGCCTGGCCTCATGTAATCTTACTTTAGGAGAAACTGCTTCTAATTTTAGGCATTTGTTCATAGCAGGTGCTACATGAACCAATGCCAAATTAGCATTGTTTTTAGGGTAATAAATCTACATATCTACAGTGAGAACTACTCACTGTACAGGATTTTGTCTTCTGACCAATGACATGATTCTGTCTTTCGTAGGCTACTCCAAAACTTCTATAATGATGGTAGAGTTCAGTGAAGTGGAGCCTCAGGCCTGCCATCCCCATGCTTCTGGCAAGCAGCAGCATCTCCCCTGAGCATGGTGGCATAGGGCATGCCATTAAAAACACCTTGCTGCTGTTCATCTCCACATACTAAGTTGCTGTACACTTTGCAGTGGAATTCCATCTTGCTGCGTCTGGTTGGCCAGAAGCCCTACAGGTAGAATGGGATGGTCAGGAGAGCACATTGAGAGAATAAATGGGAGCTTAGAGGTTGCCCACCTTGCTGCCCCTGCCCATGGGTCACAGCCCTCACCTGGCTGTCCAGCTTGTATGTCTACTGAAGGCTGCTGAACTTGTTCTCCATCACAGAGGTGGTGTGACAGCAGTCTGAGGGCACCACACTCCATGACCGGGCTCTAATGCTGGTGCCACAGCTCCAGGTGAGCTGTGGGAAGGCAGGTGAGCCAAAGACAGGTCCCGCCTTCCACATCCAGGCCACACTCCCACCAACTTCCAGGCCCACCTCGATATTCTGATGTGATGCTCTTTTCAATGTTCTTCTCATTACCTGAGAAAATTTTATATTATTATATCATAAATATGATAAATACTATGACATCAAATTATGACATCATAATTCATATGTATTTATAACATCAAAATATATTATGATAAATATGATAAATATAAAGATGATATGACATCACAATATATTACAGTATAATTCATGTAACATCACATAATTCATATAACATCACAATATATTATGACATCATAAACACTATGTATTGTGACATCATTGTATATTACGATGTTATAATATGCATCCACTGTGACATCACAATATATCATGATGCCATGATGTGCTTGTATTAAGACATCACAATATATTATGATGTCATCATGAGTAGATATTATGACATCACACCATATTATGACATCGTAATTCGTATGTGTTGTGACATCACTATAATTATGACTTAACAATTCATATGTGTTATGACATCACAATATATCATGACATCATAATTTATATGTATTATGATGAATTCATGTTACATAATTTGCACATAATATGATGTATTACAAATTATTATGTAATTCATATGTATTACATGTGTATTAGATTGCTCTGGATGCCCTGGGCTCTGGGGGGCAGGCTGGGGGTGGGAGCAGGCACCCAGGTTGCAGAGGGAGTGATTGGGGCACAGGGCCCTGGGGTTCCAGGAGCAGTAAAGAGGTCAGGACAGGCCTGTGGGGACTTAGATGTTGGCTCTGGGTGAGATTGTTACTGCAGATGTGAGCACACCAGTGATCGGGGGCTCAGGTGACTGCCGTGGGGCAGATGGACAGAGGGGTTAAGGCACAAGGAGACAAAAGCTATAGCACAGCAGGAGGGGAGGGTGGCTGTGGGGGCAGTAAAAGGGGTGCCAACAGCAGTTTTGGTGGATGGGCAGTGGGTGTGAGAGAGCAGGCACGGGGATAATGCCCAGGCATTCTGGCCTGGAACAGTGGCAGGTGGACTTTGCCCAGCTGCGGAAGGGTCTGTCAGGGAGATAGGGCTTCTGATTTCAGAGGAGACCAGAGGTGTGCTCATGCAGATGAAGGTCCTCATGGGATGGACATGGAAGGGGCAGCTACAACCTGGGGACAAATGGTGGTGGGCTGAGCCCCTGGGACTTCTGGAGTGAGGAGGCAAGAACGTGAGGAGGAGCCAGGCAGGGAGCCAGAGGCAGAGGGTAAAGAGTAAAGTAGAGCCCAGGAAAGGGGCAGATCCAGCAAGTAGATGAAAATTTCCCCTCACCTGCCCCGTTGGCCTCTGTCCCTGCCCACACGCCCTAGTGCCCTCGCCCTGAGTCTCTGCTTGCTCTGCCTACCTGGCCATCCCAGACAGGTGTGGGGTAACTGTGAGGGTAACTGAAGGGCCACTTTCAGAAGGCACAGTCTAGAAGTGAACAGCATTGAGTCACTGTCGTCTCCCAGTCCTGGGAAGAGCCTCTGCCACAACCCGCTGAGCTGTCTTCATCACCAACGGGTCTCCTTCCCCCACCCCTGGAGGTCCAGAGGACAGCTCAGAGCTGTGATTGGTGCCTCTTCCCAGTGTCTCTCTACACTGCTCCTGCCTGTGCCTCAGCATCCTCCTCTGAGAGGTGGGCCTGTCGCTGCACGTGAATGGCGAGCAGGTCACTGTGGGGAAGGGCCTCCTCCTTCCTCTTTCCTGGGCTCCTGGTGCCTGTCTCCTGGGGGTATGGCAATCTAGCCTACCCATGAGTCCAGGCAAAAAGGCAGCCCTACTCCAGCCCCCAGAAAGAAGAAAAACTAGTTGAGCTTTCGGGGGAGGAATGGTGAAAGCCTGCACACTAGGACAAAAAAGAGTTGAGGCCTCCAGGAGGCCATGCTTACTGGTGCCTGCTGGGCCCTGGAGCTGTGCAGGAGGTGGCTTAGGGACTCAGAGACTTGTGGGCCAAGGCTTCTCAGCTGCTTCTGAGGCTCCCAGCTCTGCAAGGGGCTGGGTTTGCCCTCCTGGTAAAGTGCTCCCAATGCCTGTCCTGGCTTGTTCACTTAGCTGGGCTACCTGCTGGGCCTCCGTCTTCGTGGGAGCTCCCATTGTGCCTCTCTGGGTGGGTGGGGGCTCCTCTGGAAACTCTCTTCTTCCCCGAGGCTTTCAGTCCAGGATGAAGCACCCCAACTTCTCAGCAGGAGTAGCCACTGGGGGAAGCAGAGGGAATGGGATGGGACACTTGGCCCAACTCTGAGCATGACTGGGCAGGGACATTGTGTTGTAGCTCCTGGGAGCCTCATGGAGTGCAGGAAGAGGTCCTTGAAAGGCCAACACTCTACCTACACAGAAGGGAAAACTGAGGCTGGGGGTGGGCAGGGCGACCTTGAATTGGGGGTCTGGTCAGATGGGTCTCTGCTCCTCACCTCAGGAGCTATGGCCTTCATGTGCACTTCCACCAGCAGAGGCACCTTACTGGACTTGGCCCCAGTGGATGGACAGGAAACTTCCAGCGATGGTGGCCACCCAAACCAACTTTCACTGCCTGGCTCCTGGCAACCCCACCCTCTCCATCTTCTGGCTCCCATTTATCTGCTTTTTATTTTCAGGAAATTGTGGGCACCAGCTCAGGAGAGGCAGCAGGAGCCACCACTCAAATTTCTGGTCTCCTTTAATTAATTCTGTGAGAGAGGATTCTAGGGTGAGGGCAAACCTGGATGAGGTCTTAGGAGAGGATGGATCTGGGCAGAGCTGCGACAGAAAGTGGGCCTCATGCGTCTGACGTCTATGATGGTGGAGTATTTCCAGTTCTGTCTTTCCTAAGTCTGCCCAATGGAAACTTGACTCCTTGAGTTTGTGTGATTTTAATCTATTTTAGCCATTTCCCTGTTAGTTTTTATAACACACAATTACAAGGAATTTAACCAAACTCTTAGGGTTTTTTTAGGAAAATTATATGAGAAGCTAAAAAAATTATTTTTACTAAGGTAAAAGAAACAGGAATAATCACAACAATAGCAATAATTCTTCTGTCCATGAATAGCCTTTCTGGTGGTAACATTAGAACTCACAACAACAGCCTGAGGGAAGTGGAACAAATGCAGCCAAAGTCCCCTCTACACCTCCCTTCTCTCTTCTGACTACAGAATGTTGAATTCAATCATTTAGCCATTTGCTCTGGAATGAAAGTATCTGGACAGTAGAAACCATGAATGTTTCATCTGTTTTTCTAATGGTCATATGATATAGTTTAGATGTTTGTTCCAAATCTCATATTGAATTTTAATCCCTAATGTTACAGGTGGGGCCTGATGGAAGGTGGTTGAATTACAGGGATGGATTTCTCATAGCTCTCTGCTGTCCTTGTCATGGTAATTACCCACGAGAGCTGGTGGTTCAAAGTGAGATGTATCTCTCCCCCATCTTTCTTTCTCCCACTCTTACCACATGAGATGCCTGCTCCTCTTTCATCTTTCACCATGATTGTAAGCTTCTTTATATGTTAGTTGTTACAAAATTTAACTCAATATTTTCATAAAATTACCTGACAAAACTTTGTTATCATATCATAAATATGATGTTATATAATCACAATATAGTATATCATTTGTGTCATGACATCACAATATATCATAATCTATATATTATAACGATATATTATGACATAATTAGTACATATTATGATGTCACAATATATTATGACATCAAAATTCATATATTATGATATCACAATAGATTGTAACATCATAATTTGTATGTATTATGACATAAGACTATATTAGGACATAATTTGTATGTCTTATCATAATAACATATAAAACTGTGTTAGGTAATTTTATAAGACAATTGAGTTAAATTTTGTAACAACATTAACATATAAATTTAATGGAACTTAAGAACATTATCTGCTCTTGTGTAAATAACTGCTTTATGATATTATGATAAAATAATATATCAAAATTTGTTTATATGTCAAATAAATTTTATATGATATTATGGTATCAATGTATAATGCTATTATAAGTTCCATTTAAATCTTATTTAAATTCAGACAGTTTTGTTAGGCAGTGTCCATATGTCTACCATCTGATATTTTTTTGGGTTGCACTATTTGCATAGACGGCACAGCTGGGGAAACACAGACTCACCCAGGACAGGCTCTTCCCTGAATCTTTCCCCTCCTCAGGGAATCAGTTCTTCCATCAACCAAGTCATTTTAGAGTGGAGGCCGAGTAGTCTCTGACATAAAAGGTCTCATTTCAGCATCCTTTTCTCAGAAGAGGGAAAAACAAGAAGGTCCTTTTAGGTGACACTTGCTGGGACATACACTAAACCTTCTATGGTTTGAGAGCTCTAACCAGCAGATACAGACTTCACAGTAGGAAGGGATGAGGCAGCTGTCCTGATCCTGGAGCTCCACCATACCTTGTCCCATCTCGTGTAAGCAATTTTTAGAGGCTGCTCTGGAATATCTCGATGGTGGATGTTAGGAAACCACACAGGCTTTGGTGGGACTCAGGTGGTGTCTGTTGTGTGAGTATAGGAGCTGAATGCTCAGGATCTAGGCTGTTTTTCTTGTGGTCAGTTGGGTTACCTGTTTGGGACCAAGTCCATTTTTACTAGGGAGGTTGAATAAATACTACAGAAAAAAGTGGAGCTCCTAGGATGACTGAGGAAGGGTGACAAATAGGGAAGTTTCTCTCTCCACCTAGACTTTTTGCTACCTCAGGAATCAGGGGCTGATTAAGTTAGCATCAGCTCTAATCTAATCAATTCAATTCCATTGTATTTGATCTAACTATCATCCCTATCGTTAAGGTAGAAAGGGCCATTTTATTTGGTATTTACTTTTCTCTATATTTTTATTTTATAATATATGTTTGTATCTAATACAATCAACCATAATTTTAATTTGACATTTCCAAGCATTTGAGAAATTATAATATCCATGTACATGATTTTAACATTATGTAAAATTTTCTTTCTTTGCAAAATATATGACACATTTCAATATAAGTATGTTTAATTCTGCATCTTGAAAAATAAGCAGTAACTTAATTACTACCAGGTAGGAATTGGGACAGAAATTAGAATAAATGATTCCCTTATCTTCTGATTCCTGTGCCCCGGCTTTGTTTTTTTGTTTTGTTTTGTTTTTTAGGGTTTTTTTTTTTGGACACTATGATAAGACCCAGAAAATGTCTCCCCTTAACTTTGTTTAGGTCCCTAGTAAAACTATATGGCATGAAACTTTTCTAATTGAGGCCCTAATGAGTAGCAGGAAAAAGAAAACTATTCAGCCAATAACAGTAAGACATGGCCAGCTGACGGGCATATAAAAGGCAGGCCAGCAGGATAACACATAGTCTGAATCTGGACGTGTAAGACAGAGCATGTTTCACTTGAGCTTGAACACGGGAAAAGGAAATGAAGACCCTGATTCCCCACTGCTCCTCCATCCAGTGCCCCACTGACCAGCCTTCTTTCCAACAGATCTCCTTTACAGAAAAGGGCTCAGGTGAAGAGATTATTCAAAGAAAAAGGCAAGACCCCTTCCTCCCATTCCAGTGAGGAGCACATGCAAAGGCAGGGTATGGCCTTGGGCTGTTCCTATGGAGGCTGGAAGGAGGTTTGGAATCAGGGATACTGAAGTATGGTCTTTGGTGGGGTTTTATTTTGAAATTGGAAATGGGAAATGGCTTACATTCCCGAGGACACTTTGAGAAATGTATTCACTCATGACAGTGGCAGAAGAACTTCACTTGAAAGACTGATCCACAAATACTTGTCAGAGACAGATTATGGGACTCTGTGCCTGGAAGAGTTGAGTCACCTAAACTCCATGTTGTGCTAGGATCAAAGCCAAATGAGGAGAAGAATTCTGAATAAACTAAGCTCAAAGACAGAAACAGCACAGCTAGATCTGGTAAAATTAGACTCTTTGAAGGTAAAAAGAGATGGCAGCAACACCGTTTCCCCTGGCAAGGAAACTGGGAGCTCTTTGGCAGCCAGGGCCTTAGAGATCCTGGACTTTGGAGAACAGAGCAGAGCTTGGTTTGGTGGCAACTTCAGCTCCTGTGTGTTCAGGATGAACTAAGTCTTAGGGTGTTTGGTTGGAGGCACTAACTCAAACTCTCGTTTTATCAACAGATCAACAGAACCGGAGTCGAGCTCACATGAGGGAAACTCCAAGAAAAGGAAAATCAGTTCCAAGGACGGCTGCCAAGACAGAGCAAGTAGAATTTTTTTTTTTTTTTTTGCCCCAAAGGGCAAACAAATAGGAGACTTTTATACAGGGCTGGAACAGCAAGGAGGCTTCTTAGAGACTGGGAAATTTCTTGAGATCCTGGCACTTAGAGAATATGTGGGGACTCAAAAGAGGTTAAGCTTCACTTCATTAAAGTGCTGAGATGGTCAGGATGGAGAAGAGACAAATGAAGTTCACCTGAAGGTGCAAGGGAGGTTGTGGAAATGAGGGTCTGTGGGCACTTTTCTGGAGAGTCTCTCGCTCACATGCTTCCTCTGCAGGGACCTGTCCAGGAGAGGAGCGCAGCTTGATGTTGAAAAGGAAACTAAAGTCCTCCACCCCTGTGCACAGCAGTGAAATCCAGGAGACCTGTGAGGCCCACCACAGAAGGCCTTTCATGGCTCACACTGGGTGCAACAAGCGGCACAGGCCTCAGGCTCCAGGAGTTCAATAGCCGTCACTTCAGAAAGCTTCGTGACTTTGCAAGGTAGGTCAAAGGCCATTTATCAAGACCTACTCCAGGTGTTGGTGCAGCAGGTCCATTCTCCACTGACCTGGGAGCAGCTCACTCGGCTTGCTTGGCTCTTGGGACCTCTGTGCGCTCAAGTGCAGACATTCTATATTATGGCCACCCAGGCAGGTTATGTCTTTCCTGCTAAGAAATGGCTTGCCTCAGCCACACTCCTGGCCCTGGGGATCCAGCCATGGATAGAGAAGCCCACCCCTTGCCTGGGCAGGAGATAACTGAGCCTCTCAGTGGATCAGATGAGGCTTGAGCTGGCTGCACCCACACCCTATTCAGCAGAGAATGCAGCTCTTGGAATGAGAATAATAACCTGCTACTTCTCAGATTCTTCCAGATAAGCAACAATGACAATTTTAGATGCACTATGTTAATACATGACAAAACCTGAAGCAGTCATAGGAAAGGGACTTGAACAACATACTCAAAATGGTGAAACCTGCATTTTGTAGAGGGCTAAGATTCTAAACAAATTTTATATTTCTTGTTAGACGTTTGATGTCTTTTGGATGTCTGAAAAAGTCTTGCATTTCTGTATTATCAAACAAATATTGGAATGTAATCATTCATATGCCTTTGCATATTTTAAATTGTAGAAAAATAAATATAAAATTATATTCTTCTCTTTTAATTTAGAAAAGGTTGTAACCTCTCACTCTCCCACGCTGAATCCATGGAGGACTAATATCCACAAACCTTTAATAGTACTCCCTATGAAAAAATGTCAATATATTTTTATAGTTTAATAAAATTATGGTGAAATCACTACACAAGGTGTTTACTATTAATATTTTTTACATAAATTGAAGTCAAGATATGTTAAATGTAATTGATTATACTTATTTATTCTTCACCCAACTCACATTTGCTTCATTGTAAATTTTCTAAATTTAAACTTTCTTCTATTTTATACATTTCAGTTGATCGTACTGTATTGTAGGACATTAAATGTAATATATTGTCATTTATTTCACATATTGCTATATTTATATTTTTCTTCTTGAATTTTACAGTGAGATGAAATCTTTCATCATCTAAATGTACTTTTGTTCTTTGCCTGATAATTTTCATACACATAATGATACAAACATTAATGTTTTTGAGAATATTCAATTTTAGATAATTTTGTATTTCATCCATACTGAACTTGTATTTACTCTATGTGTGAGTTATGGGCCTTTTTATATTCACTTCTTCTTTATTTTCATCCTGACCTCTCCACACTCCACAGCTCTTGTTTTAGTCGAAGAATAGTGATTTATCATTCCAGTAAATGGAGCCAATTCAATGAAAATATACAAATATACCTTGGAGATATCTAGTTTTGCTCTAGAGCAGTGCAATAAGACAAATATCACAATAATGTGAGTCACACAGCTTTTCTTGTTTCTCAGTGCATATAAAAGAGATATTTACACTGTACTGTAGAATAAGACTGAAACAGACTAGGTTTACAATAACAATGTATATACCTTAATAAAAAATGTACTTTATTGATAAAAATGCTGACAAAGATACACACACACACACAGATCACATGGTGTTGGAAAAAATATTGTTGACAGAGTCACTGAAGGTAAGGTTGCCAAAACCCCTCAATTTGTAAGAAATCCAACACTTGGGAAGCACAATAAATTGCAATAAGACAAGGTATGCCTTGTAACAGTCAATGTTCACTAGTAATATACTTAGAAATCACACATAAAAGATATTACATGTGTATAAAAGTAATTAACAAGTTACAGAATGGGTAGGAGATAAAAATTACAAAATGATTTACGAGGTAAATTAAAAGGGAGACCAAGCCTGAAACATTCCTGAGCAGACAGAATCAGTTAGACCTTTTCGGTGACCTCATCTTGTTGACTTGCAAACAAGCAAAACATAATGTGAGCTATTTTTGTGAATACCTGTATTAAAAATCAACAATAACAGAACTTAAGTTTATCAGAAGTACCCAAGAAGGTATAGTAATATATGTCTATAAGGTAAACCAAAAAAGACAGTTTTTTAACTGCAACTAATCAAATAACTTTAATATTTTCCTTCTGCATATTTTCAATACAATCTTACCTCTGACACTTTGTCATTTAAATGCTAAACCTTTTTTGGTCTCATGTTCCACAATTCATTAGTTGCTTCCTACTCAAGAAAATGTTTTTTGAAACAGATTCCTGCTCTGTCGCCCATGCTGGAATGCATAGACAGAATCGGAGCTCTCTGAAGCCTTACATCCTGAGCTCAAGCCATCCTCCCACCTTACCCCATGAGTAGCTACAAGTACAGGAATGGACCTCTACACCCAGCTAATTTCTTCTTATTTTTTCATAGAGATAGGGTCTTACTATGTTTCCCAGGCTGGCCTCAAACTCCTGGGCTCAAGTAATCTCTCACCTTGGCCTCTCAAAGTGCTGGAATCACAGATATAAGCCATCATTCCCAGCCAATAAAACTTTTAAAATTTGTATTGTGCTACAGTTTACTTTTTAACAGTACAAAGTAAAATAAACTAGCCATACATAAATCTAACAAAAATTTGTAAAAAGTATGAGAAAGATCATAAAAAGTTTTTGAAATATGAGAAAATCAGCATAAAAAAGTGGAAAACCACATCATGTTCTAAGATAGAAAAACTCAATATTACTCAATCATCAATTTGTTACAAGTAGTTCAAAAATTTAATTTTGTCCCAATAGACATACCATCTGGTGGAGAAAGCAGGCATTTTATTGCAGAACTCCTATAGATGAAAACACAAATAAGAACAGCTGAGAACACTTTGAAAAAAATAATTAGAGTGGCTATTACACTCTATGAGACAAGTTGATTAATGAATATATGGATAGCTCAGTGGAAGTATAAATTCAAAAATAAACCACAGTACATGAGAAAGTGTCTTTGTTCAGGCTGCTAAAACAAAGTACATTAGACTGGGTCATGTATAAATAACAGAAATGTATTGGTCACAGTTCTGGAAGCTGGAAAGTTCAAGATCAAAGCACCAGCAAATTCAGTGTCTGGTGAGGGTCCCATTTCTCATAAATGATGCCTTCTTGCTGTGTCTGCACATGGCAGAAGGGACAAGGGTGCTCGCTTCAACCTTTATTACAGGGTATTAATTACATTAACGAGGATGAAGCCCTCCTGAGTTAGTCACATCCCAAAAAGCTCCATGTTTTAAAACTATCACATTAGGGATTAAACTTTTACAAATGAGTTTTTAGAAGGAGACACAAATTCAGATCATAGCAAAACGTAAATTGGCAATAAAAACTACAGCTGGGGAGCCATCATTAATGATTTGGGTTTAGGAATCTGATGTTTCTATCATAAAGGTAAAAAATCATGTAGTAATTATAACCTGCAATAAAATGAAGGTCAAATGAAAGATAAATCTATACTGAAAAAAAAAAACAAGTTTTTACAAGGTGAATTCTTACAGGTTGTATCAGGATTTTTGTGGTTTCTGGGGATAAATAAGACCCCAGATTTTTCTCCTGTGACTTTTTTACTGATGTTTATGACACTCTTACTCAATTTCAAAGTGGAAAATTATCCTTTCTGTTTCTGTCTATGAGAAATTCAAAATAAAATTGGCCTCCATATGCTGGATCCTAAAACAATTATTCACTCAGTGGTGCTCTGCTGAGGAAGGGCACTGAATCTCACACGCACAGAAACAGCATGTTCTGTCAGATACAGGACTTCTCCTTGAGGCAGAGCCTCATCACTCATACATAATCAGAGGTTTTCCCAGGCATGCACTGCTCTGCGCCCTCCCACACAGGCTCAGCCCTGAGCATCTGACCCTGAAGGTGACTGATGAACATGTTCCCTGGCACTCTAATTTACAGGGATTTTGTTTTCTCTTAATGATCCCTTCCAGAGCTCTAGGGTCTTTCCTGAGTCCAGCTACCACATACAGATAGAGACTGAGAGATTTGGACAGAAGCTTTGATCCTCACTCTGAGCCCTGCCCTGTCCCATCAGCTTTTCTAGAAGTACAATGTTCTAATTACTCCTGAGAGACCACATATCAGGGCATCTCTCTGTGCCAATAGTTGAATAAAAGTGAGAAGAGAAACAGGCAAGAATTTCTGCTGAGGGCTGCATCTAATGGTCTACTTGCCAGACTTATATTTCTATTTTACACAAATATTGGCAAATATAATTTCATCTCTAGATTAAAAATTAAAGAAGGAACCACAGAGTAATGAGAAAATGGAATCAATGCTCTATAGAATGCAGCTTACCTCAGCCATGGAGTGCTAAGTCTCTCAGAAAAAAGCAATTGTTCTCTATCATCAGAAACAAGTGTGGCCTCAGACAGCTGGACACTGAGAGTGCAGGATGCTCCCTGGGATTCCATGCCTATATCACAGAGGGATGGAATTCCTAAGAGAGGCTGAACCCACAGGTCCTGTTCTACCATTTGGTCTAACTAATACTCTTCCTCCTTCTGCCCCAACAGGATTCCCCAACTCTTCCCTGGGTCTCACTAGGGATAGTTCAGAAAGACAAAAAGTTATTAATGTCCCTCCATTTCTGTAGTTGCTGGGGTCTAATTTGTTCATTTTTAGGTTTTGGGTTTTTGTCCTCCATCTACATTCACAGAATTTGTGTGCCCTATTCCAGTACCTATAATTTTAAGTAGGTCTAGTCACCCATGCTGTCTTGTAGTCATTTTTTTTTTCTAGTAGAGCCAGATGATATGGACACAAGAACTTCTATATAAAAGTTCACCATAAGTAAGTTGGGTACCACAACCCCTCTATGGGCTGGACTGCCATTCAGAGAATCTAGCAACAAGATTTTCCTGGTGTGCAGTTGAGGAAAAGAAAGGCACATCTCGTCCAGTAATGGTCAGTGAGAAATCTCAAATTTTGAAAATGGATGCCTATAGACTTCAATTATGTTCTCTTCATCTTGGAGTCAGTCAAGAAGAGATTTCGGGGTTCTGAGGGGACAGTCACATTCAATCAACAAATTAGCCAACATTTGTGGAACAAGAGAAAAAAAGAAAGTAAAATCAAATAGTTTGGCCACGTTAATAGATTTAGTGATAAAAGCTATAATGTGATTAAAATGCAAGTAGTCTCAAAAGCCTAAAGGTTACACGAATGAGCTTCAAGGGACATATGGTGTGGCTGGAGTCAGCTGACTATTATGCTAAAGATGTCAATAGTGATGAGACATGATTGATACCTCAGGAGGTAGGCCAAAGGCCAGTGCCATTATCATGCTGGGAATGGTCTGGGGCCTTCTGAACCATGAGACAAATAGGTCAACTTGCAACAAGAAACACAAGCCTGGCATGCAGTGATGACCTCTGCATTACACATGGATTCAGGCTTGGTTTTTGGCTTAACTGTGGTTAGTATTTTCAGCGAACAGACCCTTACAGTGGACTCCTAAATGAATGACCTGACAGATCAGCAGCTGAAATTCTTTCTGATTTGAAGCCAAAAAAGGATGTCCTTACTCAAATAGCCTTTAGTTTCAATGTGAAAGACCAAACAGTTAGAACATGGGCAATGACCCACAAACCTGAGCTCTTACCATTAAGTGGAACAACCACCCCTGCTTCAGGTTCTGTGTGGTTGGCACTAAATTTAGACATCCATAGCAGCCCAGCGAGCACCAAAAGGTGGCAGCTTTCTTGACTTGTCAGGGGATTAGGGCCAGGCATTTAGGAAATATTTAGTGAATTGAAGACCCCATAGAGCCAGCAGTTTTGCTTCAAACAGTGGAGGGGGCGTATTCGTTCGTTTTCACACTGCTGATAAAGACATATCCAAGACTGGGCAATTTACAAAAAAAGACGTTTAATAGACTCACAGTTCCACATGGCTGGGGAGGTCTCACAATTATGGCAGAAGGTGAAAGGCATATCTCACATGGTGGCAGACAAAAGGAGAGAGAATGAAAGTAAAGTAAAGTAAAGCAAAAGGGGTTTCTCCTTATAAAACAACCAGATCTCTTGAGACTTATTCATTACCTTGAGAACAGTATGGGGAAACTGCCCCCATGATTCAATTATTTCTCACAGGGTCGCTCCCACCACACTTGGGAATTACAGGAGCTAAAATTCAATATGAGATTTGGGTGGGGACACAGCCAATCCATATCAAGGAGCATAAAATTTTCACCAAAGAACATATATTTTTTTTTACAGCTAATGTTCCTGTGGCAGCCCAATTTTCTCTTAGAATGTGTTGTATTCTAAGTAGCCTTCTGATGTCTTATAGAACTCAAATTTACTCAGTTCAATATTGGAATATCAAGCTGGGAAACCCCAAGCCCTTGATCTGTCAGGATTCAATTTGACAGGAGCTTGGGAGCAAGCTTGTCACTGACTTTCAAATCAGCGTTAAGTAGTAGTGTCAGGGAGACTATGTGTCAAAAATTCTAAGGGCCACCTCTAGGTGGAGGCTGACTCCCTCTCTCAGAGGCTTCAGAGGAAAACAATATCAAGTATTTTTTGGCTGCTGGAAGAACTGAGCTATGTAAATCTGCCCGCATAGTTCCAGTGAACCTTAACTGGAAAACAGGACTACGGGATTTTGAGAATTGTATCAGCTATTGGCAGAGAGATGTTACCATCCTAGACAAGAGCATGAAGGCAGATGCTTCCAAATTGGCAGCCAACAGAACCTCACCTACAGAGTTGAACTTTTTGCACATTAGAGGATAGAGACACTCATGATAAATTCTGCCATGCCACTGTGGCAAATGGCAAGGAAGATTGTCTCACTTGCAAAGTGCAAGTTACCAGTTCCTCACCCTGATTAGAATAATCCCCTCTGGCACTTATGGGGCAGGCAAGGACAAAACCACAAAACCTGAATACTGCTACTATAGATTCTGATGTAGAAACACAACAGGATGTGGACTGAGCTCCAAGAACTCCACCTCCATTGTTATGTGATCTTCCTGCCTTCACTGTCACCCTGCCCAAACACTATTAGTTGAGTTTTGCTGTTTATTTTTATTTTATTGTTTATCTTTGTTTTATGTTATCCTATACATAAACACAGATTAATAAGTTACCCTATATCCAGGACAGGGGAATACAAAAGACCAATAAAGGCTGGCACAGGTGTGTGTTGGGGATGGGACAGGGCAATGGGAAAATGTTACTTTCTTTAAACTTTTCACCCTGAGGTCTGTGCTGTCCCTTCACCTTGGTACATTACAGCATTTGGAGAGTATTCAGGGTCAGAAGGTTCCATATGATGAAGGAGGATGAAGGACTTTATCTGGAGGATGAAGGACTTTATCTGGGGGATGAAGTCCAGGGTCAAGGTGTGGGCAGGGTGTGTTGCCCCCAAGGCTTCTCTCCTAGGGTTGTAAGTGGCCACCTTCTCCTTGTGTCCTCACGTGGTCATTTCTCTGTGTGTGCACATTTGTATCCTTATCTCCTCTTGTATGGAGACATCAGTTAGATTGGATCAGGGCCCACCCTAATGTCATCATTTTAAAACATTTTTTATTGTAACTAGTAACTAATAAAAATTGTCTACATTTGTGGAACTGTTTTTAAATATGCATACATTGTGGAATGGTTGACCCAAGCTAATTGGCATATGTGTTACTGCACATACCCATCATTTTTCTGTTGTGAGAGCACTCAAAATCTACAGTGTTAGCAATGTTCAAGAACAGATTACATTAACTGTAGTCACCAAATGCAATAGATCTGATGTCCTTATTCCTCCTGTCTAGCTGAAATTTTGTATAATTTGACCATCTCCCCACTCCCTCATCTCTACCCCCAAATACCTCATTTTAATATAATTACCTCTTTGATGATGCTATCTCCAAATGTAGTCACATCCTTAGGTACCGGGGGTGACAGTATCAACATATGAATTTTGGGAAGCACGCAATTCAGTTCACAGCAGCCTCTGTCAGTACGTAACGTTTACATTGAGATCCCGGTAACTCAGCAACAGAGGGAATGACATGCAAAGATTCTGGGAAGAAAATTCCAGGCAAAGAATTCTGTGGAGCAAGGGTCCTGAAATGTGAGTGAATACGGTGAGTTTGAGAAACCACAGACCAAAAAGGGGGCACAAAAAGCAAGGGGAGGAGGTGAACTCACAGGGTCTTGGTAAGACATGTAAACCTGACTGTGATTTCATTCCCTATGCAGTGAGAAGTCATTGGAGGGTTTTAAGCAAGAGGCACAATAAGAATCAGATGTTCAAAAGTTTTTTCCAGGTGTTTTATGGAGAATGCATTCTAAAGAGGGCAAATATGGAAACAAGCAGTCTTTTGTCACAGGTCAGGTGAAAGTGATGGTGGCTTTGACTGGGTGATGCAGAATCAGAATGAAGTAGGTGGATTGGGGATACATTTGAGCATGAGGCTATAGGACCTGTTGATTTGTTGCATGAAAGGGCAAAGGATCTTCAAGACTACTGCTACATGTTAGTCAAGTCAGAAGAATTTCCAGAGATGTAGTGGGGCCCTTTACTGAGACAGAAAAGAGAACAGGCATTGGGAGAACATCCAAGTGATATAGTATTTTCCTAACAGCATGGGTCAGGAAACTTGGTGGAGCCTGGGCATCCTCAGAAGTACTGACACACTCTTCCCACTGGGTTGTTATATCACTGATACCTAGACCCAGAGCACAGAAATTCCCAAATGGGAAGAGATGTGATGCTATAACATCACAAGCCTAGTGATGAGGTTGGTGGGGCTTTGCAGCTCAGCAGCTGTGTGATCTCGATGGAGACCTGCTGCTTCTGGCCTGAGTGAGGCCAGTCCTCAGTGCAGTGGGCATAAGGGCATTCACCTCATAGATCTGTCTGATGATTCAACAGAGTCATACTCCTGAAATGAATGCAAGTCCTGGCACATGCTGGGTAACTGGCATGAATTATTATTGGCATTCTTATTAATATCTTTGATGTTATTATTAATATTCTCAATACTGATGGGACATCAGCTCACCCACTCCAACAAAACCTTCAGAGATATCCAAAGGCCCTCAGACAGTCTTCACTCTTCCATATAGTTCTCCAGCTTAGTAGCCAACTGACTCAGTTCAGCCTTATTTGGGTTTTTAAGTTAAACCAGTGGCTCTAGGCATGTCCCTAAGGCTCTGAGCAGTGTGTGGGTTGTGTTCTGTCAACTCCAGGCCTTTGAGAGGACAGTAGGCAAGGCGGGGGTGGCAGCTGTAGACCCATGGAGACAGTGGCATGAGCAGGTTGCTCCCCACATACAAGGCTGCTTCTTTTTGCTCGTTCAACAAATAGAAGCCCACTCAGTCTCACAAAGTTTGCTCCCAAGTGAGACAATATACATTTTGCCTATAGCTGTATTTTTCTACTGCTGACAACAGATGAAACTAAGAAAGTCAAGTACAGTATCCCCCCCTGTCTGCGGGGACTATGTATGTTCCAAGAACCCACTGAATGCCTGAAACCAAAGATAGTACCACACCTTACCTATACTATACACAAATTTCGTTTTGCTTCTTCACAATTTCCCACTAGGAGATTTGTTCCTACAATAGACATTAGCAACCTCAGCCTACAAGATTGTTTTTCTTTTCTTATTAAGCTTAGAACTTTTGGGTTTTCGTTTTTTAAAAAAGCACTTTATGGCTTTTCTTTGGCATATCTGAATTCCCAGTATCACTGCTCTGTGCCTTGGAATCATTATGAAGCAAAATAAGAGTTTGTTGAACCCATGCATTACAATAACATAGCAGTCAATCTGATAATCGAGACAGCTACTAACATGACTAACAGGCAAGTAGCAGGTACAGAGTGAAAACATTGAGCAAAGATGATTCACATCCCAGGTGAGTGTGAGATTTCATCAAGCTACTCAAAATTGGTGAACAATTTAAAATTTATGAGTTGTTTACTTCTGGAAATTTCTATATAGTATTTTCAGACTGCAGGTAACCGAGACCCCAGAAAGCAAAACAGTAGATAATGGGAGACTATCGTATCAGTCTTCTCTTGGAGTACCATAGACACAATTTTACTGTCCAAATTAATGAGCGTTCATTGATCTACTAATGTTTATTGAGCACCTACTAAGTCTCAGACCCATGCTGGTGTGTCAGTAAAGTGGGGGTATCACTTTGCCTACCATGGGGGTGTTGAGCCTCATTGTGCCAGGTTTTGGGGTATCTTCCTGCCAGTCACCCACCTGACTTGCAGAGGTCCCAGGCCTGAGCCCAGCCAACAAGAGCAGTTGGTCTTCTACAACAGTTGGTTTGATGAAGCCACTCTCTTGGTCAACAATGGCACAGGACTGGTTTCCTGGATCACATCTTTGTGGGGCCCCAGGAGCTGTGGGTGCTGGATGCCTCTCAGCAGGATGCTGGGTCCTAGAGCTGCCAGGGCTCACCCCATGCATGCTGTGCCCTTTTGTTGTCTATGTGACAGGTGAGTGCTTTTTTTTATTTTCAGACATGGTCTCACTCTGTCACTCAGGCTGGAGTGCAGTGGCACAGTCATGGCTCACTGCAGCCTTGACCTCCTGGGCTCAAGTGATCCTTCCACCCCAACCTCCTAACTGGGACTATACGCATGTACCTCCATGACCAGCTAATTTTTAATAATTTTTTTGTAGAGATGGGGTTTTGCCATGTTGCCCAGGTTGGTCTTGAAATCTTGGGCTCAAGCAAGCCGTTCGCTTCAGCCTCCCAAAGTGCTGAGATTACAGGTGTGAGCCACGCACTTGGCCATGTTTGCCTTCTGGGGCTGCATGAAACTGGATGGAGGGGTCCAGGGCCACTGAGTTCCCTGAGTGGGTGCATGGCCAGGAGCTGCTGGGGTCTCAGGAGGTGTGGGTGCAGCACCCCTGCTCTGAGGGTCTCCCTGATCTTGGTGAATAGGAGTTCACCCCAGGAGATAATGCCTGAAAAGGGGGTTCCAGCCCCACCTGTGAGGGCCACCTGGGGTTCCCTGGGGCACAACAAAGACTGAGATCCAGACAGAAATCCATTGCCCCCAGCTGAGAAGCAGCAGGCATCTGGACTTGGGCCATCCTGGGGCCACTGTCCACTCCCACCTTCCCCTACATTGCAGATGCTCCATCCTTGGGAGGTGGGGAAGATGGGAGGACCAAGCTAAGACACAGGCAAGATCAGATTCCATGCACACAGATTGTCTAGGGGTGAGGCCTGCTTTCCTTCCAACTAGCTGTGGCCTTGAGTAGCAGGGGAGAAACTGAGGCCTGGGGATGACCTCCTTGGAGTCACACAATGGTTGACATCCCCTCAGGGTGAAGGTGGGGCTGGGCCATCCAGATGTCCCTCGATGCTTTGTGCTGGGCTCTGGGTGGCTGGCTGGGGGTGGGAGGAGATGCCCATGCTGCAGATGGGGAGATTAAGGCAAGGCCTCTTGGGGTCCCAGGAGCTGTGAGGAGGCCAGGACTGGCCTGTGGAGACTTTTATGTTGGGGTTCTGGGTGAGGTGACTACTGCAGGTGTGAGCACAGCAGTTGGTATGGACTCAGGTGGCTGCCGTGGGGCAGATGGATGGAAGGGTTAAGGCACCAGGAGATAAAAGCTACAGCCCAGCAGGAGGGGAGGGTGGCTGTGGGGGCTGTAAAAGGGGTGCCAACAGCATTTTTGGGGGATGGACTGTGGGCGTGAGAGATCAGGAAGGGAGACAATGCCTAGGCATTCTGGCCTGGAAGAGTGGCAGGTGGACTTTGCCCAGCTGTGGAGGGGTCTGTCAGGGAGGTGGGGCTTCTGGTTTCAGAGGATCCCAGAGATGTGCTCATGCAGATGAGGGTCCTTGTGGGATGGAAATCGAAGGGGCAGCTACAACCTGGGGACCATTGGTGGTGGGCTGAGCCCCTGGGACCTCTGGGATAAGCAGGCAAGAAAGTGAGAAAGAATCAGCCAGGGAGACACAGGAGAGAGAAAAAAAGGAAAGTAGGCCCAAGGAGAGGAGTAGACCCAGGAACAGGATGAAAATTTCTGCTCACCTGCCCCATTGGCCTCTCCCCCTGCCCACATACCCTAGTGCCCTCGCCCTGAGTCTCTGCTTGCCTCTGCCTACCTGGCCATCCTAGGCAGGTGTGGGCTAGAGCTGTGGGAGTAACTAAAGGGCCACTTTCAGAAGGTACAGTCTAGAAGTGGGCAGCGTTGAGTCATTGTCATCTCCAAGTCCTGGGAACAGTTTCTGCCACAGCCCACTGAACTGTCTTCATCACCCAGGGACCTCCTTCCCTCACCCCTGGATGCCTAGAGGACAGCTTGGAGCTGTGATAGGTGTCTCTTCCCAGTGTCTCTCTACATTGCTCCTGCCTCTGCCTCAGCATCCTCCTCTGAGAGGTGGGCCTGTTGCTGCACGTGAATGGCAAGGAGGTCACTGTTGGAAAGGGGCTCCCTCCGTCCTCTTTCCTAGGCCCCCAGTGCCTCTGTCCTGGGGGTAAGGCAATCCAGCCTACCCACGAGTCCAGACAGGAAGGCTGACCCACCCCAGTCCTAAGAAGTAAGAAAAATTCGTTGAGCTGTGTGGGAGGGAATGGTAACAGCACTGGACACTAAGACAAAAAAAGACCTGAGGGCTCCAGGACGCCATCCTCACCAGTGCCCGCTGTGCCCTGGAGCTCTGCAGGAGGTGGCTTCAGGGCTCAGAGGCTTGCAGGCTAAGGCTTCTCAGCTGCTTCTGAGACTCCCAGCTCTGTAAGGGGCTGAGTTTTCCCTCCTGGTAAAGTGCTCCCAATGCCTGTCCTGGCTCGTTCACTTAGCTGAGCTGCCTGCTGGGTCTCCGTCCTGGGGGGTCCTCCCAGTGTGCCTCCCTGGGTGGGTGGGGGCTTCCCTGGAGACTCCCTTATGCCCTGAGGCTATCAGGCCAGGATGAAGCACCCCGACCTCTCAGCAGGAGCAGCAACTTGGGAGAAGCAGAGGGAATGGGAGGGAACACATGGCCCGGCTGTGAGCATGACGGGGCAGGGACATTGTTTTGAAGTTCCTGGGAGCCTCATGCAGCCCAGGCAGAGGTCCTTGAAAGGCCAACACTCTCCCTATACAGGAGGAAAAACTGAGGCTGGGGTTGAGAAAGGGCAGCCTTGGATTCAGGGTCTGGTCAGATGGGCCTCCGCGCCTCACCTCAGCTACGGCCCTCACTTGCACTTCCACAAGCAGAGGCCTTTTACTGGACTTGGCTCCAGTAGATGGACAGGAAACTGCCAACCATGCTGGCCACCCAAACCAACTTTCGCTGCCTGGCTACTGGCAACCCCACTCTCTCCATCTCCTGGCTGAAGAACCACAAGGGTTCTAAGCAGAGCATCACATCAGGACATCAAGGGGTCCCTGGAAGTTGGTGGGAATGTGGCCTGATTGTGAAAGGTGGGACCTGTCCTCCATTCACCCACACTTCCACCTGGAGCTGTGGCACCAGCAGTAGAGCCTGCTCATGGAGTATGGTGCCCTCAGACTGCTGTCACTCCACCTCTGTGATGGAGAACAAGTTCAACAGCCTTCAGCAGACATACACGCTGGACAGCTGGGTGAGGGCTGTGGCCCATGGGCAGGGGTCAGGAAGGTGGGCAGCCTCTGAGCTCTCATCTATTCTCTCAATGTGCTCTCTTGACCATCCCATTCTACCCACTGGGCTTCTGGCCAACCAGACACAGCAAGGTGGAGTTCCACTGCAAAGTGTACAGTGACCTACTATGTGGAGGTGAACAGCAGCTAGGTGGGTGTCAATGGCATGCCTATGTCACCATGCTCAGGGGAGATGCTGCTGCTGTCCAGGAACATGGGGATGGCAGACCTGGGGCTCCCCTTCACTGAACTCTACCATCATTATAGAAGTTGTGGAGTACCTTCTGAAAGACACAATCATGTCATCAGCCAGGAGACAAAATCCTCTGCAGTGAGCAGTTCTGAATATGAACTTGGTGCTGGTTCATTTAGCATCTGCTATGAACCAGTGTCTACAATTAGAGGCAGTTTCTCCTAAAGTAAGATTATATGAGTCAACTGATAAAAGTGGGAACCACTCCTGTGAGTATTGTCCTTCAGGATTTATTCAAAACATTTGCTTCTGCTTTTGCAACTTTATGCTCTCTGAATTCCCACACTGAGTGAAAACCTCCCTGGTGAGCTTATAATCAATCTCACAAATTAAACAATTTAAGTTTTATGTTAAGGTCCACTATAAAATATGGAACAGAATCTATCTGATTTATAATAGATGTAAAACAAAAAATTAGGATGGGCATTCTGGACATGTAGAATTAGTTCCTTTCATATTTATGAGTTTTCTACCAACCTGTATTTATTACAATAAAAATAATGCTAAAATACATTTTATTTTATTTTCTGGAGTTTAAATGGATACACTTGATAATGGAATACTATTAACTAAATGAACACTGATGTCTGTTTTTTTCAGTTTTTTAAAAAATTTATTTTAATAGAGGGAGGAGCCAAGATGGCCGAATAGGAACAGCTCCGGTCTACAGCTCCCAGCATGAGCGATGCAGAAGATGGGTGATTTCTGCATTTCCATCTGAGGTACCCGGTTCATTTCACTAGGGAGTGCCAGACAGTGGGCGCAGGTCAGAGGGTGCCCGCAACATGCGTGTGCCGAAGCAGGGCGAGGCATTGCCTCACTCGGGAAGCGCAGGGAGTCAGAGAGTTCCCTTTCCTAGTCAAAGAAAGGGGTGACAGAAGGCACCTGGAAGATCTGGTCACTCCCACCCGAATACTGTGCTTTTCCGAAGGGCTTAAAAAACGGCGCACCAGGAGATTGTGTCCTGCACCTGGCTCAGAGGGTCCTACGCCCACGGAGTCTCACTGATTGCTAGCACAGCAGTCTGAGATCCAACTGCAAGGCGGTAGTGAGGCTGGGGGAGGGGCGCCCGTCATTGCCCAGGCTTGCTTAGGTAAACAAAGCAGCCGGGAAGCTCCAACTGGGTGAAACCCACCACAGCTCAAGGAGGCCTGCCTGCCTCTGTAGGCTCCACCTCTGGGGGCAGGGCACAGACAAACAAAAAGACAGCAGTAACCTCTGCAGACTTAAGTGTCCCTGTCTGACAGCTTTCAAGAGAGCAGTGGTTCTCCCAGCACGCAGCTGGAGATCTGAGAACGGGCAGTTTGCCTCCTCAAGTGGGTCTCTGACCCCTGACTCCCGAGCATCCTAACTGGGAGGCAACCCCTAGCAGGGGCAGACTGACACCTCACATGGCAGGGTACTCCAACAGACCTGCAACTGAGGGTCCTGTCTGTTAGAAGGAAGACTAACAAACAGAAAGGACATCCACATCAAAAACCCATCTGTACATCACCATCATCAAAGACCAAAAGTAGATAAAACCACAAAGATGGGGAAAAAACAGAGCAGAAAAACTGGAAACTCTAAAAAGCAGAGTGCCTCTCCTCCTCCAAAGGAATGCAGTTCCTCACCAGCAACGGAACAAAGCTGGACGGAGAATGACTTTGATGAGCTGAGAGAAGAAGGCTTCAGACCATCAAATTACTCCGAGCTATGGGAGGACATTCAAACCAAAGGCAAAGAAGTTGAAAACTTTGAAAAAATTTTAGAAGAATATATAACTAGAATAACCAATACAGAGGAGTGCTTAAAGGAGCTGATGGAGCTGAAAACCAAGGCTCGAGAACTATGTGAAGAATGCAGAAGCCTCAGGAGCCAATGCAATCAACTGGAAGAAAGGGTATCAGCGATGGAAGATGAAATGAATGAAATGAAGTGAGAAGGGAAGTTAAGAGAAAAAGGAATAAAAAGAAACGAGCAAAGCCTCCAAGAAATATGGGACTATGTGAAAAGACCAAATCTACTTCTGATTGGTGTACCTGAAAGTGACGGGGAGAATGAAACCAAGTTGGAAAACACTCTGCAGGATATTATCCAGGAGAACTTCCCCAATCTAGCAAGGCAGGCCAACATTCAGATTCAGGAAATACAGAGAACGCCAAAAAGATACTCCTCGAGAAGAGCAACTCCAAGACACATAATTGTCAGATTCACCAAAGTTGAAATGAAGGAAAAAATGTTAAGGGCAGCCAGAGAGAAAGGTCGGGTTACCTACAAAGGGAAGCCCATCACACTAACAGCGGATCTCTTGGCAGAAACTCTACAAGCCAGAAGAGAGTGGGGGCCAATATTCAACATTCTTAAAGAAAAGAATTTTCAACCCAGAATTTCATATCCAGCCAAACTAAGCTTCATAAGTGAAGGAGAAATAAAATACTTTACAGACAAGCAAATGCTGAGAGATTTTGTCACCACCAGGCCTGCCCTAAAAGAGCTCCTGAAGGAAGTACTAAACATGGAAAGGAACAACTGCTACCAGCTTCTGCAAAATCATGCCAAAATGTAAAGACCATCGAGACTAGGAAGAAACTGCATCAACTAACGAGCAAAATAACCAGCTAACATCATAATGACAGGATCAAATTCACACATAACAATATTAACCTTAAATGTAAATGGACTAAATGCTCAAATTAAAAGACACAGACTGGCAAATTTGATAAAGAGTCAAGACCCATCAGTGTGCTGTATTCAGGAAACCCATCTCACGTGCAGGGACACGCATACGCTCAAAATAAAGGGATGGAGGAAGATCTTCCAAGCAAATGGAAAACAAAAAAAGGCAGGGGTTGCAATCCTAGTCTCTGATAAAACGGACTTTAACCAACAAAGATCAAAAAAGACAAAGAAGGCCATTACTTAATGGTAAAGGGATCAATTCAACAAGAAGAGCTAACTATCCTAAATATATATGCACCCAATACAGGAGCACCCAGATTCATAAAGCAAGTCCTGAGTGTCCTACAAAGAGACTTAGACTCCCACACATTAATAAGGGGAGATTTTACACCCCACTGTCAACATTAGACAACGAGACAGAAAGTCAACAAGGATACCCAGGAATTGATATCAGCTCTGCACCAAGTGGACCTAATAGACATCTACAGAACTCTCCACCCCAAGTCAAAAGAATCTACATTTTTTTCAGCACCACACCACACCTATTCCAAAATTGACCACATACTTGGAAATAAAGCTCTCCTCAGCAAATGTAAAAGAACAGAAATTATAACAAACTATCTCACAGACCACAGTGCAATCAAACTAGAACTCAGGATTCAGAATCTCACTCAAAACCGCTCAACTACATGGAAATTGAACAACCTGCTCCTGAATGACTACTGGGTACATAACAAAATGAAGGCAGAAATAAAGATGTTCTTTGAAACCAACGAGAACAAAGACACAACATACCAGAATCTCTGGGATGCATTCAAAGCAGTGTGAAGAGGGAAATTTATAGCACTACATGAACACAAGAGAAAGCAGGAAAGATCCAAAATTGACACCCTAACATCGCAATTAAAATAACTAGAAAAGCAAGAGCCAACACATTCAAAAGCTAGCAGAAGGCAAGAAATAACTAAAATCAGAGCAGAACTGAAGGAAATAGAGACACAAAAAACCCTTCAAAAAATTAATGAATCCAGGAGCTGGTTTTTTGAAAGGATCAACAAAATTGATAGACCACTAGCAAGACTAATAAAGAAGAAAAGAGAGAAGAATCAAATAGATGCAATAAAAAATGATAAAGGGGATATCACCACCGATCCCACAGAAATACAAACTACCATCAGAGAATACTACAAACACCTCTACACAAATAAACTAGAAAATGTAGAAGAAATGGATAAATTCCTCGACACATACACTCTCCCAAGACTAAACCAGGAAGAAGTTGAATCTCTGAATAGACCAATAACAGGATCTGAAATTGTGGCAATAATCAATAGCTTACCAACCAAAAAGAGTCCAGGACCAGATGGATTCACAGCCGAATTCTACCAGAGCTACAAGGAGGAACTGGTACCATTCCTTCTGAAACTATTCCAATCAATAGAAAAAGAAGGAATCCTCCCTAACTCATTTTATGAGGCCAGCATCATCCTGATACCAAAGCCAGGCAGAGACACAATCAAAAAAGAGAATTTTAGACCAATATCCTTGATGAACATTGATGCAAAAATCCTCAATAAAATACTGACAAACCGAATCCAGCAGCACATCAAAAAGCTTATCCACCATGATCAAGTGGGCGTCATCCCTGGGATGCAAGGCTGGTTCAATATACCCAAATCAATAAATGTAATCCAGCATATAAACAGAACCAAAGACAAAAACCACATGATTATCTCAATAGATGCAGAAAAGGCCTTTGACAAAATTCAACAACGCTTCATGCTAAAAACTCTCAATAAATTAGGTATTGATGGGATGTATTTCAAAATAATAAGAGCTATCTATGACAAACCCACAGCCAATGTCATACTGAGTGGGCAAAAACTGGAAGCATTCCCTTTGAAAACTGACACAAGACAGGGATGACTTCTCACCACTCCTATTCAACATAGTGTTGGAAGTTCTGGCCAGGGCAATTAGGCAGGAGCAGGTGTATAAGAATGCTTGTGATTTTTGTACATTGATTTTGTATCCTGAGACTTTGCTGAAGTTGCTTGTCAGCTTAAGGAGATTGGGCTGAGACAATGGGGTTTTCTAGATATACAATCATGTCGTCTGCAAACAGGGACAATTTGACTTCCTCTTTTCCTAATTGAATACCCTTTATTTCCTTCTCCTGCCTAATTGCCCTGGCCAGAATCCATCTGTGAATCCATCTGGTCCTGGACTCTTTTTGGTTGGTAAACTATTGATTATTGCCACAATTTCAGCTCCTGTTATTGGTCTATTCAGAGATTCAACTTCTTCCTGGTTTAGTCTTGGGAGAGTGTATGTGTCGAGGAATTTATCCATTTCTTCTACATTTTCTAGTGTATTTGCGTAGAGGTGTTTGTAGTATTCTCTGACGGTAGTTTGTATTTCTTTGGGATTGGTGGTGATATCCCCTTTATCATTTTTTATTGTGTCTATTTGATTCTTCTTTCTTTTTATACACCAACAACAGAAAAACAGAGAGCCAAATCATGAGTGAACTCCCATTCACTATTGCTTCAAAGAGAATAAAATACCTAGGAATCCAACTTACAAGGGATGTGAAGGACCTCTTCAAGGAGAACTACAAACCACTGCTCAGGGAAATAAAAGAGGATACAAACAAATGGAAGAACATTCCATGCTCATGGGTAGGAAGAATTAATATCATGAAAATGGCCATACTGCCCAAGGTAATTTACAGATTCAATGCCATCCCCATCAAGCTACCAATGACTTTCTTCACAGAATTGGAAAAAACTGCTTTAAAGTTCATATGGAACCAAAAAAGAGCCCGCATCGCCAAGTCAATCCTAAGCCAAAAGAACAAAGCTGGAGGCATCACGCTACCTGACTTCAAACTATACTACAAGGCTACAGTAACCAAAACAGCACGGTAGTGGGACCGAAACAGAGATATAGATCAATGGAACAGAACAGAGCCCTCAGAAATAACGCCACATATCTACAACTATCTGATCTTTGACAAACCTGAGAAAAACAAGCAATGGAGAAAGGATTCGCTCTTTAATAAATGGTGCTGGGAAAAATGGCTAGCCATATGTAGAAAGCTGAAACTGGATCCCTTCCTTACACTTTATACAAAAATTAATTGAAGATGGATTAAAGACTTAAATGTTAGACCTAAAACCATAAAAACCCTAGGAGAAAACCTAGGCATTACCATTCAGGACATAGGCATGGGCAAGAACTTCATGTCTAAAACACCAAAAACAATGGCAACAAAAGACAAAATTGACAAATGGGATCTAATTAAACTAAAGAGCTTCTGCACAGCAAAAGAAACTACCATCAGAGTAAACAGGCAACCTACAAACTGGGAGAAAATTTTTGCAACCTACTCATCTGACAAAGGACTAATATCCAGAATCTACAATGAACTCAAACAAATTTACAAGAAAAAAACAAACAACCCTATCAAAAAGTGGGCAAAGGATATGAACAGACACTTCTGAAAAGAAGACATTTATGCAGCCAAAAGACACATGAAAAAATGCTCATCATCACTGGCCATCAGAGAAATGCAAATCAAAACCACAATGAGATACCATCTCACACCAGTTAGAATGGCAATCATTAAAAAGTCAGGAAACAACAGGTGCTGGAAAGGATGTGGAGAAATAGGAACACTTTTACACTGCTGGTGGGACTGCAAACTAGTTCAACCATTGTGGAAGTCAGTGTGGCGATTCCTCAGGGATCTAGAACTAGAAATACCATTTGACCCAGCCATCCCATTACTCGGTATATACCCAAAGGACTATAAATCATGCTGCTATAAAGACACATGCACACGTATGTTTATTGCGGCACTATTCACAATAGCAAAGACTTGGAACCAACCCAAATGTCCAATATTGATAGACTGTATTAAGAAAATGTGGCACATATACACCATGGAATACTATGCAGCCATAAAAAATGATGAGTTCATGTCCTTTGTAGGGACATGGATGAAATTGGAAATCATCATTCTCAGTAAACTATCGCAAGAACAAACAACCAAACACTGCATATTCTCATTCATAGGTGGGAATTGAACAATGAGAACACATGGACACAGGAAGGGGAACATCACACTCTGGGGACTGTTGTGGGGTGGGGGGAGGGGGGAGGGGTAGCATTGGGAGATATACCTAATGCTCGATGACGAGTTAGTGGGTGCAGCGCACCAGCATGGCACATGTATACATATGTAACTAACCTGCACATTGTGCACATGTACCCTAAAACTTAAAGTATAATAATAATAAAATTTAAATTAAATTTAAAAATAAAAAAATAAAAAAATATAAACAGTGACCCTGTCTGCAACATAAGTGATCTAATGACAATTACTCTAATACATGGGTGGCATTTTTTTTTCATTGTCTTCCTCAGTATCTTCTGCAGTTACATTGCCTTCACAGGTAGTGTGAGGAGGGGCTGCACTGGGGCCTTATCAGACATCAAAGTGCAGGCAGCGAAAGGCAGCCTCGCCCAGGCTGGCTGCTGCAGCCCCCGCCAACACTCCCTGACACACGTTGCCTGGAGCCAAACGGGGCTGTGGGCAACAAGCAAGGGGATGGCTGATGGTCCTGCCTGATCTGCACCACCTGGGAAGCAGAAAATCCCTGGGAACTTTTTTTTTTTTTAAGTCAGAGTCTCACTCTGTTGCCTGGGCTGGAGTGCAGTGGTGCAATCTTGGCTCACTGCAACCTCTGACTCCCGGGTTCAAGTGATTCTCCTGCCTCAGCCTCCTGAGTAGCTGAGATTACAGGTTCACGCCACCAGGCCCAGCTAATTTTTGTATTTTTAGTAGAGATGGGGTTTCACCATGTTGTCCTGGCTGGTCTTGAACTCCTGACCTCAGGTGATCTGCCCATCTCGGCCTCCCAAAGTGCTGGGATTACAGGCATAAGCCATTGCACCTGGCCACCCATGGGAACTATTATATCTTCCTCAGCTACAGGAACAGCAGGAGGAGCGTCGAAGTTAAGGGGCCAGAAGTGGTCCGGAAGTTCTCGGGTTGAGCCAGAAACAGTGGCCAAGAGAGTTTTAAATAAAGTTTACATGTGGCTAGATATGACCTGCTGATTACTCTTAATTTTTTCCACATTTATTGAACTATGATTTACGTATTTAAAAGTGTATCTATTTAGGGTGTATAATAGAGTGCTTTGAGATGTGTATACATCTTTAAATTATCTCAATGAAGCTGGTTAACATATCTATCCCCTCACATAGTTACTTTATACATTTCAGTGTGTGTGGTGAAAGCATCTGAGATCTACTTTAGTAATAAATTTCAACTACACATTATTATTAACTACAGTCACCATTCTGCACATTAGGTCCCCGGCAGTTTTTCATTATATAACTGAAGGTATGCACCCTTTGATGGATATCTCCCCAGTTTTCCCCACTTCCTAGCCCATGGTAACTACCCTTGTTCTCTGTTTTTTTCTTTTTTTAAATATTCCACATACAAATGAGATCATGCAGTATTTGTCTTTCTGTATTTCATTTATGTCACTTAGCACAATGTCTTCAGGTATATCAATATTGTTGTAAATGAAAGAATTTCATTCCTTATTAAGGCTGAAATTCTCTTACAGTTTATCCATTTATTTGTATCAGAGAAGTGCAGATACCCTTGGCTATGCTTATTTTATGTCCATTGGCAATATACTCCAAATTGAGATTAATGGTACTTCTAGTTTAAAAATTTTAAGGAAACTCCATACTGTTTTTTTCTTTCTTTTTTTTTTTGTATAATGGCTGCACCAATGAATATGCTCAGCAACTGTGTGCAAATATTCTCCTTTCTGTGCACCCTAACACTTTGTTCTTTTGACTTTTTGATAATAGCTCTCCTAACACAATGATAAGATGATATCTCATTGTAATTTTGATTTTAATTACTCCGAGAATTAGTGATGTTGAGATTTTTATATATACTTTTTATATACTTGCTGGCCATTTCTATGTCTTTGGAAAAAATTGATATTTTGCCCAATTAATCAAGGAAATGGATTTTTTGTTCTGCTGGTTTTTTTGTATTGATTAGTATTATATATTTTTTGAATAGTAACTTATTATCCTAATATGGTTTACAAATATTTTCTCCCATCCCATATATTGTCTTTGTATTTTGTTGATTTTTTCTTTTACCATGCAGTAACTTCTTGCTTTGATATAGTATCACTTTTTTATTTTTGCTTTTGTTGCTTGTGTTCTTTGTGTAGAATCCAAAACATCATTGCCATGACCAGTGTCAAGGAGCTTTTTCTCTATTTTTTTAGAGGATTCATAATTTCAGTTCTTATGTTTAAGTATTTAATTTATTTTAAGCTCATTTTTTCTAATTATATAAGAGAAGGGTTCACTTTTTGTGTGCGCATATCTAGTTTTTTCTACACCATTTCTTGATGTGTCTATCTTCTCCTAATTCTGTGGGATCAGTTGATTGTATACGCGTGCATTTATTTCTGGGTCCTCTATTCTGTTCCACTGGTTCTCATGTAGATACTACACTATTTTATTTTAATGACTATAGCTTTGTAATATAGTTTGAAATCAGGAAGTTTGAGGCTTTCAGCCTTTTTGTTCTCAGTATTTGGCTATTTGGCGTCTTTTGTGGCTCCATACTAATTTTACAATTGTTTGTTCTACATTTATTTTAATGGCATTAAAATTTTGATAGAAATTTCTTTAACTCTGTAGATGACTTTGTGCACTATAGATTTTTAACAATATTATTTTTTAGAATCCATGAACACAGGATATAGTTCTCATTTTGTATTCTTCAATTTCTTTCATCAACATTTTATAGTTTTCAGTATGCAGATCTTTAATTTTCTTGGTTAAACTCATTCTATTTAATGAACTAAGTATTTCATTCTATTTGATAATATTGTAAACGGAATTGTTTTCTTCCTTTTTCAGGTATTTTGTTGTTACTGTATCAAAATACAACTGATTTTCATGTTAATATTGTATGCTGCAATTTTACTGTACTAGTTTGTTAGCTCTAACAGGGTTTCCTTAGTGGTGGTGGTAAAATGATGGGTATTCTTAACCCTGGTTACACTTCAAATTGATAGTTGCTATTATCATTTCGTAATTCTTTAAAATCTGACCAGAAGGGTTTATGCTGACATGAATTCAGTGGAATTCAAATGTTCCCATTTGAAATAATTTTGTCGGTTTTGCCTGGGCCCCGGGATGGAAGGCACCTTGTGGGAGCCCAGAGATTCAGGATGGGGAGAGAGAAGCGGTCAGGGAGGAGGTTGATCAAGAGAAGCACAGAGGGTCTCCGGGAACAGTAGGGAGGAAAGAGTGTCCTGTTGGAAACCCAGTGGAAAGAGAGAATGAGTCGGAAAAGGGGTGAAGGGTGGGAGTGGGCAACAGGACTGCTTCCCGGCCTGGGCAGGGGCCCAGTGTGGGCAGGGTGGGAGGGAGTGGAGAGGACCAGGCGGACCCCAAGGTCAATTTGGAGAAAGGGACATCTCCCTGTTTCTTCGCCTCTGCCTGGCGTTCTGCGGCCATGGGCCCCAGGGGCAGGAAAGGGGAGGAGGCGGCTCCCCGCGGGCTCGGAAAGCTGAGGGGTGCATACCCGCTTCGCAGGGCCTGGGTGACAGCGGAAGGAAGCGAGGGCTGCGGATCCCGCTAGCCCCGGGGGTGGGCAAGAGGGGCTCAGGCAGGGCCGAGCTCATGGGGCCCAGCGCCAGGGCCTGCAGGTGACCCTGGAGGAATCCACCCGCCTGTGCAGTGGCCTTCTGGGAGACCAGTGTGTACGGCACCATGGACACGGCCTTCCCAGCTGGAACATTTGTGAGGCTGTAATTTAAGCTCAGGCATACAAGCGGCCAGAAGGTGGACTGGATGCAATCTGAGCGCAAAGTCCAACCTAGCGGGAGTAAGCGGAAATGCCTGGCCTGCGTCAAACTGGGCTCTTAGGATAAGGCTCTAGGCTAGATGGCCACTGCCTTATAGAGACTCAGGCTCGGCGGGAGCCTGAGGAGCACCAGGGACCCAGTGCAGCAGGGCGCAGTGGGCAGCGACAGCCCCACAGCTACTGCTACCCTGCACAGTTCACCTTCTCCAAGGCCCGGCCCCCACCTGAGCCCAGCACTGAATTGCATGGCGCCTCCTGGACCACTGCCGGGTGTGACCAGCGGAAGACCCCACCTCCCAGGGAGAGGACCCCACTATATCCCCAGCTAATAAACCGCTCCCCCCACCAAAAATAAATAAATACAAAATAATTTTGTTTGGTGTTTGAAAATAATGTGTATTCTCTGTTTACTGGTCAACATGCTGCCCATTTATATATATGCCTAATTAGTCAAACTTTTTAATGAAATTATTTAACATTATGACCCTTTATTATGAAACAAAACAGTAAATTTTATAATGGCTTTAATATCATCTAATATGATTAAAATATGTCAATTTGTCATTGCCAGTGAATCTTCCTGTTATTTATTTTACACTGCTAAATATTCTGTCTACAAATGTCTAATGGCTTAGAATCTTTCCTTGCATATTCTCTGTGATAAGTACTAACTACTCTAATTCATCAAATTATCTCTTTATACCATTCTTAAAATACAATATTATTGTCCGGGCATGGTGGCTCAGCTACTCAGGAGGCTGAGGCAGGAGAATTGCTTGAACCTGGTAACCAGAGGTTGCAGTGAGCCGAAATCACACCACTGTACTCCAGCCTGAGAAACAAAGCGAGACTTTGGCTCAAAAAAAAAAAAAAAAAAAAAGAACTATATATATATATATATATATATATAAATGTAAGAGAATTAAGAGACTTCTATATATATGTATACTTTATTTATTTTGTATAATTATTTTTCTGCCTAAATACTAATGAAAATTATGAGATCTATTCACTCTGCCCTCTTGATAACAGTCAGTTTTTTTTTCTCTTTATTAATTACAAATGCAGTTTCATTACATGGATATGTTGCATAGTGGTGAAGTAGGGTCTTTCGATGTAACAATCATCTGAACAGTGCTCATTGTCCCAATGAGGTATTTTGTCATTCCTAAACCCTCTACCAATCTTTCATCTTTCTGAGTCTCCAGTGTTTATTTTTCCAGTCTCTATATCCAAGTGTATGCATTTTTGAGCTCCCACATATAAGTGAGAAAATTTAGTATTTTTTTCTGTTTCTGTGTTATTTCACTTACAGTTATGGCCTCCAGTTCCATTCATGTTGCTGCAAAAGACATGATTTTATTTTTCTTTATGGCTGAGTAGTATTCCATGGTATAAATGTATAGCAAATTTTCTTTATTCAATCATTGATTGATAAATTTAAATTGACTCCCTATCTTTGCTATTGTGAATAGTGCTGTAATAAATATATGGGTGTGGCTATCTTCTTTATGTAATGATTTATTTTCCTTTGGGTAGATACCCAGTAGTGAGAATGCTGGATCAAATGGAAGTTCTATTTTTAGTTTTTTGAGAAATCTCCATACTGTTTTCCATAGAGTTTGTAGAAATTTACATTCTCACACACAATGTATAAGTATTCTCTTTTCTCTGTATCCTTGCCAGTATATGTCATTTTTCTGCTTTTTAAATAATTAGCCATTATGAATGATGTAAAATGGTTTTTAATTGGCATTTCTCTGATCATTGGCAATGTTGAGCATTTTTTACATGCTTATTGGCTATTGTTGTCTTCTTTTTGAAAAATATATGTTCCCATTATTTGACTGCTTTTTAATGAGGTTACTTGTTTTATTCTTGTTGAGATGTTTGATTTCCTTGTATATTCTGGACATTAGTTCTTTGTTACATGCATAGTTCGCAAATATTTTTCATATTCCATAGGTTGTCTGGTCACCTGTTAAATAAAGCTTCTTTTCAGGAGCTTTTTAGTTTAATTAAATCACTGTGGGGAAGGGGCTGCCTCCTTCCTCTTTCATGGGCCCATTGGTCTATGTTTCCATTTATATATTTTTGTTATTGTTGCATCTGCTTTTGAGATCTTAGTCATGAATTATTTGTTCATGCCAATGTCCAGCTGAGTTTATCATAGGGTTTCTTCTAAAATTGTTATCATTTCAGGTCTTACATTTTAGTCTTCTAATCCATATTGAGTTGATTTTTGTATATGGTGAGGGTTAGGGATTCCATTTCATGCTTCTGCATATACTAATATAATTTTTCTAGCACAATATGTTGATTAGAATGTCATTTTCCCATGTATGTTTTTGTTGACTTTGTAAGAGATCAGTTGTGTGTAGGTATGTGGCTTTATTTCTAGGTTCTCTATTCTGTTCCATTGATCTATGTATCTATTTATATCAGTACCATGCTGTTTTGGTTATTAAAGCCTTCCAGTATAATTCTGAGTCAGGTAATGTATGTTGTCTTTGCTTAAATTTGCTTTGGCTATTTAGGCTTTTCTATGGTTCCATATGAATTTAAATTTTGTTCCAATTCTATAAAAACAATTGGCATTTTGGTAGGAATTACATTTAATATGTAGATTGTTTGAGGCACTATGGTCATTTTAATGATAATAATTCTTCCAGTCCATGAGCACGGATGTTTTTCTCATTGTCTGTGTCTTATACAATTTATTTCATCAGTGTTTTGTAGTTTTCCTTATAGAGATCTTTCGCCTATTTGATTAATTGTATTTCTAGGTATTTCAACCTTTTTTGTAGCTATTGTAAAAAGAAATTGACTTTTTAATTAGGTTCTCAGCTTGATAATTATTAGTATATAAAAATACTACTAATTTTTGTGCATTGATTTTCATGTCCTGCAACATTATTAAATTCATTTAACAAATCTAAAAGTTTTTGGTGATCTTTAGATTTTTCTGTATATAATATTATGTAATCATCAAAAAGGGACAATTTGACTTCCTAATTTAAACCATATGGATGGTCCCACCAAGATCAACAGACAGTATCTGTGGGGAGGGCACAGGTGATGGTATGTCTTTAAAGTGGTCATGTGACTACGGTTGGAAGCCTAAGCTGACAGCCACTTAGAGAAGCATTGCCTGTGCAGTTTCAATGTACATACAAATCATTTCTGATTCTAGGCCTCTCTCTTAGTGATGTGATTCTGCAGGTTTGGAAGGGGTCCATGAATTGGCTTACAATCATGGTGAAAGATGAAATTGAAGCAGGCATCTCACATGGTAGGAGTGGGAACAAGAAAGATGGGGGAGGGATACAACATACTTTTAAACCACCAGATCTCGCGAGTACTCACCATGACATGGACAGCACGCAGCCATGAGAAATCCATCCCCATGATTCAAACACCTCCCATCAGGCCCCAACTGTAACATTAGGGATTAACATTCAATATGAGATTTGGAACAAACGTCTAAACTCTATCATATGACCATTAGAAAAACAGATGAAACATGTATGGTTTATACTGTCCAGATACTTTCATTCTAGAGCAAATTGAATTCAACATTCTGTGATCAGAAGAAAGAAGGGAGGTGTACAGGGGATTTTAGCTGCATTTGTTCCACTTCCCATAGACTGTTGTGAGTTCCGATGTCACTAACTAAAGGGCTACTCGTGGACAGAAGAATTATTGCTGTTGTTGAATTATTCCTATTTCTTTTACCTTAGTAAAAATAAACTTTTTAGATTCTCATATAATTTTCCTAAAAAACGCTAAGAGTTTCGGTTAAATTCCTTGTTATTGTGTGTTATAAAAATTGATAGGAAAATGGCTAAAATAGATTAAAAATTATACAAACTCAAGGAGTCAAGTTTCTATTAGGCAGGCTTAGGAAAAACAGAGCTGGAAATACTCCACCATCACAGACATCGGATGCATGAGGCTCACTTTCTGTTGCAGCCCTGCCTGAATCCACCCTCTACTAAGGCCTCATCTAGGTTTGCCCTCACCCTAGAATCTCCTCTCACAGAACTAATTAAAGGAGACCAGAAATTTGAGTGGTAGCTCCTGCTGCCTATCCTGAGCTGATGCCCACAATTTCCTAAAAATAAAAAAGCAGATAAATGGGAGCCAGAAGATGGAGACGGTGGGGTTGCCAGGAGCCAGGCAGTGAAAGTTGGTTTGGGTGGCCACCATCGCTGGAAGTTTCCTGTCCATCCACTGGGGCCAAGTCCAGTAAGGGGCCTCTCCTGATGGAAGTGTGCATGAAGGCTATAGCTGAGGTGAGGAGCAGAGACCCATCTGACCAGACCCCCAATTCAAGGTCGCCCTGCCCACCCCCAGCCTCAGTTTTCCCTTCTGTGTAGGTAGAGTGTTGGCCTTTCAAGGACCTCTTCCTGCACTGCCTGAGGCTCCCAGGAGCTACAACACGATGTTCCCATCCAGTCATGCTCAGAGATGGGCCAAGTGTCCCATCCCATTCCCTCTGCTTCCCCCAAGTGGCTACTCCTGCTGAGAAGTTGGGGTGCTTCTTCCTGGACTGAAAGCCTCAGGGAATAAGGGAGTCTCTACAGGGGAGCCCCCACCCACCCAGGGAGGCACAATGGGAGGGCCCATGAGGAAGGTGGCCCAGCAGGTAGCCCAGCTAAGTGAACAAGCCAGGACAGGCAGTGAGAGCACTTTACCAGGAGGGGAAACCCAGCCCCTTGCAGAGCTAGGAGCCTCAGAAGCAGCTGAGAAGCCTTGGCCCACAAGTCTCTGAGTCCCTAAGCCACCTCCTGCACAGCTCCAGGGCCCAGCAGGCACCAGTAAGCATGGCCTCCTGGAGGCCTCAACTCTTTTTTGTCCTAGTGTGCAGGCTTTCACCATTCCTCCCCCGAAAGCTCAACTAGTTTTTCTTCTTTCTGGGGGCTGGAGTAGGGCTGCCTTTTTGCCTGGACTCATGGGTAGGCTGGATTGCCATACCCCCAGGAGACAGGCACCAGGAGCCCAGGAAAGAGGAAGGAGGAGGCCCTTCCCCACAGTGACCTGCTCGCCATTCACGTGCAGCGACAGGCCCACCTCTCAGAGGAGGATGCTGAGGCACAGGCAGGAGCAGTGTAGAGAGACACTGGGAAGAGGCACCAATCACAGCTCTGAGCTGTCCTCTGGACCTCCAGGGGTGGGGAAGGCGACCCATTGGTGATGAAGACAGCTCAGCGGGTTGTGGCAGATGCTCTTCCCAGGACTGGGAGACGACAGTGACTCAATGCTGTTCACTTCTAGACTGTGCCTTCTGAAAGTGGCCCTTCAGTTACCCTCACAATTACCCCACACCTGTCTGGGATGGCCAGGTAGGCAGAGACAAGCAGAGACTCAGGGCGAGGGCACTAGGGCGTGTGGGCAGGGACAGAGGCCAATGGGGCAGGTGAGGGGAAATTTTCATCTACTTGCTGGATCTGCCCCTTTCCTGGGCTCTACTTTACTCTTTACCCTCTGCCTCTGGCTCCCTGCCTGGCTCCTCCTCACGTTCTTGCCTGCTCACTCCAGAAGTCCCAGAGGCTCAGCCCACCACCATTTGTCCCCAGGTTGTAGCTGCCCCTTCCATGTCCATCCCATGAGGACCCTCATCTGCATGAGCACACCTCTGGTCTCCTCTGAAATCAGAAGCCCTATCTCCCTGACAGACCCCTCCGCAGCTGGGCAAAGTCCACCTGCCACTGTTCCAAGCCAGAATGCCTGGGCATTATCCCCCTGCCTGCTCTCTCACACCCACTGCCCATCCACCAAAACTGCTGTTGGCACCCCTTTTACTGCCCCCACAGCCACCCTCCCCTCCTGCTGGGCTATAGCTTTTGTCTCCTGGTACCTTAACCCCTCTGTCCATCTTCCACACAACAGCCACCTGAGCCCATGAGCACTGCTGTGCTCACATCTGCGGTAACAACCTCACCCAGAGCCAACATCTAAGTCCCCACAGGCCAGTCTTGGCCTCTTTACTGCTCCTGGAACCCCAGGGCCCTGTGTCCCAATCACTCCCTCTGCAACCTGGGTGTCTCCTCCCACCTACCGCCTGCCCCCTAGAGCCCAGGACATCCAGAACAATCTAACACATATGTAATACATACGAATTACATAATAATTTGTAATACATCGTATTACATGCAAATTATGTAATATGTATGAATTCATCATAATACATATAAATTATGATGTCATGATATATTGTGATGTCATAACACATACAAATTATGATGTTGTAATATGGTGTGATGTCATAATCCCTATCCATTATGCTATCGTAATATATTGTGATGTTTTAATACATGCACATTATGGAGTCATAATATATTGTGATGTCACAATACATGGAAATTATGACATCATAATAGACAATGGTGTCATAATACAGATTATGATGTCATAATACATTGTGATGTTATAAATACATATGAATTATGATATCATAATATTGTGATGTCCTAATATCATATTTTTATCATATTTATGATATAATAATATAAAATTGTCCCAGGCAATAAGAAGAGCTCTGAAAAGAGCATCACATCAGAATATCAAGGTGGGCCTGGAAGTTGGTGGGAGTGTGGCCTGGAAGTGGAAGGCAGGACCTGTCTTTGGGTCACCTGCCTTCCCACAGCACCAGCAGTAGAGCCCAGTCATGGAGTGTGGTGCCCTCAGACTGCTGTCACACCACCTCTGTGATGGAGAACAAGTTCAGCAGCCTTCAGCAGACATACAAGCTGGACAGCTGGGTGAGGGCTGTGACCCATGGGCAGGGGCCAGCAAGGTGGGCAGCCTCTAAGCTCCCATCTATTCTCTCAATGTGCCCTTCTGACCATTCCATTCTATCTGCAGGGCTTCTGGCCAACCAGATGCAGCAAGGTGGAATTCCACTGCAAAGTGTACAGCAACTTAGTATGTGGAGATGAACAGCAGCAAGGTGGTTTTAATGGCATGCCCTATGCCACCATGCTCAGGGGAGATGCTGCTGCTTGCCAGAAGCATGGGGATGGCAGGCCTGAGGCTCCACTTCACTGAACTCTACCATCATTATAGAAGTTCTGGAGTAGCCCATGAAAGATAGAATCATGTCATTGCTCAGAAGACAAAATCCTCTACAGTGAGTTCTCACTGTAGATATGCAGATTTATTACCCTAAAAACAATGCTAATTTGGCATTGGTTCATTTAGCACCTGCTATGAGCAAATGCCTAAAGTTAGAGGCGGTTTCTCCTAAAGTAAGATTACATGAGGCCGGGCATGGTGGCTCACGCCTGTAATCCCAGCACTTTAGGAGGCCAAGGTGGGCGGATCATGAGATCAGGAGATTGAGACCATCCTGGCTAACACAGTGAAACCCTGTCTCTACTGAAAATACAAAGAATTAGCCGGGGGTGGTGGCTGGCGCCTGTAGTCCCATCTACTTGGGAGGCTGAGACAGGAGAATGGCATGAATCTGGGAGGCGGAGCTTGCAGTGAGCCGAGATGGCGCCACTGCACTCCAGCCTGGGTGACAGAGGGAGACTCTGTCTCAAAAAAAAAAAAAAAAGAAAACTTTGAATTTGTGCTTCACAATATGGAACAAAATCTATTTGATTTATAGTATATGTAAAACAGAAAAATTAGGATAGGCCATTCTGGACATGTAGAATTAGTTCCTTTTATATTTATGAGTTTTCTGCCAAGCTGTATTTATTACTCTAAAAATAATGCCAAAATACATTTTATTTTATTGTGTGGAGTTTAAATGGATACACTAAATAATGGAATAAGATTAACTAAATGAGCATCAGTGCCAATTTTTTTCACTTTTTAAAAAAATCTATTTTAGCAAAGTTTTTATTTTTACTGTAAAATTGCACTTGATTAAATCTACTCCTAAATATTTCTTTCTTTTTCATATATACACGAATGGAATTGTTTTCTTAATTTTATTTTCAGGTTGATCATTGCTAGTACATAAAAGTACAATTGAACTTTGTATATTGATTTTGTATCTTGTTACCTTGCTCAACTCATTTATTGGTTGTAGTGGGTTTTAATGAATTTCTTATAAACTTTTATATTCATGTTATGTCATCTGCAATGATAGAGAATTCTAACCTCTTATTTTCCCACATGGATAATTTTATTTTTCTTATGTAATTTCTTTGGATGTTAATATTTTTGTCTTGTTTTCAAATGTCAAGACACAACCATTATTTTATTATTATGGGGTTAGCCATAAGTTTTTCACTGATGCCCTTTAGCAGATCTAGGAAATGTGCTTGTACTCCTCCTTTCCAGGGTGATTAATTGTGAATGAATATTGGATTGGTCAAATGTTCTTTGTGGCTGTTGAAGGGATGTTTCTGTTACTTTCCTTTATCCTATCACTTTGTTTAATGCATTGATTATTGGATTGGTCAACATTGCATTTGTGAAATAGTTCCATTTGGTCATGAAGTAGCTGGGACCACAGACATGCACGACAATGCCTGGCTAATTTTTTTCATTTTATTGTACGACATACATACCCTTCCCAGTGTGTATGTTGTACACGCTGCTCTTGAACTCCTGGCCACATACATATAATTTATAAAAAAAATAATGTTATATACAAGGTTAAATGCAAATGTCCTACAGTGAGGGCCAGGCTTCAGAATAAGGAGGAAGGCCTGCCTGAAAAGGGCTGCAGCTTGGAACTTTTCACCCCAAAGAGGTGGGGCCTGGAGCTCTATTATCCAATCACTGGTGCTGGGGTAAAAACTTTCTTAAAACTTTTTTTTTTTTTGAGACAGAGTCTCGTTCTGTCGCCCAGGCTGGAATGCAGTGGCGCGATCTTGGCTCACTGCAAGCTCTGCCACCCAGGTTCATGCCATTCTCCTGCCTCAGCCTCCTGAGTAGCTGGGACTACAGGCGCCTGCCACCACACCCGCCTAATTTTTTGTATTTTTTAGTAGAGACGAGGTTTCACCATGCTGGCCAGGATGGTCTCCATCTCCTGATCTCATGATCCCCTGCTTCGGCCTCCCAAAGTGCTGGGATTACAGGCGTGAGCCACCGCGCCTGGCACTTAAAACTATTATTTTAATGCTTAGCAATGTTAATTTTTAGTGAGAAACTTAAGATTACTTAATTTAACATAACAAGATTTTAAGATTTTAAATTACTGAAAAAAAATTAAAATTATAACACAGGTACTTCTAATGTTTTTTGTGGCGGGGGGTTCAAGTACCTTTGTTATATATTGAAACCTACTGTTTCTGTAAGCTCTACTCTTAAGTCAAAACAACCTTGAATTTATTGTGAACAAGTACTTAGAATAAATCCAAACCTTAGGCAAATTCATATAGTGATTTCAATTGTCCTTCACATCCCTTTCCTGGGATAAGTGTCTGGGTTTTGGGGGGAGGGTTGGTAACAGTGTGGGGATCCACCATCTTCATCCATCTGATACATAGCTTCTATTCATAAGTCCCTCTTAAATATTTTCTCCTAAGAAACTTGATTTGTCAGCCTCTTCAACCTCTCAACTCTTTTGGCCTTTAAAGGTAGGTTTACATTTACCTACTTACAACAAAACAACGTAATATATATGGTCTGTCCATTTCTAGAACATTGTTTTGTGTTTCATGACTGTAATGTGTAGCACAAAGTACAGTTTTCTGCATGAATAGTATATTTTATATAGCTACTTTCTATTACACATCACTAAAACAGAAGTTCAGTAAGTGCTCACTTAATGTCATTGATAGGTTTTTGGAAACTGATTTTAAGTGAAATAAAAAACTATATATCATAGGAAAGTAACTCTTGTTTATATCATTAGCCAATGGTAAGTTTGGTTTCATTTATATAGTAATAAAAAGTCACAGTTTCCAAGAATCTATCAACAAAGTGAGAACATACTGTAATTAGTATTATAGTAAATAACACATTACAGCATTACACTATTAGAATATGTTACTGCAGTCTTAGCAGTTGGTGGTATAATGTGTTTCAGTTTCCCCCAAGATCACAGAATTATTCAGACCAATCAATAACAACATCCTGTAGAAACCAGGAGCATCTCACCCTCTTGATACTACAAAGCCTTTCCCGACACCTCCTGTTTCTTCTCTCTGCTCCCAAGTGCAATCCCTGTGTGGATGTGTTTACCTTACATACTTTCCTCCTTCCATGATTATATGTAATGAATAACTGCTGTCAGTCTCATCTGTCCAATGATTGATGCCATGGTTTTAATTGTTCCAGTAGCCCTAGAGTGGTAATTTCTCCCTCGCCAATGGGGTAAAGGAGAGGCTAATCAAACAATTCACAACACTAACTGGATTAACCACCCATGACTGAGGACATCTGCTCAACTTTAACTGCTTTTGGCCTACTGGTTTCACGATACATTAAAAGTCACCTCAGTCAGAACCACCAGTTGCTGTTGGGCTTTTGCTTTGGTCTAAATAGAAGTTTGTGGCCTTTATCATGAGTTGCCTTCCCTACCCACACTTAAGCACACTCATCACCTAGACATAAATGGTCAATTGACTGTGCTCCAGCATGATGGGTCATCATGTTTAGCCTGTGTTTGGCAGGCAGTTTGCAAGACACTTGCCTGCCAAGGCAGTGAAAACACAGCACCTTAATCAGTCTGCAGTTCAGTCCTGATTACAAAGAGTCTGGCTATAAACCTGTGGTCACTTTATCTGATATGGTTATCATTACTAAATGTGTGGGTAGTCATCTGAACATTATTTATTATTCCACACTCTCAGGGTAGGCCCAGGGATGGTCTTTTGTAAAACTGCAGAAACAAAAGGGACTTTTACTTTGGAGAGAATTATGCATGTCACTCAGTTGCCCTAACAAGTGCTACTGTCACGCAAGCAAGAACAGTGGCCTTGTCTTTTCTGAGCTGCTGCTTCCTTTGCTGCTGTCACATGCATTCTCATGATGAGGTGCACCTTCCTTGTGACTTATGGTTTAGGCACTGATGAGTAATAAAAAGGAAAAAGAGCATTTGATATTAGTCCCTCCCAAAACATGTGGGTAATTCTCTCACTGTAAAACCCCTACTCATCGTGTGGGCTTTTAGCACTGCTGCTTACCAGTATGCCAAAGGTGCAATCTTAGGATCAGAAGTTTGATGGACTCAAGCAAAATGACCATAGTGCATATGGGTGCCAATCCCAGTGAGATTGAGTGGCAGTATACACCTTCATCTGAAGAGAAGACAGATCACAAAAAAAACAAATAATGATATAACTCAAGAAACTAGAAGAGAAAGAAATTATCCCAAAGTTACCAGGTGATGAAATTAATAATAAAAAAATTAGAGCAGAAATAAATATAATGGAGACTAGAAAAACAACAGAAAATGTAGAAAAAAAGTAAGAGATTTTTGGAATCACAAAACTGACATATATTTAGCTAGACTAAGAAAAAAATGCTCAAATAAATAAAATCAGAATAAAAGGGAAGACAATACAACTGGTAAAACAGAAATACAAAAGGTTATAAGACTACTATGTACATACACTCCTATGTACAATTATATCCCAACAAATTGGATAAAGTAGAAGACATGAATAAATTTCTAGACATGTACAACCTACCAAGACTGAACCATAAAAAATAGAAAGTATGAATAGATCAGTAATGAGTAAGAAGTTTAGATCTGATTGCTGCTGAATTTTACCAAACATTTAAAAAGAATCAAATCTTTGAAAAAATTGAAGAAAAAGGAATACTGCCAAACCCATTTTATGAAGCCAGCATTACCCTGATACCAAAGCCAGAGACGGACATTAAAAGAAAAAAAATTAAAGGCCAATATCCCCAATGAACATAGATGCAAAATCATCCACAAAGACGCAAATGAAATTCAAAAGCACTTTAAAAGCATCATGTATTATGATCAAGTTGGATTTATTCCTGGGATGTAAGAATATTTTAGTATGTGGAAATTAATAAATGCCATACACTTTATTTATACAATAAAAAGATTAAAAATCATGACATTTTTATGCATGCCTAAAATTATTTTGACAAAATTTAAAATCCATTTCTAATAAAATGTATAAGGAATTAGGTATACAGAAAGAATATACCTCATGATAAAGAAATACATTCTTTATTAACTATAGGACAAGCCCATAGCTAACACTATAGAAAATGGTGAAATGTTGGAATCTTTTTTTCTAAGATTTATTTTAAGATAAAGATGCCCACTCTCACTACTTCTTTCAACACAGTACTGGAAATCCTACTCAGAACATTAGAAAAGAGAAAAAAAGGAAGGGCATTTAAATGAGAAAGAACAAGATCTTATTTTCATGGAGATTAACACTCAGATTTTTTACAGATTAGATTTAACAGCATGAAAGCTGGTACCATGCAGGAATCAAAGGAACTGTCCCTGAAGACACAGGACTTTAGGGCGTCAATTATTAAGGGGCTACATGAAAGCAGAAATGCTCCTGGGTGTTTCCACTGTTTAGACATAAATTTCAACAGATCAGCCCCAGCAAGTAAAGGCACATCCCTGACTGCTGTGGATGATGAGCTTTTCACGCAAAGCAGAGATGTGAAACCTGACAGGTATGAAAGACTCCCCCACACAAGTGCTCCATACGTTGAAAGTTACTCCCACAAATCTATTCCTGAGGGATCAGGTCATCATCTGTGTGTTTGAGACAGTGGCCAGTTAGGCTTCAGTCGACATGAGGCCAGTGATTTTAAGTGTAAAATGCCTAAACCATCAAAAATTTTAGGTAGGTATTTGGGGGCCTGCTCACTTAAATGGGTTGGTGAAATGTCACACCAGACACATGACTGGGAATTGGGGTTTTCTCCTCTGCTCTTAGCAGCACCTTGGTAACCAAATAATTACCCTCCCTCATGCCTCCACGTCCACATCTGCAAAAAAGGCACTGGTGAGGGTGACAATTGGGCGAAGCCCCAGCCCATGGTCTCTCCCTGCAAAGCTCTGAACTTGTGCATCCCCAGGCCAGGCGGTAGGTGTCTTTCAAAGGCAGCTGAACCTGCGCTCTGCTTGGAGATAGCGGAGGGCAGCAGCACAGTGGACAGCGTCTGGGACCTCAGGCTAGTTCCCATAGCCACTTAAGAAAGCTGGCGGCTCCAGGGGCTGGAGGAGGCGCGATGCTGTGGAAAGACCCTGGGTGCCGGTAGGATAGAAAGTCGAGCTGAGTAGACGGAAGGCGGGTGAGTGAGGACCAGACACTCCTGATTTGGGCAAATGCGGGGTGCACTTCACAGCAACACACCCTCCTCACTGCCCAACCCAGACCTGCCCCTCAAGTTCCTCTCCTGACTCAGTCCCCTTGGCGACGGTTTGGCATGGAATCAATGGCCAGCAAAGCTTTGCAAGTGAAGCCGCTTACACCACCCTGCCCCTCCCTCTAGGGATGCGCCCCCGCGTCCTCTCCTGTCTCAATCTGTGTTGTCATCCTGCAGCTCCGCCATCCACCGTTGGGAACCAGTGAAGAAACTGCAACTCCTAGCATGTCCCGCGAGGCGGGCACCGCCCTGCCCCTCCCCAGAGCTACGCGCTCCCCCAGCCCGGAGCAGGCCGACATTGCAGACCCTCTGCCCTGCAACCAATCTGCGAGGAGCGGACCAGACACTGTAACTAATGCAATGCCTTAAGACTATTCTGCTCCCTGCCCAGCCCTTCCATGCAGCCGAGCCCTTTGGCCATGGGGAGGGAAGCCTTGCTGTTCCCAAATCTCTCCCGCCTGGGGAGACAGTGCAACTATGTCTGCTAGTTTTACCTTGCAATTGTGGCACCCCGTCTCCCGGAGAAGCGGGCTTCGGGCTTGTCCTGTTCGAAGTTTGATTTCTCGCAGACCAACATAGGGCGTGTGGCCTCTCAAGGCCTCCGCGGCACGGTTGCCATGGTAACGCTCCTCGGCCGGATTGGGCACGCCCCGCCCCTTTTCTCGTCCCGCCAGTCCACTCAGCCCCGCCCCTTCCCGCTCATTCCTCCCCTTGCCACGCCCTTGCAGACATGCGCAATGCAGCCCGTCCCTATGGGTGGGGTCCCTATGGGGCGGTCCCGCCCTTTCATACATGCGCAATGCCCCCGTCCGTTGGGGTAGGGTCAAGAGCCTGTTCTTTCAGACATGCGTTGTGCAGCCCGTCCCTAGGGGTGGGGTAACGGGCTTGCCCTTTCAGACATGCGCAGTGCACCCGTCCCTAGGGGTAGGGTAATGGGACTGCCCATTCAGACATGCGCAGTGGCAGCGCGTCGCTAGGAATGGGCTACCAGGCCTATCATTTCACACATGCGCAGTGCACCCCTCCCGAGAGGTTGGCAAATGGCCGCGGACCCGCCAGTTCCCAGGCTTCTTGGGATCCCCTCGAAAAGCTCCCTCGCGAGTATCTGAAGCCATCAGTTCACTGCCAGAAATGAAAACTTCCTGTCACTAGTCACCTGCCGTTTGCTTTTTCAAAACCACCATTTCCGCTGTGCTCTGGGTTGTCACAAATCCTCCTTCACCCCAGGAGCGCCCCTTGGACCCCTGGCCGGTGGCAGGGCCCACACCTGGGTCGGGCCTCTCACGGGGACGCTTCCGCCACTGCAATAAAGAGGAGAAAACGTCCCAGGGGAAAGACCTGACCCTGTTACATTCAGTCAGAAAACAGCCACAGGAAGGGGCTTGGGGAGCTACCTCCACCACTCCTCTGACCCGACCCAGGCTGCTTCCCAGGCCTCGGGATCCTAGTGTGAACCTCCGGGCCGTGATTAACGTAGGTCAGCAGGGCCAGAGCGCCCCTTGGTCGCTCCCAACACATGAGGGAAATTTGTGTGGTGAGGTCAGGGACAGTGTCTGCGTTTCTGCCCTGAATAGGGCTCCCTTGGAAAATCTTTTAATATTTCTTTTTAAAAACAGCCCCATTGGACCACTTTTAATAGTTTGCTGATATAACTAAACAGTGATCATTCTCTTAATTCATGTTTCCATTAAGTTTTTCAGATTAAGTACTCCAAGACTACACGCTGTTGAAACTGTCATAGGCACAGCCTCAGCTCCCTGCAGGGCAGAAACACGAGCAGAATCTCCGTGGGGCATCTTTCTGGAGCATCAATATTACTGCAGGCTTTGGAAGAAACAAATATAAATAATTTCTAAAGTAAAATATGGAACATTTAAGACAAGGCTGGAAAAGTCATCCACCTTTAATAACTGTCACCTGTGCCTCACATGGCAGACTTTCTCCAAGAAAAATACTCTAAGGAGAACCTATTTCCATTCTTATAAATAACAAAAATGATAAATCATATCAAGTAAATTGAAAGTCCTGCCCTGCTAGTTTCCTAAATCACAACATGGCCTGGGCATCGTTTTATTTGTATTTTTGCAGGGGGCAGGAGGTGGACCTTTGGATATAAAAATTTGGGTTTTTGAACAATTTTTCGAAGTCTTCAGGTATTCCTTGTTGATTTACTTGTGTACACCATCTAATTCTTCTGTCTCTCTTCTCTCCTCAGACTCAATCATTCCACAGGTCTCTAAGGCTCTGTTTATTTTCTGTAAATTTTGTTGATTTACTTTTGTACCCATTTAATTTTTTCTGTCTCTTCCCTTTTGTCAGACTCAATCATTCCACAGGTCTGTAATGCTCTGTCCATTTTCTTTAAGCTTTTTCTTCTTTTTAACTTCCATCTTCACATCAGATAATTTCTATTGCTTTGTCTTCTGTTTCTGATCTATAGATAAGCTCAAAATTATTGTTTTTATTTTATATTTTTATATTTGGCTACTTTTCATTTCTCTGCTGAGGTTCCACATCTGTTTATTTATGAGAATATTTTCCTTTGCCCCCATGAGCATAGTTATAATACCTGCCTTCAAATTCTTGTCTGCTAGTTACTTCCTGGAGATGTCTACTGCCTGCTTTTTATCTTGTGTAAGTATTACGTTCTCATGTGTCTTCACACATCTCATGGATTTAAAAATTGTGCACACAGACTGCGTACAAGAGTTATAGAGACTCTGGTTTCTGTTGTGTCCCTTGGAAGAGTGTTGTATTTTAAAGAGGGTGTTAATTGGGCTGGATTCTAGCTTCAATAGTTATTTTTCCTATGGAGAGCACAGATGAAATCCTCATTCAGTTCTTATATACATATACTCATATATGTATGCAAAATAGAAGTGTCTCTAAAATGATATATGTGGGGAAAAGAAAGATCAAAATGGAGTTTTTTGTAAAGGGGGCCTGCCCCTCCACACCTGTGGGTATTTCTCATCAGGTGGAGACGAGAGACTGGGAAAAGAAATAAGACACAAAGACAAAGTATAGAGAAAGAACAGTGGGTCCAGGGGACCTGCGCTCAATGTGCAAGGACCCGCACTGGCTCTGGTCTCTGTGGTCTCTGAGTTCCCTCAGTATTTACTGATTACTATTTTTACTATCTTTGCAAGGGGAGTGCAGCAGGAGAACAGGGTGATGGTGGGGAGAAGGTCAGCAGGAAAACATGTGAGCAAAGGAATATGCATCATGAAAAAGTTCAAGGAAAGGTATTGTGCCCTGATGTGCACGTAGGCTAGATTTGTGTTTCACTTTACACAAACATCTCAGTGTAGCAAAGAGTAACAGAACAGTATTGCTGCCAGCCTATCTCACCTCCAGCCACAGGGCAGTTTTCTCCTATCTCAGAATAGAATGAATGGGAATGGTCAGCTTTACACAGAGACATTCCATTCCCAAGGACGAGCAGGAGACAGAAGCCTCCCTCTTATCTCAACTGCAAAGAGGCCTCCCTCTTTCACTACTCCTCCTTAGCACAGACCTTTTACAGGTGTTGAGCTAAGGGATGGTAAGGTTTTTCCTTTCCCACGAGGCCATACCTCAGGCTGTCTTAGTTGGGGGAAACCATGGACAATACCCTTCTTGGGCAGAGGACCCTGCTGCTTTCCAGAGTGCATTGTGCCCCTGGTTACTCGAGAATGGAGAATGGTGATGACTTTTACCAAGCATACTGCCTGCAAACATACTGTTAACAAGGCACATCCTGCACAGCCCTAAATCCCTTAAACCTTGATTCAATACAGCATATGTTTCTGTGGGCACAGGGTTGGGGCTAAAGTTACAGATTAACAGCATCTCAAACCAGAATAATTTTTCTTAGTACAGATCAAAATGGAGTTTCTTATGTCTTCCTTTTCTACATAGACACAGTAACAATCTGATCTCTCTTTCTTTTCCCCACAATATATACTATTTTATCCAGGGTTCACTATTTTTCTCTATGAGAGTGTTAGTTCAGCTAGCTACTTCACCATTAGTGGAAGCCAGAACCTCAGTTTTGATTTTTGGATTTAATATGAATGAAATTATATAATATAGATACGTTTACATCAATTTTTTTATTGCAAGATTATGTTTGTGATATTTATTTACACTGTTGCAGATTTCTATAGTCTGTTCATTTTTAAAAGTCTTTTTTTACATTGTGGTAAAATATACATAAAATTAATTATTTTAACAATTTTTTAACGTGCAGCTCAGAGGAAATAATCACACTGACATTGTTCTGCAACCATCATCCACATTCATAGGGAATTTTATTCATTTTGCAAAACTGAAACTCTGTTCCTGTTAAACAACAGCCCCCCTTTACCTTCCCTTTGGCCCCTGGAAGCTACTCTTCCACTTTGTGTTCCTGTTAATGGAACTACCATAAGTACCTCATATGTGTGGAATCATACAATGTAGTAAAAAATATCATGAGGAAGAATAATACACATTGTATAACATATTTATTAATTTAAAAAACTTGTTTTTTAATTTAAATAAACACAGAGATCAGTAGCATATAGAGAAAGATAGATAAAAAAGAAAAAGCAGTTAGAAGGCTGTGTTCAATTTATGACTATGGTGTCTCAAATTCCGGAGCAGTGAGGCCCCTGCCCCAGACACAAGGCTGGTCACGGTGCAGCTGGGAGCCCAGTGCAGCTGTCTGACTCCCAAAGCCCATGCTCAGCCCAAATATCACTGAGCCCTGAGGCACTCTGCCCCTGCCAGCCCAGGCACTCAGTGCCAGTGAGATTCACCATGGCCTGTTCTTGGTCTTTGGGGTGTTGCTGGCCTCCTGGGATGGGGGCTCAGCTGACAGAACAAGTAGGAGTTTCAGGAAATAGTGGCAGCTGTGAGGCTACCAGGAGCCACACCTCAGGCTTCCCACTGCCTGCCCAGGGGTCCCCATGCAACAGGGCCAAATGTTGACCAGGGAGCCATAGCCACAGGCTTTCTGAAGCTGGCCGCAAGATGGAGTCTTCTCCTACCCTCTGCTAATCTGCTACGCTCTCACCTTTTATTCTGACTGTGTCACACTTCATGAACTGGAACCAAACCCCAAATTCTTCTTCAGTTGGAAGATGACAATTATCTCTTGTCACTGAAGCAGCTGCATTTCTTGGAGGATTTTGATCTAGAGACAGACAGAAGGACAGGATTCTGACAGGTCCTGGGTGGAAGATGATAAAGGGAAATTGTGGGGGAGGGAGGAGGCAGAAGCCAGTCTCTGGGGCTTATCCCTTAAGGGGTTCCATCATCCCCTCCAATCCCATGTAGTGCCAACCGGTTCTCAGAGTTGGATATAAACAGTCCCTCCTATAAGAACTTATAATTGATTCTAGTTCCCTAATCAAACCCTCCACTGCAATGGGTCTCCTCCTTCTCTATAAAACAAACCTTCCCAACAAATCCAAGATGCAGAGGATGGAGCCAGGTAGTGTTCTCCCTAGGGTGGTCTCTGACTTTCACATCCCCACCCTCCCTCACAGTGAGGGCCCCAGAGGCTCATCTCACTCCTTTACTTAGTGTGGATTATATTTTCCTAGAAGGTGGACAGCCAAGATCCCTCAGAAAGGTTCCCTGGCCCATGACTAGCCCTCATCCCATGTACTTCCTATGCTGCACCACCACCAGGGCCACCAGGGTCACGGCATGAGCATAAAACAGGACTTGGACCTTCACCAAGTTCTGGGTTCTACAGAAGGGACACTGAGGCTCAGTGAACTTTTGCCCTGATTCTCTGTGATGATAGACAGAAAAACTGAGGATTTGGAAACAAAGAAGGTACTCAACCATGTAGGAACTGCCTGTCTTAGGAGGGGCCCAATTTCTCTCTTCTCCAATGGGCACCACCTAAGGCAGAGGCTGAGCCTCAGTTCTGCAGCTTCACTACTCAAGGAACAGGGTGGTGTCTTTGCTGGAGCCTCCATCACTTATAGATAAGATGGACCTGACACCCCATTCACAGGGGCACCTGGTAGGCTCTCAGGAAAGAAGGTTTGTCAAGTGCTGCAATCTCAGGGCTCAGTCCAGGACTCTGTCCTTACAAGTTTCAGGATCCTGGTCCCCACCCTGCCTGCTTCTCCCAGTCTCACGCACATTCATATAATCCTCTCTGCGAACTTCCAGCATCTGCATGTCAGTGAGAAGTGTGCCCAGAAAGGGCACAGCTCCTTGTGCCATCAAGGTGGTAGCAATGATGACTACCAATTCTCAGCGTCCCGCACAAGGCCTGTGCTTTGAACTCTCACGAACCCACATCTCCTTGACCCTCCTACCCAAGTTTCCCACTTAGAGCCACCAAGGACCCTCAGCCTCCTTGCCCGAAATCTTTCTCTCCTCTTTCCACAGCTGGCCTCCAAAGACACCAAGAACCTCCTAGTTACTTCTGTGGTGGGATTTTAATAAGTCACAAAGTCAGGTCATCCCTAGCTGCACTCTTCCCCAAATTCACTCTGAGCCAAGCTCTCCCAGTCTCTGCCTCTGGTCTCTCTAATGAAGGCATTCCAAGCACTGTGGGCACAGGTGGGCAGGGCCGGAAGAGGAAGACACTCTCCTCTCTTGATGTGGAGAACTCCAGCTTGGGGGGAGGAGCCTTGTCCTTGACTCCCTGGAGCCCCTCCCTGCCACAGGCCAACTCACCTGCTGCTGCAACCCCATCTGGACTCTCTAAAAACGTCTCCAGTTAGCAGAGTCAGAAACAGGGGCAGTAAGACTGTGCTTCCCTCACAGTTATACCTCTGTTCTCCTGACCTCAGATCTTAAATAACCACCTGAGTCAGCTGGTGCAATGCTCCCACCACCTCCAGTGAGCCCTGATTCTAGATTTACTCCCAGCTCCAACATTCAATGTGTTCGTAACTTTGGACATACAGCCAGGCCTCCCTAAGACTATTTCCTCATCTGGGAAGTGTGATGGGAACAACACCTTCCTCACAGGTTCTCCCAAGGATTCAGTCACATGTGGCTATCACCATTGTTCTGACCTCTTTCAGGAAGAGGTAGCCACAAAAACTCTCAAATTTCCTTCCTCCTTTGCACCTTATCATGACCCTGTGAGGCCTGCACAACAGGCTTCCTGCATTTCCCAGATGAGGAAACAGAGGACCAAAGAGGGCATGACTTGCCCAGGGCCCCATAGGAGAGGCTGGCTCCTCCTCGAACCTGGAGGGCGTGCCGGAGCTGCCTTTATGCTACACACCAGCACCACCACTGACCAGGGTCCAATCCTCTGGATTCTATGGGTGTCCGCATCCCAATCCAGGCCCAGCTGTGGTGAAAAAGGGACGTGTTGTCTAGGGAGGCCTTGTTGAGCAGTACCAGCTTGTCCCAGCTTCACTGGAATTGCTATCCCACAAGCTGGGTTTGAGGTCATGCAAAATACTTCACCTCCTTCATGATCCACCAAGGGAGTTTTCCAAACAGAACTCTCTCTTTATCCACTCCCTGCAGTTGGCCTGCCAGTGAAATCATGCCAGTGTGGTAGACAGTTGTCCCACCCCACCCACCAGCTGCCAACCTCCAGTGTCTCTGATACCCAGGGATGATCATGCCCACCTTGGCTAGGCTACTGAGATTCAGGAGGACTTAAACAGATCTTGGCTCAAATGGGTTGCTTCAGCCTTGTGTCCTGGGCCATCTCCCTTGGCCTTCAGAAGGCGCCTGCCAGCCTCAGTGTGCCAAGTACTGACCCTAGTGGTCTCTCCTTGGGGACCACCTCTCACCCACCCTCCATTGCCAGGGCTCCTGCTCAGCCCTTTTCACTTTCCCAGAACAAGCCTGGCTTCACAGACACATGAGATTCTGTGCATTCATCTATGTGGTGTTCAAAGAAAGAGAATAATTTCCATCTTTTTCTAACTTGACCTACAACCTATTTATTGTGAAGAGGTCCAGGCTGCAGGAGATCTCTACACACCCACCCAGAAGCCCTCAGCCCTTGTTTTAGTACCTTCTTGTTTCACCCTGTTACTAAATGTTTATGACCTCAAGGAAATTGGGGGAAGCATGAGCAAATGCAATTCCATTGATACCAGTGCTGTGAGGGCAGGGCCAGAAGGGTGAACCTCCCTGGGATTATACAGAAATTTTATACAGGATAGACATTTCAAGGTTGCTTTGGAGAAATGCAGATAGAACTAACTTTCATAGGTGACAGTATGCAAAAGTTAAGCTTCCTAACAGTCACGAGTTCACAAGTCCCTCTTACTAAATTTGGCAGTGTGTGGTGATGTCCAAATGGCCATAATACACATACATCAAATAATTAATAGCATTCATTTTGTGTTAGAAATTGTGCATTTCAGCCAAAAGTTTTTAATACATCATGGATAGTTTCCCATATTGCTTGAGGATTGGAAAAGAGAGCACTTTATGAAATGTCCTTTTGGACACATTTTCATTGAAGTTTCCATATACCAACAGGCAATGAGACGAGTGATAATTCAGCAGCCTCATTGTCTGGGGTGACACTTGAACTTCTTGGTCTCACAACTGAGGAAATCAAGAATGCAGACATGCCAAGGGTGAGGTTAGATCAGAAGTTTAATAGGTGAAAGAGAATAGCTCTCTGCTGCAGAGAGGGATCCTGAAAAAGAGTTGCCATTCTGCAGTGAAATGCAAGGGTTTTTATATATGAGCTAGTGGGAAGGAGTATCTTATCCACATAGGGTGTGAAAAACCTGTTAGGACCAGGTGTGTCATCTGCATAGAGCACAAATTTCTGACAGCCCACATCCCACCCTTTTATTATGCAGGCGGGTTCTTGGCCTGAGCTATTACAAGTTGCTCATCTCTTTCCCACTCTACATGTCCAATGAAGAGGGGAGGAGCCCCTCATGTTGCATGTGTCTGGCCCAAGATGGGCAGTGCAGCTGCAGGCATCCCTGTCCATGAAAGCTTTCAAGCCTCCTTATCTATGATTGCAGCCTGATCTTACAGAGCTGTTCTTTCTTAAAGAGAAGTGGTGTCTTGGGCTGGTTTTCGTTAGAAGGGGAGTTCTGCCGAGGACTCTTTGCTCTATCTGCCTACCTAGTTTCTTTCTTCATCCACTCTCAATGATAAATATTTGCTTTTAAGGGAATTCTGGGGGTGGGCACAGACAAATTTGGGACCACAAAGTACCTTAGAATAAGAATTCACCCTTCAATCAGCTATAGTGTGATTGTACATCTATTATATCGGCTTCATGCACTACTCAATATAACAAGAAGGGAAAATGTGTATCTTTTAAAAATCTAGACGACAAACGGACTTTCCACAGATTGTTTGTGTTTTCCTCTTTCTAGAACTTGGTCATTCCACTGTAGATTGTTTTCTCTGGAATCACCAGATGATCAGTAAACCTAGGCTGGCAAGCAGGACACGGTGGATTCCTTGCAGGGGTGGTGTTTTTGCAGGGACCCTAAAGGGGCAGTCACTGCAGCCGGCAGGAAAGCCTCAGCAGTGATTCTCTCCAGCGCTGACCCGGCGGGGTTAGGCATCCACACAAAGTTCTGATTCCCTCTCATGAAGGGCGACCTTGGCCAGGCAAGCCCCAGCCTCCAGGAAAAAAAGGGCGGACCAGGGAGCTCTCACCTTCCGGTCTTATCGTGAGCTGTGCCTATAGCCTACACTGGGGCACAACTTAAAGGTGCGCGGATCTGTTCTGGTCTTCCAGGAGGCAGAAGACAACATTTCTCCCTGATTCGCTGCCCTGTTGGCAGGGCCTGGGATGGACTGCAGGTCTGCATGGTGATTTCCAAGTCTCCAGCACCCAGTTGTCCCATTGTGATGACAAGAGGGATGGCCAGAAGTACCGGGGTGAGGAAAACAGAGGGCTACCAGGAGAAGGGGAGCTTCCAGAAAGAGGCCCACCGCAAATGCTTAGTGCCTGGGTGGGCACGGGGATTGCTGGCTGCAGCTTGGGGGCAAGGCCACGGGCCCTGCTGCTGGTCACCAGATAACCACCCCCTGCCAGAGGTCACCAGGGATTCTGTGAAAGCCTTCGGAAATGATAAATGCAAACCTTCGGAAATGATCAGCCACAGCAGCTGATCCAGGCCGCTGAGGGGAGCAGGGAGCCACGCCGAGTACCCCTTAGACTGCAGCCTGTGAATGCAGCCTGGGTCTGGGGCACCAGTGGAAGTACAGCCCATGCCTCCACCGCCCTTGCCCTCTCCTGCCTCGCTCCTTGTCTGGTTGTGGCAAGATTGTAACGGCCTGTTCTATGTCCCGCTTGAGAAGTGTGCAAGGTTGGGGAGGCAGATCAGAGGGATGTGATCGCCAAGAGCCCTGCTCCTTTGTTGGGCACTGCGAGGAGACAGGACAGAGGTGTTCATTTTGTTCTGCTCAGAGAGGAGAGGAGAGGCCAAAGTTCATGACACTGTCTTTTTAGGGGGCCTCCCATTCAAATTCTACCCTGTCTCCACTGTCCTACACTTGAGCAGACTGAGGAGATAAGGCTCTGGTAGATAGGCGTGGCCACAGAAGTCCGCATGCCCACCTTGACAGACCCACAGACTGACAGCACTAGGGTCCACACCCGCAGAGGCTCTCTCCATCTGCCGGGCAGTGGACTCCCACATTCGCAGTAGGCAGCTCTTCTGCCCTATCCACAGGCAGCCGCCTTCCTCCAGTGACTAAGATCCTCAGGGCTGATCAGGGACCCCCTGCCCCACCGTCAGCAAGGCTGCTGAGATTCAGGGCCAACTGGACAGATCTTTGGCTCAGATGAGCCGCTTGAGCCTTCAGTGTTCTGGGCCGTCTTTTCTGGCCTTCAGAAGGTCTTTGCCAGCCTGAGTGGGCCAGGCCCTGACCGTGGCTGCATCTCCCTGGGAGCCCCATCTCAACTGCCCTCCATCCCCAGTGCTCCTGCTCAGTGCTTCCCACTTTCCCAAGACAAGCTGGCTCCAACAGGCATGTCTAGACCCTGTGTGTTTCTCTTTATGGTGGGCAAAGAAAGAATGATTTCCATTTTCTTTTTATTTTTTCTAACTTTACCTATAACTTACTTATTGTAAAAAGTCTTAGGCTGCCGGAGCCCTGACTCACCCACCCAGGAGGCCCCAGCCATTATTTCAGTACCTTTCCAACCCACCATGTCACTAAATATTTCCACCCTTAACAAAATAGGGAGAAACACGAGCAAGTGCAAATCCACTGGCACCAGAGCTGTGAAGATGGGTCCAGAAGGTCATGCTCATTAGGATTCTACAGGAATTCCATAGAAATAAACAACTCAAGGTTTGTTTGGACAGACTGGCATGGAGAAGTAACTTTGATAGGTTCCGGTACACAGACATTAAGCTTCCCAACAGCCGTGAGTTTACAGATTCCTCTTCCTGAATTTGGCCATGTTTTTTCGATGTGTAAATTGCCATCATGGCCACACACATGTAGAATAGTTTATACCATTCATTTTGTATTACTAATTGCTCAATTTGGCTGACAGTGCTTCATACATCATGGTTGGTTTCCAACCTTTCTTGAAAATTGGAAGTGATGGCCTTTTATGGAATGTTGTTTTTGACACACTTCCATCTAAGGCTTTGTGTCCCCACAGTGCTAAGAAGACAAGTAGTCATCACTCCCATTTTGAGGGGGTCAGGGGAAGCAGACACAATTTGAGAATACAAAGTACCTTGGAATCAGAATTCACCTTTCAATCAGTTTTAGTGTAAATTGCACATCCATTAGAATAGCCTGTTCATGCTCTCTTAAGATTTCAAGGAGGGACAATTGTCACCTTTGAAAAATCAAAGTGACCAATGGACATCCCTCAGATGTTTGTCTGTTTGTGGCGCTTGGTCATGCCATTGTAGATCATTTCTTTTGGAATCACTGTGTGATGAGAATCCCCAGGCTGGAGAGCTGGGCACCGCGGAGTCCCTGTGGGAGAAGTGTTATTGCGGTCGCTAAAGTGACAGACACTGCAGCCCGCGGGAAAGCAGCATCCGCGATTTTCTCTGGCGCAACTCGGGTCCTAGGTGAGGCAGCCAGTCCAACAGCTTATTCCGTGTGTGGAAGGGCGAACCTGGGCCTCCGCGCGGCTTCAGCTTCTAGGAAACAGGCAAGGGCCAGGGAAAGCCTTATACGTTTACCGCGGCGGTGTGTGGGGCCTGCATCCGCCACTGGGTGCCCCACTTCTTCCTGCAGTGCTGGGTCCTGTTCCATTCCTTCTAGAGGCTTCAGAGGACTTTCCTCTCTGACTGCCGGCATGTCTGCCTGGATGCTGCAGGACCCCCCACATCTGCGGATTTTCTGAGTCTCTATAGTGCCAGGTGCCCCACTGTGACAAGGAGGATGAACAAAAGCAGGAGATTAGAGCCGTGAGGGAAAAAAAAAGCAGGAGAGATGCTGTAGGGGGGAAGTCTGATGGTACTGCCTCTAACATGGAGGCTGCTGGTGCCGCTCGGGCAGGGCTGGTCGCTGCCAGGACGAAGTGATCTGCTGTGCTGTAGATTCTCACCGTGTCCACCCTTTCCCCTTCGGGGACGCCTCGGTAACCAGCTGAAGCACTGGTTCTGCGTCCGGAACAAAGACTGCGGACCCTGGCGCGGGCTTCAGCCTGCAGGACATAAGCGTGAGCCATGGAGCACCCCACATGTCTAGGTTGTTGTGGGCTGGACCTGCAGCCCCCACTGGGCTCCTGACTTCTTCCTGGAGTGCGGGGGTTTTGTTCTGTTCATTCTGGATGCGGCAGATTACTTTCCTTCTGGTCTTCCTGCACGGTCGCCTGACCCCTGCAGGACCCAAGATCAGTGGGGTTCCCGGGTCTCCATGGTGTCAGGCGCCCCATTGTGACGACAAGGAGGATGACCAAAACTATGCCAGTGGTTGAGGAAGAAGATAAGGAGGAGGAGTGGAGCTGCAGGGAGGAGGCTCGACAGGATCGCCTCCAGCCTGGGGCAGCTGGGTTGGCGAGGCGGGGGCTGGTTGCTGCCCTGGCGGGCGAGGTGATAAACCATGTTGTAGAATGCCATTATCCCCACCTCCAGCTGGGGGCGCCTGGGCGTATCTGAAAACCTTGGGGGAAGTGTTCACGTTTTTGGCGCTTAAGAAAAGGAAGAAGCGGCAGCTAGCTGCAGAGGCTGTTCCAGGCCTTCCAGCGACATCGCAGAACCTGCACCGAGTGCCACTTGGACCGCAGTCTGGACCTGAAGCCTTGGGCCGGGGCACCCGTAGGAGCTCAGCCCTCACCGCTCCCGCCCTCTTTGGATTCTCTTCTCCCCGAGCTTGGCCAGAGTTCAGGTCTCCTGGTTTCTGGTCTGCCCGGTAAGAGTGCAGGAGTGCAGAGGTGAGGAGGGGGAGTTAGGAGTCTTGTTCCGGTTCTCAGCATAGTGAGAAGTCTGAAAAGAGGTGATGATCCGGTTGTGCTTGAAGGGGAGAGGCCAAAGCCCAGGACATTCTGCCTTTTTAGGGGATTTACCTTTCAAGCCCTATTTGGTCTCCACTAGCCTTTGCTTCTGAGGATGAAGGAGTTGAGCCTCTGTTACATGGATGTCTACAGAGATCATACCCCTTGCCCTGAACGACCGAGAGACTGATAGCTCTAGGGCCAGCACCTGAGAAGCCTGTAGCCTGCCTGCCAGTGGACTCCTGTATCCGGAGTAGACAGCCCTCCTGACCCCCCTGCTGGCTGCCTGCCTCTAGTGTCTTTGATTCCTGCAGCTGGCCAGGCCTTCCTTGCAAATGACGCTGAGATTCAGCAGTTTGTGCACAGATCAGATTGGCTGCTTGAGTCTTTGGCATCCTGAGCCATCTCCCTTGGGCCTTCAGAAGGGCTATGTCATCCTCGGTGGGCATGGCCTGGATCCTGTGACCTCTCCATGGGTGTCCAGTCTCACCCTGCCTTCAATCACTCGCTCAGCCTTTCCGGCTTTTTGGGGACAAGCCCCGATCCACCAGACACGTCTATTACCTGTGTGTTTCTTTTAGCAGTGTTCAAAGAAAGAGATCTATTTCCATTTTTTCTCCCATAACTTGACCTCTAACTCATTCATCATAATATAAGCTTGACGGGTAGACATGCCCGTAAATGTGTGTCCAAATGCTTACTGTGGGAAAGAGGTCTGCCTCCTGCTAAGCTGATTTCCTGGTGAGCTCTGGGAAATTCTTCCTGACTAATGGGTTGTTTCAGCATTGCAGTCTTGCTCTTTCTGTGGATCCAGATTCGGAAAAGATTGTGCCTTTTGGTGAAACTCCTGAATCTACAGGAGATAATCGAAAAGGCTGAAGGTCTGTGCAGATGGCTGGTGCTGCTGCTCAAGCAGAAAGAGAAACTTCTTTGTGGCTTGTGTCTGCTCCCAACACAGGAGAGACTTGGGGTGTCCAGTCAGCTGTGGTGCTCCTACTTTGGATTCTCATTGAAGCTGAGGCTTCCTCTTTAAGGACACACCTGCCAGGCCAGCATGCTCATGGTCCTTGTCCTCCTGGCACATTCTTTGGTACAGAGGTTAAGATCCTGATGATGTGAGAGTGTGCCTCCTAGAGTTGGTCCTGTTGACACATGGCCCCTGAGTGCCACGGAGGTTTGGAGATCTCTTTTGTATGCAGGGCCTGGATGAGCTGGTGCATTGCCACCCTTGATGCCTGACTTGGGCAGCCCACAGAGGGATCCCAGGGACCATAAGATGTGTATGGTAGAGGAAGAACTGGTACAACTGACCCTTTGCTGGTGAATGGATTGAAGGCAGGAAGAAGATAGGTTCTTCTTGGATAGATGTACAGGTGGCCTTGCTGCAGCTGAACAGTCAGGTGAAGCCTCTCACTTAGGCCTAGTGCTGGAGAATTTACAGGCCCACTTCTGCTCTAGCCTGCACGACTGATCCTTTGATCTGACACCAGATCTGAATTCTGGACTCTGGAATGCCTGTCTGTTTTACCAGTTTCTCTTTGGTGGTGATGCTAGGAAAGCAATTTTTCTCAAAGGCTTGGATGTGGACACTAGTCTGGTATCTAATAATTGCTGCCCACTTTTTCCTGACTTCTTGGGAGAGGCATTCATGAGTCCAAAGCTGAGGTCAAAATCACTTCTGTCTTATCTGACATTATCTCTCAAAGCAAATCTGGATTCTAGCCTCCAGAATGCCCATTTCTTGGGCCAGTTTTTCACTGGTAAATCTGCAAGGGTACAGGTTCCATTTAAACCATGCTGGTTGGGTATCCTTTTGACTTGGCATAAAATACTTCTCCTTCATTATGATTCACTTGGGTGAAAGCCAACAGAAAGTCTGGAAAGATCCACTGTGAAAAGATTTCATCTGGACTCCACAGACACCGCTGGCCAGCTCTCACTTGCACAGGATTTCCGCACACCGAGCCAGCCCCAGCCCTTGCTTCAATATTTTCCCACTCCAGCTCATTAAACATTTTAGTTTTTTGTTATATATTTAAGACACTGAAGAAAGCATAGGAAACCAGCAAAAATTGAATTTTGCTGGAATTTAAGTTTGAGAGCAGCCCGCAAGAGGAACACATTGGGTGGGTAGACATGTTGTGCTTTTTAATTTTTTTCCTGTAAGATAGTCAACAATAATTAATTTGAACAAGAAAAAAATGGTTGTCATACATATATAAAAGTAAAGTCTAGAAAAATAAAAAGTTTTTGTTTTGACCTAATTCAGATTATATAAAAATAGAAATCACAGTATTTGTTTTTACATATTTTGAAAATTAAATAACCTTGAAATGATAAAGTGCAGAAAATAATGTGAATAATAATGTTGAGTTTTCTAGTCCCTCTTCTGATCCTTCATCCTGGTAGCTTATATCCTGTTTTGCTGCATAATAAATAATTTTATTCTCACCTTTGGGAAATACCAAATTTGGAGTGTCTGTAGTGAGTTTATTTCTGGTTTTTATAGTTACACACCTGGAAGTTGGACAAACCCCACATTGATTTGACATCATTGTGATTAGTCAGTCGGTATGTAAAGGGAGCACCTACTTCTTAGTTTGGTTACTCCCTTGGATGGTTTCCTGTATTTAATTTTGCTACTGGGAAGTGTTTACATTTCCCTTTCAATTATTTTCAGAATTCAGATATTCTTGTAACTTCTTGAGGAGTTTTAGTGGTCTTACTTAAAGTTTTTACAATATATATTATTTTTTCCTCAGGGTACAAATGTGTGAAATATTTCACACAGATATTTTGTAATGGATAACAATATTTTATGAGAAATTGTAAAGTTCTTCACTTGGAACATTGCTCTCCCTCAGATATACCATATGCAGGTAATAATTTGAACAGAAAGATTATTTTTAATATATAACATTTTATTCTGTTTTTTTTTTTTTTTTTTTTTGCAAATTTCTGAAAAGATAGCTATCATTGCAGTTAATAGTACCTATACATAGTCAGAATTTCTGTTTTCATGGAACACTTTAAGCTAATAGAATGGAATTATTTACCTGAACTGAAGTTTCTTGGCTCCAATCACCAGGCTTCCTTTTTAGCATGTACCTGATTGTAAAAATAATCTCAATTTAGATTTATCACTTAACGCAGAAGTAAATTAGAAGGAACTGAAATAAAATTTGTATGTGGCTAGGTATTACTGATTAATCACACATTAATTCACAGTTGCTACTTTCATTTCACAAAGTCTAGAAAATATGACCTTCATGAATAGAAGATATGAGCTTTCATAAAGTTAATGACATTTTTTGGCCTAAAACATTACTATTTTAAATAACTTTTTCATAAGTTGAAAAGCAATGTGTGTCTCATGTTCACTAGTAAAGAATGTTGTTTATTTATTACTGTGCCTAATTAGTCACACTTTTAAATAGTTATTTTTCTTTATGCTCATTTATGTGTTATATACCAAAACATTTCATTTCTATGATGGTTTTAATGTCACCTAATAAGATTGTAAATATATCAATCGTTTTCTTGTCAATAAATACTGTGGTATATATTTTAATCTACCAGGTATTAAATCTGTATGTACAAGCCTGGGCAACATAAGAGACAACCATCTCTATAAAACAATAAAAAATTAGGTGTAGAGGTGTGCACCTGTAGTTGCAGCTACTCAAAGGGCTAAGAATCACTTCAGCACAGGAGGTTGAGGTGGCAGTGAGCACTGATTACACCACTGCACTCCAGCCTGCATGACAGAACAAGACCCTGTCTCTAAAAAAAATTTTTTTTGAATATGTGTAAGTGACTTAGAATAGTAACTAACACATTGTATTGACTAAATAACTACTTAGTACTTTGATTTATCAAATTATTATTGTTCATACCATTCATTATTTATTATGTTGTTGAATATTCGTTCCTATTAAAATTTGTTATTCTCTCTTATCTAAATATTGATGAAAAACTGTGGGCTGTGTTGATTTATCCGAAGCCAAATGGCATCCTTCACTAATTTTCTTTCTATTTAATAACTCATTTGATTATGCAATAATATGATTATTATGTACAGGCAGTTATCATCATATTCTTCATCTTCTGACAGAGGAAAATTTGAGTCATTCATTAATTAAACCAAAGCCTCAATCTCCTACATTTAACTTCCTGAATCTTGCATGTCAACTGCTTAGAAAATATAAAAATATAAATACTACACATAAGAAATAAATACCTTGATAGACACAAATTATCAAAGTGAATCCAAGAAGAAATAGAATATAGAAATATGCATATAATAAATAGATACAATTAACTAAAAATCTTTCACAAAGAGAAGTCCATAGCCACATGAGCTAATTGACAAATTCTACCAAACATTTAGTGAAAAATTAATACCAACTCTTCACAAACGTTTTCAGAAAATAGAACACTATGGGGAACACTTCCCAATTTATTCTATGAGGCCAGTGTTACTCTGATACTAAAGCCAAACAAAAGCAGCAGGAGTAAAGAAAATTGTAAATGAATATCCCTGATAAACAAACACAGATATCCTCAAAAAATACTAGTGAGCTGAATCCAGTAATATATTAAAATGATTGTACACCATGGCCACATGGAATTATTTCACAAATGTAATATTGACCTAACACTCAAAAATCAATGTAATACACAAAAATAATATGATAAGCAACAACAAAAACATCCTTTTAATAGACACAGAAAAGCATCTGACAAATTCAGTGCTCAATCGAGATTAATCTCCCTGGAAACTAAGAATACAAAAAACTAAAACTTCCAAGATCTGCTAAAGGGAATCAACAAAAAACCTACAGCTAACATCATACTGGTAAAAATATTGGCTGTTTGTGCTTGACATTTGAGAACAAGATAAGAATGTACACTAGACCACTCTATTCATCATGGAACAAGATGTATCACCCAGGGAAATGCATAAGAAAAATAAACAAAATTCTCCATATTTGAAGAGCTTAGAATTGTCTTTTATTGCATATGACATAAACTTGTATATAAACATTTGTAAGGAATTCACAAAAGCCCACTAGAGTCAATAATGAGTTGAGCAATTTCACAAGATACAAGACCAATATACAAACTTTAAGTGTACATTTACATACTAGCAATGAGAAACCCGAAAGTGAATTAAGAAAACAATTTCAGGCCAGGCATGGTTGTTCACATCTGTAACCTTAGCTTTTTGGGAGGCCAAGGTTGGAGGATCATTTGAGCTCAAGGGTTTGAGACAAGCCTAGGAAACACAGTGAGATGCTGTCTCTACAAAAAAAAAAAAAAATTAAAAATTAGTCAGGCATGGTGGTGCACACCTGTAGTCCCAGCTACTCAGGAGGTTGAAATAGGAGAATGGCTTCAGCCTGGGAGGTTGAGACTGCAGTGAGCCATAGTCATGCCACTGCACTGCAGCCTGGGCCACAGAGTGAGACTTTCTCTTTATAAAATAATAATAATAATAATAAACATTTTTGTTGGTGATGGTATCAAAAATAAAGAAATATTGAGGAGTGAATTTACCAAATCAAGCATAAGCCTTTTATAATGAAAGAACTGTTAAAATATTTTTTAAATTTGAATAGACATCAATGTTCATTTAGTTTACATTCCTTTACTAGCAAGTGTATCAGTTTAAGCTTGACAGAAAAAAATGTATTTTAGCATTATTTTCATTATTAATGAATATAGGTTAATAAAACTCATAAATACAAAAATAACTAATTCTACATATTCAAGAATAGCCCATCCAAATTTGTTTTCATTTTACCTCTATAATTCAAATACACTTTGTCGCATTATTTTATGGTGGATCTTAAGATAAAATCATATTCGTTAAATATGTGAGATTAATTATAAATTCACCCATAAGGTTTTTAGTCAGTGTAGGAATTCAGACAGTGCAGAGTTGCAGAGGGTAAAGCAAATGTTTCTGAAAGGATTATTAGGGACAAGAGTGACCGGAGTGATTCCCATTAGTATTGACTGACACATATATTCTTACTTTAGGATAAACTGCATCTAATTTTGGACTTTGGTTAATAGTAGTGCTATATGAACCAATAGCAGGTTTGTATCCAGAATTGCTAACTGCTGAAGATGTTGTCTCCTGGCTGGTGACATAATTTTGTCTTTCATAGGCTACTTTAAAATCTAAAATCTAAATCTAAATCTAAAATCTATAATTCTGGTAAATTTTATTAAAGTGGAGCCTCCACCCTGCCCCCAGCCCGGCGCATGGCCAGGAGTGGCACCCACCTTGAGCATGGTGATGTAGGACATGCCAATGGGCCCATCCTGCTGTCACTTACCTCTCCACGCTGTCACAGTACACCCTGCAGCAGAACTGCTCCTCCCAGCCCAGCACCACCTTGTGGTTGGTGGCAGCCCCGCAGGCACACTGGATCTGTGAGGACAACACTTGGCATAGGCAGGCCAGGGCGGAGCTCAGTCCTCACCCCACCTGTCCAGCATGTATGTCTATTGGGCGCTGTCAAACTTGTCCTCCATGACAAGTTCAACTAGTGGAGTACCAGCAGTTTCAGAGCACCATGTTTTTAATGACACCAATCCACTGCTGATGTCACAGCTCACTGTGGAAGGGCGAGTGAGCAATGGCAGACCCCACTCCCCAACCTCCCCCACCAGGCCCACCTTGATTCCCTGATGTGATGCTGTCAATGGAACTCCTTGCCCTTCTTCAGCCAGGAGATGGAGGAAGTGGGATTGCTGGTAGACAGGCGGTGAAAATGAAGAGTTTTGCTGCTTCTTGTCCTCAAGTCCAGCAAGGAGCCCTTCCCAGTGAAGGTGCACATGAAGGCCATAAGGTACATGAAGGCAGGAAGCAGAGGCCCATTTGACCCAATCCATCTTCTGAGGCTGCCCCTGCTAATACCTCAGCCTCTTTTCCCTACTGTGTAGGGAGAGTGTTTCAAGGACCCCTACCTGGGCTGAATGAGGCTCCCAGGGGCCTTGACACCTTGTAAGCCTGCCCCCAACATTCTCAGCACTGAGATGTGTGTCCCCCACCTCTAATTCCCCCAAAAGGCTGCTCCTTCTGAGAGGTCCAGAGTGCTCCCAGCTGGCCTGGGACCCATCAGGAAATAAGGTCATCTCCCAGCAGGGAGCACCTACCACCTAGGCAGTACCCTTCCTTTCTCTTCCCTTCCACCAAGGGGGAAGCCCAGAACCCAGGGGGAAGCCCAGCTGGGTGGAGGAGCCTGGACAGGCCTTGGGAGCAGTTGGCCAATAGAGAGAGCCCAGCTACCTGAAGAATCTGGAGCCTCAGAGCCAGGTGGGCTGCATCAGCCCGCTAGAATTGAGACCCCAGGCCACCTTCTGCATAGCTCCAGGGCCTGACAAGCACCCACTGACGGTGACATCCTGGAGGCCCCACCTCCCCCATTCAGAAGCCCAGGGCTGATGCCACCTTCTCCCTCACAGCTCAACTACTTTGTCACATTCCTTGAGGCTGGGATAAGAGCTGCCTTCCTGCCAGGACTCCTGGGGAACCTGCGCCAGCATCCCCTAGAAGGGATGCACTGGGCCCTTAGAACAGATGAGGAAGTCAGCCCTTCTCCACAGAGACCTCCCTGCTATCCCCTCACAAGGATATGCCCATCTCTCAGAGGAGGACACCGAGGCACATGTGGAAACAGTGTGAACAGATGCTGGAAAAAGCTACCTCCCAGAGCTCTGAGCTGCCCTCCTTGGCCTCCCAGGGTGGAGATTAGAAGACCCTTGGGGTGTTGGAGGCAGCCCAGTAGGCTGTGGCAGAAATGGTTCCCAGGAAAAGAAGATCACAAGGACTCAATGCTGCCCACTGCCAGATGGTGCCTTCTGATGGGCCCTCCAGTGACCCGCAGCCTGAGCCCAGGCAGAGCAGACACCGAACTCCTGCCTGGAATGGCCAAGCAGGCAGGTGCAAGCAGGTACTCGGGGTGAGGGCACAGGAGTGTGTGCTCTGGACCAGGATTCAGGCAGAGGCAGAGCCAGAACATGTTCATCATCTCTGAGCATTCTTTCCTCCCCATATTTGCTTCCACCCTGGGATCTGCTCCCCAGGTCTACCCCTTCTTTGTCTTTCTGGCTGGTTCCTCCCCACCTCCTTGCCCATTCACCCCAGAGGGGCCAAGCCTCAGCCCACACACCACTCTCCCCAAGTTGTAGCTGCCCACCCATGTCCATCCCATCGTGATCTATCTGTATGAGCACATCTTTTGCCTCCTCTAAAACCAGAAGCCCCACCTCTCTGATGGGTCCCTCTATGGCTGGGCAAAGTCCACCTGCCACTGTTCCAGGCCTAAATGCCTGGGCATGGTCCCCGTGACTGCTCTCTCACATGCACAGACCATTCTCAGGGAAATGCCACTGGCACCCCCTTTACAGCCCCCACAGTAACCCTCCCCTCCCACTGGGCTGTGACTGTCACCTCCTCATGCCTTTAACTCCTTAGTCCACTCACCCCATGGTCACTGCCTGAGCCCACATGCCCTGTTGTACTCATACCTGAGGTGGCCCACCTCACCCAGAGCCAATACCAATGTCCCCAATACCAATGGCATGAGGAGGCCAGCCCTGGACTTCTCACCACACCTGGAGCCCCAGAGCCCTGTGTCTCAGTCTCCCCATCTTTAGCACAGGTATCACCTCTCATCTCCAGCCTGCAACCCAGAGCCCAAGGCCAGGCATCCAGAGCCATATGGATGACCCAGCCTCTGCTTCACCCTGAGGGGACCCCAACCCAAGGTATTACCTCAGGAAAGTCATTCTAGAGACCTTGGTTCCTCACCCACTTGTTGAGGAGAGTACTTGGTGGGTGGGAAGCAGGCCATACCCCTGGCCAGCCTTGTGCCTGGAATCTGGTCTCACCTGTGCCTTAGCTTCATCCTTCCATCTTTCTCATTTCCCAGTGATGGAGCATCTGCATTGCAGGAGGGGATGTGAGTGGGTGTGGCCAGCAATGCAGGAGAGGATGTGAGTGGGTGTGGCCTGCAATGGCCCACATCCAGTTGCCAGCTGTTTCTCAGCTGAAAGAAAGGTCTTTTTCTCCTGAGACTCAGCCTCTGACCTGCCCCAGGAGGACCCTAGGTGTCCCTCACAGGTGGGGCAGGGATCTTCATTCAGACAGCACCTCCTGGGGGTGCCCTCCTCTCTACTGACACCATCAAGGCCCTTGGGGCAAAGGGTGAAGCAGCCACACACACCAAGACCCCCAGGCCACATATGGTCCCCTCCGCCACTCAGGAAGCTAAGCAGCCCCCTCCTCCTTCCAGCCTGGCATGGCCCCAGCAGGTGCTTACCTGCTTACACACTCAAGGGGCACAGCATGTGCTGTGTGAGCTGATTGCAGCAGCTGTTGGCCCCAGCATCTTTGGGGAAGATTTTCAGCACCTGCAAATGCTGGAGCCCAACCAGGATGTGGTCCACAACACAAGCCCTGAGCCAATCTTGACTCAGACAGTGGGTCCCGTGGGATCATCTCTGGGCAGGTTACCCCATCAGTTCCATGGTGTTCCTGCTGCCAAATGCGAATTGCTTCTGCAGGCCCTGCTCAGGCTCTGGGACCTCTGTGGGTGAGTCAGATGACCCTAGGCAGGCAACTGAAAATGGGTCTCAGCAGAACTCAACAACCCCACAGAAAGCTTCATGGCACCCCCACTTTCCAGACACACCAGTGGAGACCACAGCAGGCCCTGAGTGGGGAAATATTTGACACAGAGCCTGGAATCTCACCAGACAACCCTCAAAACAGGGGCTGGAAACTGTCCCCATAAAGGCGCAGTGGTCAGTATTTTCAGATTTGCCAACTGGTCTCTGTCTCAAAGACTCAAATCTGCAGTTGAGCATGAGAAACATTTTGCAGACAACTTGTGAATGAATGGGCATGGCTGCACTTCCAAAATACTTACTTATGGACACAAAGGGTTTATTTTATTTTTACTTTTTATTTTTCTATAAGTTATTGGGGTACAGGTGGTATTTGGTTACATGAGTAAGTTTTTTTGGTGGTGATTTGTGAGATTCTGGTGCACCCATCACCAAGTAGTATACACTGCACCATGTTTATGGTCTTTTATTTCTTGCCTCCCTCCCACTCTTACCCCCAAGTCCCCAAAGTCCATTGTATCATTCTTGTGCCCAATTTTAAAGTGTCCTGAAGTATAATTTTCCTCTTGATTCGTTCAACCCTTTGGAAATGTAGAATCCATTCTTTGAGCCGTTTGGGCTCACAGGTGGCCCAAACACAGGTGGAGACAGGTTGTACTTTGCCAATCTCTGGCTGAAATGGAACTCAGGGGAGGGGAGAGGTTTAGCCAAGCCCAGCATCCTCCCAGTGTGGTTTCACCCCAAGAGGAATCGCTGTCAGCACCCACCTCCCCATCCTTCATTTTGGCTTCAGGAATACTTCAGGGGGAGAGCAAGGGAGCAGAACAGACCTCAGCTACAAGAAGGAAGAAGATGCAGGTTCAGGCAGTCATGTGGATGGATCTCACT